>NW_018654717.1:6065947-6367528 GCF_000001405.40 Homo sapiens | reverse complement strand
GAATTCACTTTAGAACCAAACCTCTCTTCCCTTCTCCCTCCAATTGACCCTCACCTGGGGCATTGCCTACACTGGAAACACTGACGTCCCCAAGGGTTTTGAGCCTCCAAGTACTCTAGCTATACCCTCCGCAAGGCCTTGATTAGATGTTATATGTTCAGCTGTACATAGAAGTCCACTTTCTCCTCTGTGTAAACTACTTTTTAAAAGGAAGTGTGGGCCGGCCGTGGTGGTTCACACCTGTAATCCCAGCACTTTGGGAGGTCGAGGAGGGAGGATTGCTTGAGGCCAGGAGTTTGAGACCAGCCTGGACAACCCTTGTTTCTCTACAAAAAAGAAAATAAAAAATTAGTGGGGCATGGTGGCACGCACCTGTAGTCCCAGCTACTCATGAGGCTGAGACAGGAGGATTGCTTGAGCCCAGGAGTTTGAAGCTGCAGTGAGCTATGCACTCCAGTCTGGGTGACAGCACTCCAGTCTGAGTGACAGAGCAAGACCCTGTCACTAAATAAGTAAAAGGAAGTAGGGCACCTACAGAATCTCAGTGAGTTATTTCGGTCCCTAGTGACTCTGTGTCTATTAGAATTTTTTTTAATCATATGAGTTGAGAATAAGAACAAACAGGTTGACACAGCCTAAATGGCATACATCATAACATTCCTGAAAATTGCACTTAGTCCTTAATCAAAACCCGTGACACGTTAATTCAGTAGCAACTCTTTCTTTCTTTCTTGCCCAAATCTCTAATTGCAACTAGAGGGGAGGAGGTATTCCCTTTTTTTCTCCTGCACTTTAAGATTACCAAATCTTTGATCAGTTTAGCAATTTAGTTTCTCTCCCTGATTCAGCAATTTATGAGATAGCTCCACATACCATCTTCTGATAATCAGTAAACATAACATGAGTTATAGTTCTTAAATCACAGAGCTTTGGTGACCCTCAGTCGCAAAGTGGTCTCTTGAGGATTTCAATACTTTTGAGCAAGATCATGCAAGGTTAGACCTTTAGGCTAACTACCCAGGTTAAAAGCCCACGACTGAGAACACCTCTTCCATTCTTCTCACCAGACACCCTAAGTGACTCTATTCTTCTAGCATTAGATGTCTGGAAAATAATGTTAGCTCACATTTTCTGCAACACACATTATACAGAAACTTTTTTTTTTTTTTTTTTTTTGAGATGGAGTCTTGCTCTGTCGCCCAGGCTGGAGTGCAGTGGCGCGATCTCGGCTCACTGCAAGCTCCGCCTCCCGGGTTCACGCCATTCTCCTGCCTCAGCCTCCCGACTAGCTGGGACTACAGGTGCCCGCCACCATGCCCAGCTAATTTTTTGTATTTTTAGTAGGGACGGGGTTTCACCGTGTTGGCCAGGATGGTCTCGATTTCCTGACCTCATGATCCGCCCACCTTGGCCCCGCAAAGTGCTGGGATTACAGGCGTGAGCCACCGCGCCCGGCCCGGAAACACATTTTCAAAGTGCTTTTCTGAGATAAGTAATGTATGCCATTTATATGTTACTAATGTTCAATTCAGAAGACTACTATTAATTTCTAGTTGCTATGAAAGAGTGTTTAATGGATTTTCTTCTCAATGATTGTGACTGCATTTTAAATAAGAGTTCTATTGTAATTACTGCATCAAGAACTCTTTGGCTCTTCAAATATTAAAGAACATATAGAAATGTATCCATCATAACATCTCCATCTCTAAAGAATTTTAGTATACATCAGCGGCCTTTTCTAGTATAGCATGTCTTAACAATTAGCCAAAAAATTATATGCTAAATAAACTTGAAATTAGCTTTATTTCATAAATCACAGAATTTTCGAGCTCAGGGGACCTAAAGCATGAAATATTCCTCTAATTTTTTTTATTTTTTTATTTTTTTGAGACAAGGTCTTGCTCTGTTGCCAGGCTGGAGTGCCACAGGGTGATCACAGCTCACCGCCACCTTGACCTCCCAGACTCAAGTGATCCTCCCATCTCAGCCTCCACAGTAGCTAACTGGAACTACAGGCATGAGCCACCGCATCTGGCTTTTTTTTTTTTAGATGAGGTATTTCTATGTTGCCCATGCTGCTCTCAAACCCCTTGACCTTAAACAACCCCCCCACCTTGGCCTCCCAAAATGCTGGGATTACAGACTAGAGCCACTGGGCTCAGGCTCTCTTCCATGTTCTTAATCTCTTTCAGAACGTAATAAAAGGCAATAACACCTGCAGACTTTTTAAAAAACAAAGTCCTGATTTAGACCACCTCTTTTATTTTTCAGATGGGAAAACTGAGTTTCCAAAGATTAAGACTTGGCCAAAACCACAGAGCAGGTTCTAAGGCTCAAGGGTGAACTGAAACCTAAGTACCCCCTCACTTGACCAATAGTGGTTTTTATTAGGAAAAAAAGCTGTTCTTTAGTGAATTTCTACTTTAAGCCAGGCAATATTTTGAGATATTTTATCCATATTAGCTCTAAAGTTACAAATGATAAAACCTTACAAGATAGGAATTATTTCCCCATTTTACAAAAACATTCACATTTGAGAGATTAAATAATTTTCCCACGTTCTCATATGTAATTCAACAAGAAAGCCAGGATTTAAATCCCTGAATATCCAAACTCCAAAGCAAAAACAACAACAAAACCCCACAGTATTACATTCAGGATAGTATCTTTCACTGAACATAGTTGATTCATCTGTAAGAAAGGAACAAACCAATCAAAGGTTAAAAATGAGTAATGTTGAGTAAGTTCTAACCTTGAGCTACATAGTAGTAAAGCCCCCAAATTTCCAAGTACTATATATCACATTTCCTTCTGATCCATAACAAGGTGAAGATGAAGATAGATGCCTATGTACTATTTATGGCTGAATAATAAACTTCACAGAAAATTCTAAATCATATTTCCTATACCCATGACCTTTTCTACAATGCAAAGAGGACTATGTGCTCCCCCTAACATTATGATAATAAATTAGACTCTTCTGTCCAACGGTCATAACCACAGGGTCACCATCAGGAAACACAGAATTCTAATCACCGACTTCATTTCCTGACTGCTGTGGGGAATTTTGACCGTTTTAGGAACACAGATAGATATAGCAACGAGAAGGTCACCCGTGTGTCCGTTTGACAGATCTAATGCCTGTCGATAATCGGTTTGATGTGGACTTCACTTTGAATTTTAAACAGCAAATGCAAAACAGCCAATTGTTTCTCCTTATTCCATGGGGAAGATCAAAAGGAGCCTTATCTGGACTAGAGACAGTTTATTTCCATCTCAGAACAAAAGACAAAAGATACTGTGTCTTTTCCTTTCCTCTGAGTTCCTTTCCACTCCCTTTCCTGATTGGCAGTAATATCCTGACCATTAATCTACGTATTTTAAGCATAAAATCAATTTCTGGGACTTGTCTCATTTATTTCCATAACAGGAATAATGGAAATAGCACCAAGTTGCTACTGAGAGTAAAAGAGATTTAAAATACTGTGTTAAGCTCTCCTTTCAGACACATGATGATATGAGGAACTGAAGTACAACTGGAACGAGATCTAGATACAGACCTAGAGCTCTGGGAAGAATAATTTCATTTAGGAAAATATTGGTCCTTCCTCTCATTAAAATTTTGAGAATCCAGCCAATAATCAAATTTATAAACTTCTTTCTCGGGAAGCCATTCTAATCTAAAGGCTATTTGTGCTGTCTTCTTCACTCAGTCAAAGCCTTAGAGATAGACGTTTTATGTCTTAGAAGTGGCCTCATAAGAAAGATAAGAAATGGAGAACAAGTACAGCATGGCTGCACTATTAGAGACATCACTGTGGCTTAGAGAGGCCAATCTGAGACAACATCTAGCCTGATTCTTTATATGCAAAAGCTTAATTTCCCTAAGAACACAGAAAATGAAAAAAACATGCAGATTTATTTTTTAAGAACACTCTAAAGGGACTAAGTATTAATAAATGGTACTTGGTGTACATTGTCAGTCATAGAAGGCCAATTGTATGATTGGGTGGTCTAAAAATAAGTTTAGTTTTTGTTTTTGTTTTAAATTGCGGTTTAATAAAATAACAAATGTGAGTTATACTTCCCAGTTGGAGTTACTTAAGGCTAAAATAATACATGCAGGTAATGCCATTTGCAAGACTGTATGGATCAAATAAATACTGTTTTGTGGGACTCCGCCCAGAATTAAGTGACTGATCCAATGAGAATTGTTATTAGAAATTCATTCTCATTTTGAGAATCCATCCAATATGCAAATTAACAAATTTGGTAGCTGTGCAGGTGCCTTTCACATAGCAAGGCTGTGCTCTTTCCGGGATCTGTACTCTGATTTCAGGCGTCACCCATCAAGCCACAAAGAGCCACAAATAGCAGCTTTGAGACCCGGTAGATAAAATACCGAGGTTTCCCCACTGAGAAGCCATTCAGTTTTAATCCATAATCCCCAGGGAAATGAGGGAAAGGACCTCGGCTAAATCCAAAAGGAGGCATGGTCCAGATCACACACATAATATATGTAATTCTGTGTAATCAGAGTCGCTTACTAAAGAGTCCCCAAACCCCTCATATGAAGATTAAGTTCCCTTGCAAGCTTTCAGAAAGGGCAGTTAGACTTAAGAACATAGGAAATGTTAAGACAAAAGGAGACTTGAGCAGAGTCAACTTTAGTTAGTATTTGTGCCTTTTACGCCCTTAACTCCCTTTGTAACCATTTTCTGAATTATCTTCTTGCTGAGTGTTTACCCTAGAATGTACACAGGTTGTTTCCACTAGAAAAGGTATTTTGGTCATTTCCTCTAGTTGCGTAGTTCAGCTCAATATATACTAGGGCCTTTTTCATGTTCATTCAGAATTCAATCCATTTTCTGGGTTTTGTTTGCTTTGAAAGGAGATGAACTAGGCAAAATTTTTCTAACCCCGCTTGCTTCATTTTCATCATAGGGAAATGGGTCCGTCTCTCAGGAAGCTTCTTTTTCTGCCACCTCCAAAAAAATAAGGTATTTTCTCCAGGGCCACAGGGCACCAATTCCCAGCGTCCTCTAAACTCACCTCTCAGGCCCCACCTAGGTCCCAGCACCTGCAGTCTTTCTCCCCCATAGCTGCACTTAGTATGAACTGGGATTATTAAACGATTTCAAATAGCCAGATACATGATCAGAGGTGTGTCTAAAAAATATATTCAGCAGTTTAAATAAGTTGGCTTATTTGATCCATTTAGGTAAGTTTGACTTATTCAATCAGTTTAAATAAGATGGCTTAAAGAGAAATCGGGCCTGGAGCCACGGCTTATGCCTCTAATTCCAGCACTTTGGGAGGCCACAGCGGGTGGATCACTTGAGTTCGAGGCCAGCCTGGCCAACATGGTGAAACCCCATCTCTACTAAAAATGCAAAAATTAGCCAGGTGTGGTGGCACACACCTGTAATCCCAGCTACTTGGGAGGTTGAGGCAGGAGAATAGCTTGAACCCGGGAGGCAGAGGTTGCAATGAGCTGAGATTATGCTGCTGTACTCCAGCCTGGGATACAGAGCAGACCCCGTCTAAAAAAATAAATAAATAAATGAGAGAAAGAAAAATAAATCAAACACGAAGTGATTAGTTAATGGTCCATAGCCCTGATCAAAAGGAATGATGGCCTGAATTAGGGTAATGGCAGGAGCAACGGCAGACACACTGCAGAGAGAAAATGTGCTGGGCTTTGGAAATCATCAGCATTAGGGGAAGAGAATCATGCAGAGGAGTATGTGGTCAAAAAAGATGCCAGGGTTCTGAGCCTGTGAACGGGGATGGCATCCTGTCATTAGGGAAACACCAGGAGGAAAGATGGTGAGCTTCATTGGGAATAGGTTTTGTGGCCATATACTTTAAGATGTGGAAATACAACCTCTTTCCAGTCCCTCTGGCTCCCAGTGGTGGAAATAGTGACATAGTATCGACTACTGTACCCCTAGGAGGAATCATATCAGTGACCCTGGATTAAACACTTTCCCAGATCTGCCCTTCTAGACTCATCTAGCCATCTGAGTGACACGATCCAGAGAGCCAATATATGGGTCTGTGCTTGAGGAAACTGACCCAAGGAAGCCATTCACCCTACTGCTAGTCAAGGCCACAAGACTGAGTGGAAAGAGAATCATTGCCACTCATGTGTGGTCGGCCCTTTTCACCAGAGTAGGGGAATACAGGAAGGTGTAGAGGCCGATGTTTTGATTGGAGCGTCCACTGCTCTGGCTATACTCTTCAGGAAAACGTAGTTGAAGGAGCAGCTGTTTAAGATTTCAGGGATCCTGGCCAAATCTTTCCAAAAGAGCTATAGCAAACAGAAATCCTGGCCAAGTGTCTGCCTTCAGCACTAACAGCATTGTGTTAGAGATGGAACAGAGCGTGAAAGTACGGACCATGAGGTGACTGTTGCAACTTTGGGTCTGGAGCACTTTATGTGAAGCTCAGAATGTCTCCAGCAATGCAACAATATTGCTGCTCAGTCCACGTGTCATTTACCTACCAGCTACCCTTTCCGTGTGTCACGCGAAAACCTCTTCAAATTCCTTGCCTACTTATTCCCTTTCTGAAGTAGGCCACTTACCTTTCTTTCATCTCCTTCTTTCTTTTAACTGAACACTTAGAATCTCATTAAGACTACTGTATAAAGTGGGATTGCTAGATCTAGCAAACAAATACACAAAACACCCAGTGAAATTTGAATTTCAGATAATTCTTTCATTATATATCAAATATTGCATAGGACACAGTTATACTAAAAGGTATACTTGCTATTTATCTGAAATTAAAATGTCACTAGGTAGCATGCATTTTATCTGACAACCCTAGTAGAAAGAGAAACCAATCAGAAACCAGTCATAAAGCCATCCATATCCATTCTGCAACTTACCATATTCAGATGACAATTTCTTCACTGATATCCGGGGCTACAAAGGTACTTCAACTCCCACACACAAAATGCAGCAAAAGCCTCCAGAAAATGGAAAATGGAGATTCACAATCTCTGCTAATTCAGATTCCATTTCATAACCATCACAACTCCATTTTCACTAATATAGTTTAAGGCAATTCCACTGAATTGCCAGAGCTGACAAACAATTTTAGTACAATGCCATTGACAGTGTCTGGGTAGAGCATTTGTGAAAGCTCTGAAGGAGAAGTCTCAGAAGTAAAATATAATTATGACAGAGGAAAGAGCTTTCTCCTGATGTAAAAGTATCAATGTCTGCACTGGCTATGCCTTGCTACCTCCAGAGGGGTGAAGTTTTTGTACCAATTCACACACCACATCCCATGCCAACATGGTTCCATGTTGATATGCTCATATAGATAAGATCCCGTTAAAATTAATGCCAAGAGGACCTTCAAAGGGAACATCAGGAAGATGAGAGAAAACAAGGGGAAGATATCAGGCATATGACCCAACTACCAGCCCTACTGCCTTGACTGGATGAATATGATCATTCTACATTGGACCATGAACACTACCTTGGGTTTTTTTGTTTGACACACAGATAGACAGAAACACAAATAGACAGACAGAGAGAGAGACAGACAGACAGACAGACAGATAGATAGATAGATATAGAGATTTTTTTTTTTTGAGAGAAGTCTCGCTCTTGTCCCCCAGGTTTGAGTGCAATGGCTTGATCTTGGCTCACTGCAACCTCCGCCTCCCAGGTTTAAACGATTATCCTGCCTCTGCCTCCCAAGTAGCTGGGATTAAGGCGCCTGCCACCACACCCAGCTAATTCTTGTATTTTTTAGTAGAGACAGGGTTTCATCATGTTGGCCAGCCTGGTCTCAAACTCCTGACCTCAGGTGATCCGCCCGCCTCGGCCTCCCAAAGCGCTGGGATTGCAGGTGTGAGCCACCACGCCCGGCTGAGAATTTTTTTTAAGGCAGTGTCTCCTCTGTCATCCAGGCTGGAGTGCAATAGCAGTCATGGCTCACTGAAGCCTTGAATCCCTGGGCTCAAGCAATCCTCCCACTTCAGCCTCCTGAGTAGCCCGGACTGGGCATGCATCACAATACTTGGCTAATTTTGGGGTTATTCTGTTGTTGTTTTGGTGCATTTTTTTTCCCTTTTGTGTTTGTAGACATAGAGGTCTCACTGTGTTGCCCAGACTGGTCTCAAGCTATCCTCCCACCTCAGCCTCCCAAAATGCTGGGATTACAGGTGGGAGCCACCACGTCTGGCCAGATCTTGATCTAGCTAGCTCCTTCTCCCTAGGCTGCCTCCTGAGTATTTTAAGCCACCTTGTTCTGGAAGTAGTAGGAACCTTTCCCCAGTCTGATTCCTGCTGTTTTAGCCACCACAATGTATCACTACTCGTTCTCTTCCCATCCCACCCCACACACAAAAGTGCCTGTGACTGGTGTTGTCACAGGCACTTCGTTGAGCTGCCTAAATTCATCCTTTCATTGAAATTTGGAGGAACCACTTATTCTCCACCTTAATGCCTGGGAACCCTAGAACAGGAGCCTCCCAACCATTTTCAAAATTATTTCATGATCCTAGGTGCTTTCCAGAAGGTCTTGCACTGAACACTAGATGAATTATGTTCCTTTCTCCCAACTTTGATCAGCTGAGCATGCAATTTACCAATCAAACAATCCAGTACTGAGTGCAGGTAAAAATGTGTCTTAAAGGTGTGGATTAATATTTTTATGATATTGCAATTTTAACTTATTAAAGAAGTGTGGTAATATTATAACACAATGGACTCTTGCTGACTATGAGCCAAGTAACATATATTTAACATTGAGGCTAAAATCGTGGGCCACCAAGCTGTCTTTCAGCCTCTTCATGTATGTGTGCTGGTTGTATGCCTGCCTGTACAGGTGTCTCAAAGCCCTACTTAGAGAGGCTACATGGTGTCAACAAGTACAGACAATGGCAATGACTTTAGGAAAGATCCTCAGTCAATTTGATAAGTATGTAAGAATCCTCAAGCCCCATTGTTTACTTTATTCTTAGTTTTAGAAACAGGGTCTTCAGACTGGAATGTAGTGGTGTGATCCTGCAGCCTCATACTCCTGGGCTCAAGAGATCCTTCTGCCTCTGCTAGGAATACAGGAGCATGACACCACACCGGGCTTTTTTGAGGGGGCTGGGGAGGCGTAAAGACGGGGTCTCACTGTGCTGCCCAGGCTGGTTTCCAACTCCCGGCCTCAAGTGATCCTCCTGCCTTGGCCTCCCAAAGTGCTGGGATTACATTCGTGAGCTGTACCCACTGTACCAGCCAAACCCAGTTGTTTAAAACTGTAGCCTACTGGCTGGGAGCCGTGGCTCACGCCTGTAATCCTAGCACTTTGGGAGGCTGAGGCGGGGAGATCGCCTGAGGTCAGGAGCTCAAGACCAGCCTGGCCAACATGGTGAAACCCCGTCTCTACTAAAAATATAAAAATTAGCCGGGTTTGGTGGCAGGCACCTGTAATCCCAGCTACTCAGAAGGCTGAGGCAGGAAAATCTCTTGAACCTGGGAGGCGGAGGACGCAGTGAGTTGAGATTGTGCCATTATTCTCCAGCCTGGGCTCCAAGAGCAACACTTCATCTCAAAAACAACAACAACAACAACAACAACAAACTGTAGACTACCATCATTGAGTTGCCAAGACAACAACTGCTTTCATTTCGATATTCTTCAAGTTCCAAAATGGTTTAGCTCATCTGCCAAGACCATAGAATTGTTTGCCTTTTCCTGATCTCCTCTTATGTTTCTCTTAAGTAGTCAAGCTGTTCCAAGAGCAGTGGCTATACATTGAGGCAGCCACTCTATATAGCAGTGGTTTCCAACCTTTCTGCTATAAATTCTTATGAAAGTCAAAAACTTTCATAAACCCCTACAGAAGTGCAGCTGTACTTTTATTCTGTTGATTGAAATATACCAAACGGCTGCTATGAATTTGGTACATTTTGAAATTACTTTGTGTTTTATTTATCACAAAAGCCTCTACCTATATTTTAATAACATAAAATGTGTACATATCTGAGTAAGATATTTTGTCCCTTATGTCTAAAAATACTACGAATATTGATTTATGGCCCTTTTAACAAGAAGCACAGGGCTCTGAACATGAGTTCGCATTGCACAGGTTAAGAATCAGTGTATTGTTCTCTATGTTCTGTAGCATCTCAGAAAAGACATCCACAAGGAAGCGTTCTCTCCAAGGGATGTGAGACATTTCCATAAGGAACAGAGGTACATATAAACCAGTCACCCTCAAACCAGAAGGGGCAGGGACAGGGAAAGTAGTTTAAGTTAGGATCAGAATCAAGGGCTTGTAATCCCAAGACTTTGGGAGGCTAAAGCAGGAGGGTTGTTTGAGGCCAAGAATTCAAGACCAGCGGCAACAAAGCAAGACCTGTCTCAACCAAAAAGTAAAAAATTAGCCAGGTGTGGTGGTGCGTGCCTGTAGTCCCAGCTACTCCGGGAGGCTGAGGTGGGAGGATGGCTCAAGCCATCCTCTTGATAGAGGCTGCAATGAGCTATGATCATGCCACTACACTCAGCCTGAGCAACAGAGTGAAATTCTGTCTCAAACAAAACAAAACAAAACAAAAAAAACCCACAAATGACGCTGATCACCTCCCTTTCACTGCATTCAGTGCTGCTCTTAGAATCGTCAGGTTTACTGTGGTCGCACTTACTATGCTCCTGTTGTTCCTGCACGCCTTCATCTAGGTTTCATTTCTGCTTCACGTAGACATAGGTGGTATATTTTGGGTGAGGAAAGAGATTAATTAGATTAGGTTACCTATGGGATAATCTTTTGTAGGCCTACCTCTCCCACTCCCACCTCCCTAAATCTTTTTGAGACGGAGTCTCGCTCTGTCGCCCAGGCTGGAGAGCAGTGGCGCGATCTCGGCTCACTGCAAGCTCTGCCTCCCGGGTTCGTGCCATTCTCCTGCCTCCGCCTCCCAAGTAGCTGGGAATACAGGTACCCGCCACCACACCTGGCTAATTTTTTATATTTTTAGTAGAGACGGGGTTTCACCGCCATGATGGTCTCAATCTCCTGAGACCTCGTGATCCTCCCGCCTTGGCCTCCCAAAGTGCTGGGATTACAGGCGTGAGCCACCACGCCCGGCTCCACCTTCCTAAATCTATCCTGATCCCCACCCCCTCTTTCATATGGTAGTTTCACAAAAACATTGAAGGATATTATCAATCATTACCTGCTCCCTGCCGTCCCTAATCAAAGCCCTCTCTTTTAACATAGAGCTAGGATGCATGAAGCTTTCTGCGGTTTAGAAGCCAAATCATTCTGGTGGTTTAACCTATGCCAGGTAAGAGAGAGAGAGGAAAAGAGGAAGAAAGTAAGGAGAGATTCCTAAGGCCCTTGCTCGCCTTATGGAGTGAAGTAAAGCAGAGATGGGAATGCCCAGCCTTCTAGCCACCACATCCAAGAGGACAGAGCCTGTGAAAGCCCAGTGGGGATGATGAGAAACATTACAAGTCTTTAAATCAAGCTGGAACAGGTACTGGAATATTTTCTGAGTCAAACAGCATTCAGTCCACTCATCAGAGTCATTCTTTATGACTCAAATGTTTATGGCTTCAAGTTAGCAACACAAAGTTAGTGTCTCCCCACCGCCTTTTAATTTTTTTATTTTTTTAGGCTAGTCAAGTGAAGCAGCGGGCGTGGAGAAGGAACAAAAAAATCTGTAACTGGTTGTGATCAATTCGTTGTAGATACCATTGCACTTGGACCAGCCCCCCTACTCACCTTTTTTCCAAGACGGAGTCTCACTCTGTTGCCCACACTGGAGTGCAGCGGCACAATCTCGGCTCACTGCACCCTGCACCTCTTGGGCTCAAGCGATTCTCCTGCCTCAGCCTCCTGAGTAGTTGCGATTATAGGCGTGTGCCAGGACACCCGGCTAATTTTTGTATTTTTAGTATAGACAGGGTTTCACCATATTGTCCAGGCTGGTCTCGAACTCCTGACCTCGTCATCTGCCCGCCTCAGCCTCCCAAAGTGCTGGGATTACAGACTTGAGCCTCCACACCTGGCCTCGCCTTTTTTTTTTTTTTTCAAACCAGGTTTCCACTCCATGCCTCCATCCATCCCTTACCTTCTTGCTTCTTGCCACTTGCCCTTCAGATTCACACACTCCCTGGAAGAACATCCCCAGGAACAAGCACCAACTAAGCCATCAAGGCCTACTGGGTGGAGACAGACTTTGCCCTGGATGCCGTCTGGAGAGACGGTGGACATGTGTGGGCTCTGTTCTGTAGTACCTGTGCCAGCTCACCCAGGAAAGTTATGAGATGATGGGGTATGGGGAGAGGAAAGCCCCAGTCTGGGTTTATAATTGAGGTGATACACCTAGAGGTTTCACAATAGTAAACAAAAGAGGAGGTGTTGAATGAGATGGTGCCTTCAGCAAGGGAGAGGGCACAGAGCCCGGAGAGCCCACTAAGTCCTCTCTCCACCCTTGGAAAAACCTGAACGTGAGAATGCGCAGCTGTCTCCCGATCCTTTGATAAAGTGCAGCGCCCTGGAGTCCTTCAGAGTGACCCAGTACTGAGCCTCTGGGGTGGCTGGCACCACTGCCTAACAAGGGCAATTTTACGAAATGCCCGCTTGGCATCCCGTGTGATACTCTCACTTAGGAGCTTCTGTAGCTTGGCAGAAACTGGGAACCCAAAGCTTTAGGGAGTGGACGCATGAGAATTTTCTGGCCTCAATCTCTTACAGTTTCTTGGGCTCCTGCCACCGTACTGGTATTTGATTTAGAGGCCTAAAAGGGAAATCAGTCCCACGTGGGTAGATAACAAAACACTCTCCACCTTGGGCTCATGGAGTGGAATTTGAATATGAAGCCAAAACTCCTATCTCTGCCTGCTTCACTAATTACATAAATTTCCTTGCTACATTCTGCAGCTGTTTGTATGAATACAGCGCTGGTTCCCAGAGTGGTCCATCTCAACGCAAAGGTTCAGGGGCTCAGGGCACTCATCCCTGGGCTGCAACCCAGACTCCAGTGTTAGTTGTATGTCTGTTGGGTGTACCAGGGGACCCTGGATTTGTTTCTCTCTGTCATAAAATGAAGCTAAACAAACTACCTAACCTGTCTTATGATGCAGAGGTGTCAAAGAAAAATAAGACAGAGGAAAAAAAGAGGAGAGATGTGTGGCGGGCGGGGGGGGGGGGGGAGGGTGGTGGTTGTGAACATTAACTCTAGCAATAAAGATTACTGAGGAACCTTAATGAAAAGCACTGGAAGAAAAGCAGGGCTAGATCTGGAGGGAAGTATCTGTCCCTCCCTTTAAAATGTTCCAGATTTCACTATGGGAAAGCTTCACAGATATCACAAGATACTGTTTGACCCGAGGAAGAACAAGCACATATTACTGGATGCATTTCCTCTTCTCTTACCTGTCTCAGAACCTCTCGCCAGCCTTGTCTAACAAGATTCACCTTTGTTTTCATAGGCGTCACAAAGTTAGGGTCAAGGTACAATTGAATAATCATGAATTTTCCCCAAATACACAAATGATTTCAACACAACCGTTTCTAAATTAAAATCAACTGTAGTTACTCCAAGTAGAGCAAATGCATTGTAAAATACTGTTTCTTTTGTTTATTATGTAGAAAGATGAACAAGTTTCACTGAATATGGCTCCCATAAATAAGTGTACACTTAACAAAAGTCAGACACACAATTAACCCCTCTTGATGATATGGGGTGATTGGGCGGGGACCCCAGAGATACACTATGGTTAAAAACATGGGCTTTTATATGACACACAGATGAACCAATAAAAATGTGACCTCTTGACATATATAAAAAAAGCTGTCTTGAGTTTCTCTCATTGAAATATCTGAAGGCTTTAAAACTTTAAACAAAGCCCAGCTGGTTTGTATGCACAAGTTCCAAACCCTGAAATATTCCCATGATATCTCGTTTCAAACAATTCTACTTCAAAGAATTCTACTACTGTAAACTAGTGAGTAAACTAAATGAGTAAGTTTTCCCTTTTAAAATGTGCTTTATTTTTGTTGTAAAGCATGTTGTGTGGTAAATAGAAATTGAGAGGAAAAAACGTCAATTGCCCTAGTGGAAGAGGAAAAGAAATATTATGATTCCAAGTGTAATAAAAATTATAAAAGCTAAGTTTCCATGCAGAGTGTGAAAGAATCTCCAAGGATTTACATTCAGATAGAATTTAATTATAGCCACCCTGTTAGCATTTAAATTCTAGAGCTCAGGATAGCATTTTTGAAGACATCCCTTTTTAGACCTCTGCCCCGACAATATAGTTATTTTTGTGAGGCAACAGGCTGCTTGACCCTTCTTCAGTCAGCTTAGATTAGTTCAGTTAGCCTATGATTTGGGAGCCAATAAAAAGTAGGTGTGTGGTGATTACCAAAGATTTCTTATTTTTCAAATGCTAAATTACCCTTAATCACTGCCTTTTTTTGTTCCTCACCTGCTTATTCCAATTGTCCCCTCTGAAGCTATGCATTAGCAGGCTCTCTCTTACAAAAACACATGTTCTTCCCTGTGGTAAATTTTCGTCTGTTCCCAAACTCCTTCAAGGCTCAATTTCACTTTTTGCTCCTGTACTTTCTCTAACCCCGCCTACTCAAATTGCACGTATTCTTTTTTTTCTTTTTACTGTCAAAGATTATTTGAGTCCTTAATGTCATAGAGTATTTCAGACTTGTTTGCTTATACCAAAAAAGGGAAAAAGATAGTTTCACTGGGTAACCGGTTTTCATTTGTAAGTTATGGTGCAGAGAAGTAGGTATCCTGCCTCTTATGGCTTAGGTAATTAAGTTTGCAGGGTCAGCGTGACACGCATGACAAAGTTCCAAAAAGTCCCCGGTAAATCAGTCTCAAGGTTCTGCGTGAACACCATCAGCACAATTGTTTACACTTCCTGTCTGAGAATCAGATTTCAGACGTTGCAGTTAATCCTGGAATTTTACTCTAACCTTCATACTCGGAAAAAAAAATCACAAAGGCAATAGACAGTGGCTATTCTGCCTATCCCGAATGTATTCTCGGAAAATATACATTGACTTTAACAAGGTTTCCATTTTCAAAGGGGCAAAGCATAGGGTTGCCCCTGGATAAATCTAGTAGTTATTAGGCGCTGGCTGGATCCTACTGAGGGATGCTCTGAGCTAGCCTTCCACCTAAAATCCCTGACTTTTTGAGTTGCGAACATTCTCTTTAGCCACATCAGATACAGGGACACTTGGAATTTTCATAACCTTTCATTCTAGAGTTTATAAATGTGGACACCCACCCTTTCCTCCCCCTAACCAGTATGATTACGCCCTGGAAGGAAGGGATGGGAAGTGTGTGCATGCGCAGCCCGCCAATGACTCAAGAGTCAGAATTTCCGAGAGAAAATATTTGATAGGTTTTGCCAGGCTTTGGTGGGAAGGAAAAGAAGAGTTTTCATCAGGGCAACTCACACAACAGAACAATGTAAAGCATAGTGAGAGCTAATATATAAAAAGCATCTGGTACACCCAGCGCACTCTCACCTTGTAACCTTGTAATTATTTAGCACAGCAGGAAGAAATTCAGAACAAAACAAAACTATGTACTCAGGATACTGTATGTGAATGTAACTTGGATCCTACGGGATGACATTTTGGCCATGATATTCATGGCAGAAAGTTGCTATAGGACTCAGCTTGGAGTAAGGGTTGAAACAGTTGTTAACAGTAAGCTTAATAATATATTAAGCAAGCTAACTTCCCAAAAGAAAAGAATAATAATCTATTTTAAAGATTATTAATCTTGAATACTGTCGCCACATCTTTGCTGGTTTGATGGGTTGATGTACCTTGCTGATTAAGCAACAAGAAAATAAATTGTCACATTTGTCTCCAATTTTTAAGTTGGCAAATGAGGGATATATCTAGAATAAATTTAAAGAACAGATTTTTTTCAAATGTCTAAAAAATCAAGACTCAGAATGAAAAATGAGATAGAATGAGTTTCCAGTGCATTTATTTAAAAATATTTCACTCTTATAAAATAAAAACTAGTTAGAAGGTTTCTCATTTCACTTTATGAGCTTTCGGCTCATAGCGAATATATTCAGTTAAAGTTACTACCAACCTACAGCTCTGAGTTCTTTTATTCCTCATGTGAACTATTAAATGTGATCTTTATTGCATTTTCATTAATAAGTAATATTTAGCAGGAGACCTCAGATTTGGGGGTAATTCTAAATTAGCAAAATTTTTATCAGAGTCATAATGAAGACCCTCAAATTGCAACTTAATATAGCAAACAATATTACTTTAAAATATATGGGAACTTATCAAATATTAGAATATTTAAGTTTTATTTAACTAAAAGCATGTATCTCAATATTTTATTAATTAACTTCCTGAGGCACTGAAGATACCTACTTTGGTGAACATGTTTTTTTAAAAAAATAGATTTAAATTATTGTTTTAGCCTAAAAATGTATAAACTAGAACATTTATTATAATTACAGTACTTAAGACTCTAAAACTAAGAATGTTAATGTCCAACCATATCTTTTATTTTTCATTTGCTTTTTGGTGGAGGTGGTTTTGTCATGTGCTCACCATAAAAAACCTACAGGCACCAGGATATTTACTGAAGCAATAAAAAACTGGATACATTATAAATGACCATCAACAGAAGACTAGTTAAATAATTAGGATATAGCCATATAATAGAATTCTATGCATACTTTAAAAGAAATTGAGTACATTTATACACCGATATGGAGACATTCGCTTTAAAAAAAAAAAAAAGCAGCGCAAGTTGTAGAAAGTTTGCATAGAAATTAGTGAAGAAAAAGGGTGTGTTTAAATACAAGTATATACGTTACAGAATGAGAATGCCTAGGATATGACAGTAATTGCATAGAAAATGATTTGAATGATACTACCTCATATACGAAAGTTTCACTTTTGAGTTTATTCAATTCCATATTATTTGAATTTTAAAAACATAAGTTTTTTAAATTTATAAAAAACAGTGATTGCTATAATAGGATTCCCTTATCTACCTATCAAAATTTTAATAGCGCTTATTTCTAAGTGAAAAATTGAGTCGTTTTTCTATTTTTTCTTCCTTGATCATCTATATAATCTATTGTTTACATTAAATATGAGTGTGCAATAAAGTATTGAGAGGTGACAACATGCTAGCAGCCCTCGCTCGCTCTCGGCGCCTCCTCAGGCCTCAGCGTCCACTCTGGCCCCGCTTGACCAGCCCTTCAGCCCGCTGCTGCACTGTGGGAGCCCCTCTCTGGGCTGGCTGAGACCAGAGCCAGCTCCCTCTGCTTGCCGGGAGGTGTGGAGGGAGAGGCGCCAGCAGGAACCGGGGCTGCGCACTGGCACTCGTGGGCCAGCACGAGTTCCGGATGGGCTCGGGCTCGGCAGGCCCCGCACTCGGAGCAGCTGGCCGGCACCGCCGGCCCTGGGCAGTAAGGGGCTTAGCACGCAGGCCAGCAGCTGCGGAGGGGGCGCCGGGTCCCCCAGCACTGCTGGCCCGCAGGCGCCATGCTCCAATTCTCACTGGGCCTCAGCCACCTCCCAGCAGGGCAGGGCTCCCGACCTGCAGCCGGCCATTCCTGAGCCCCCACCGCAGCGGGCTCCCGCAGGCCCGAGTCTCCCTGATGGGTGCCTCCCGCTGCTCCATGGTGACCACCCGAGGGCTGAGGAGCGCAAGCACCTGGTGCGGCCCTGGCACGGGATCCACTAGGGGAAGCCAGCTGGGCTTCTGGGTCTGCTGGGGACTTGGAGAACCTTTATGTCTAGCTAAAGGATTGTAAACACACCAATCACCACCCTGAGTCTAGCTCAGGGTTTGTAAATGCACCAATCAGCACTCTGTATCTAGCTAATCTGGTGGGGACTTGGAGAACCTTTGTGTCTAGCTAAAGGATTATAAACACACCAATCACCACCCTGTGTCTAGCTCAAGGTTTGTAAACACACCAATCAGTGCTCTTGTCTAGCTAATCTAGTGGGGACTTGGAGAACCTTTATGTCTAGCTAAAGGACTGTAAATACACCAATCAGCACTCTGTGTCTAGCTCAAGGTTTGTAAACACACCAATCAGCACTCTGTGTAGCTCAGGGATTGTAAACGCACCGATCGGCATTCTGTGTCTACCTCTAGGTTTGTAAACACACCAATCAGTGCCTTGTGTCTAGCTAATCTAGTGGGGACTTGGAGAACTTTTACCTCTAGCTAAAGGATGGTAAATGCACCAATCAGCACTCTGTGTCTAGCTCAGGGATTGTAAACGCACCAATCAGCACCCTGTCAAAACAAACCAATCAGCTCTCTGTAAAATGGACCAATCAGCAGGATGTGGGTGGGACCACATAAGGGAATAAGAGCAGGCTGCTGGAGCCAGCAGTGGCGACCTGTTTGGGTCGTTTTCCACACTGTGGAAGCTTTGGTGTTTTTAAGTTTCTGCATTAAATCTTGCTGCTGCTCGCTCTTTGGGTCCACACTGCGTTTATGAGCTGTAACAGTCACTGTGAAGGTTTGCAGCTTCACTCCTGAGGCCAGTGAGATCGCAAACTCACGGAGAGGAATGGAGAGCTCTGGCCGGGAGGAGAGAACAACTCCAGACGCGCCACCTTAAGGGCTGTAACACTCACAGCGAAGATCAGCAGCTTCACTCCAGAAGCCTGCGAGACCACGAACCCACCAGAAGGAAAAAAACCCTGAACACGTCAGAACACCAGAAGGAACAAACTCCAGACACACCATCTTTAAGATCTGTAACACTCACTGCGCGGGTCCGCGGCTTCGTTCTTGAAGTCAGTGAGACCAACAACCCACCAATTCCAGGCACAGTATGAATGTTAAAAATTTTAAGGAAGAGCATAGGGTATTTCCACAAAGCGAAAATGAAAATATGCGGAGGCAACATGCTAAGAAGAAAATATACCTTAAAGTCTGTTATGGTCAAAGTAGTTACAAAGTTTCATTAAGTCATAAACTTAAATTCTTCTAACCAACTAATTCTCTAAGGCAAAAATGGCAGCAGCTTTTCAGATAATTGACCAAGTTATGGTTGGTTGCTTTTTTTTTTTTTTTCTTCCCCAGAGACAGGGTCTCAGTCTGTCACCCAGGCTAGAGTGCAGTGGCAAGATCATGGTTTGCTTCAGCCTTGACCTCCCCAGACTCTGGTGCTGTTCCCATCTTAGCTACCAACCCACCCCCAGTAGCTGGGACTATGGGCCCAAGCCACTGTCCCTGGCTAATTTTATTATTATTATTATTATTGGTAGAGGTGGTGTTTCTCCACGTTGCCCATGCTTCCATTTGTTAAGCATAAAGAAAATACAACATTCATTTTTAAAAACTTATATTTGAATGGCATTAGCACACCTTCGGAAAGGTTGCCTCAATATTTCATGGAAATTAAAACCACTGCTTCATTAACTAAGAATAATTCATAATCCACTAAATAAAGACGCTTTAATTAAAGCTTTATTGAGATACCATTGACATTATTCAAACATATTGAGTCATTTTTTTGGGTTATATAAACTCAGAATTACAGAGTTTAATCCAAAATCTTTGCAGGTGAACCAAAAAGAATGATTTGTGTCTATCAAGAGAAGCATGCAAAGTTGTTAACCACCATTAGCAATGACTAGATGGTAACTTCTGGGTCATTTCAGAACACTTCTTACGGACTTTGGAAAACCTGGCACTGCTGCCACTTTTTGAAGGCTCTGGACTTTGTCTAAAGAACCAACCTGTGCCCCACAAAGCATGCCTAAACTTACAAGTACAGTTGTGCACTCAAAGCAACCCTGAGACTGTATTTAGTAAACATGGAGGGGAAGTTCATACTGTCCAATTAATATGAAACTATAAAAAATGGGCAATCCATAATATGACACAGCAATAGATAGAACACAACCATATTTTTCTGGGATGGAATAAATCGCAGAGATCTGTTCCTGCAGGAACAGGGTCTGAATGCAACAGCATTTATTCATAACATACATTATGCAGCCTTACCACTTTCTTTTTTTAAAAAAAATAACTTTTACCGACAATAAATGTAAATGGTATAAAATTTTAAAGGTGTAATATAGTATGGAATAAAAAGTCTTTCCCCAACCCCTGTCCTTCAGACACTCAGGTTTTCTTCACATCATTTTCATTTTGTTTTCTACTTTTAAATCTTTGATACATTTGAAAAATACTTGGGTGCAAAGAGTAGGCTGGGGTCAACTTCTTTAGTTTCTGGATGGCAATCAAGGTAGCTCAAGCTCAGATACTGATTAATCATTTCTCTTTTCTTCCGTTGATATGCAAAGCTACAGTCAATTAAATCTAAATTCTTTTTTCTTTTTCAGTCCATTTCTAGACTGACTAATTCCATTGATTTGAAAATGCAGATTACACTTAAGCACACACAGAGGCTTTAGAGCCTGAATCCCTGGGTTGGAGTCTCAGTTCTACTGTTTACCACCTGTATGACCTTAGGCAAGTTGTTCAAATTCTGCCTAAATTCCTCATCCATAAAACGGTGATATTAATAATCATAAGATTGTTGTGGGGACTAATAGTTGAAAACACTTCAAAAGTGCATACATAGTACTGAATGTGTATTATCATTATGCTGAAAATTCGCTGTTGGTGTTTTTACTGGTAATTCATTAAATTGACAGAGTGAGGAAGACTGACATCTGTAAATGCTGAGTCTTCCCATGTAAACATCATATGTTTTATGTTTTCGAGTCCACTTTCTTCAGACATCTGCCCACAGATCTTTACCCGTGTTTTATAAGGATTCACATTCTCCTCTTGTAATTCAACTTCCCCAGATATTTCATCATCATATGGTTCCAATTCCTGTAATTCCTAGTTATTACCTCCCAACTACCCTGTTCCATCTGTAGACATCTCTTATCCAAGACACTTCACTGAGGGCCTTGACTACAACCTGTCCCTAATAGAATGTAGCAAGTTGTATTTCTTTAAAACATCTGAGCTTCACTATTACTTATGAAGGCTCATGCATTTTTAAGGCCAGTATTTTCTCCAGGGAAGAAAGTTCTCTGTTGAAATATTTTTCTGGATGTGAAGTCTGTTTGTAGAAAGCATCTTGAGAAATCAGACCCCTCAGTGAGATTTTATGCTTGAAGCCTTTATCTGAGTTTTTGTTTCATGCACATTAAACTGTTACTGAAAAGCACGGGTCCTTTAGAGTTCAGGGGGAAAGTGTTTATGAAGATCTAAGACTGAGTTAAAGACAAAGCCATAGCCAGAGGCCTGGTTTCCTGCAAAGGAGGAAGTCCCCACTAATATGTCATGCTTCTGTCTAAGAGGATATTAAAGCCATCGCAGGCTTCTGTGTTTACTGCCAGTCATGTGTCTCACAATCCCTGTCTGTACCAGGGAGTCACATGATAAGGGTTACACACCATGGCTCATCCATAGCTCCTTGTTAAGGGCAATACAGTGAGTAATTACAGTATTGGCGACAAAGAAAAAAAAAGAGAGACAATGAAACCCTTATTATTAGTTACCATCTCCCAATCACTGTCTAATGTAATTTGAAGAAAAAAAATACACCTTGAAAGGAATAATGAAGCCTGCTGGGCAAGCCATTGCAATACTTAATTTTAAAAGAAAACACTCATTAAACTTTTTTCTTATAAAAAAAGGGCATTACAAATAGATGTAATGTGAGAAGCCACAGGGCCTCCCCAGACGCAACCCATAGTGCTGTCTTTCTTCTCCATTTCTTTTAAGCTGTCTAAGAGGGCTGGAGAAACATATATTCACCCGCACATACACACATATATGCATCCCAGACCACAAAAGACATTCAAGTGGTGTCGGTTTTATGGGCAATACAACACCCTTCAGAGACAAATGGCTGATGTAATACTGGCCCAGAGCTGACAGATCTTGAGAAACGCCTATTATTTCCTTGAGAAGATTTCTTTAAACAAAGTATGTGGTTACCAGCAGAATGAAGTCTCAGTTTTGGATTTTGAGAGTAATTCATTTAGGCAAGTATTCCCCAACCCAGTGCAAACAAGAGGCCTGACGCCCCCAGGAGCTGTTCATGGAGCTTTGGTCTCACAATCACCTGTTTTATTCCAGCCTTAACCAGTGGGGACTAAAGTTTGTTTATAGCTCATTCTTTCTTAGGTACAGATGTTCTTCCAACTGCTCCTAAGGCTGGCCAAGTACACAGGTTCTCTTTGCCTTTCTGAAGATAGGGGGAATGTCATCAACTATAAAAGAGAACGTGAAAAATATTAATGTTGGTCATGCTTGGGCAGGAAGAGTGAAGGTACAGATGGGTCGGGATAGAGCCAGGAAGAAGGACCCTAATCAGATTTTATAGACTGAGATGAGGAATAGACACAGAGAGGGCAAATACTATATTTTTATGACCTGACAATTAGCAGGGGATTGGCTCAATACAGGGCTAGGGAGCAACAAAAGATGTTGAGTTAAATAGTTTGTCCGAGGGAAAGACACAGACTGCTTCAGAGCAAGTTCTGGGGGTAGGAAATGAGAAGAATATTAATGCCCAGAATACAATGAGGCACCAGAGTTGCCGTTTTAAAATTTCAGAGAAATTGAAGGAAAAGAACAGAGCTCATATATGAACAAGGAGCTAGGAAAAAGAGCTTGATTCCAGGGTGGGATGTGAACTAGGAAGGGCAAATGGAGGAGTTTTGAAAGTTTACTTGAGTTAAGCTCTCTCAGGATAATAGAATTGAGATTGTGCCTTCTGTATTTTGATTGATTCTGCTGAGAGATTTCCAAACAGTATCATAAAAATATTATTGGCTGGGCGCAGTGGCTCACACCTGTAATCCCAGCACTTTGGGAGGCCGAGGTGGGCAGATCACGAGGTCAGGAGATCGAGACCGTCCTGGCTAACACGGAGAAACCCTGTCTCTACTAAAAATACAAAAAATTAGCCGGGCGTGGTGACGGGCAGCTGTAGTCCCAGCTACTCGGCAGGCTGAGGCTGGAGAATGGTGTGAACCTGGGAGGCGGAGCTTGCAGTGAGCCAAGATCGCGCCACTGCACTCCAGCCTGGGAGACAGAGCAAGACTCCATCTCATAAAAAATAAAAAAGAAAAAATTATCACCTCATTACTGGCCAGCTAGGTGTTTGCTGTCAAGTAAATGCATAGAAGAATGAGAAGGGAGAGCATAGAGCCTAAGAACTTTAGGTTAGGCTTTTAGACAGAAAACAACAACAACAACAAAAACAACCCTCTCAAGCCTGCAGATGTTACCAAGGAGGAAATGCCAGCATGCCTGTGTCCCATTTGTGTAAAAGACACACACACATACACAGGATTTAGTTGGTCAGCTTCTCCTTACAGGCCCTGCATAGCTGTTAGTGGCCACGAAATCAAAATTGTGTGTGCTCCATGGAATACTATGCAGCCACAAAAACGAACAGAACCCTGTCTTTTGCGGGAATGTGGATGGAGCTGGAGGCTATTATCCTCAGCAAACTAACAGGAACAGAAAACCAAATACTGCATGTTCTCACTTGTAAGTGGGAGCTAAATGATGAGAACTTATGGACACAAAGAAGGGAACAAGAGACACTGAGGTCTACTTGAGGGTGGAGGTAGGAGGAGGGAGAGGAGCAGAAAAGATCACTATTGGGTACTGGACTTAATTCCTGGGTGATGAAATAATCTGTACAACAAACCCCTGTGAATATGAGTTTACCTATGTAACAAGTTTACCTATGTCACCTGCACATGTACCCCAGACCTAAAATTAAAAAAAAAAATCAAACATCTTATCACACACATGCAACACACAGCACAACACAAAACAGTACATCATTTCTATAGAGAGGAAGAATACAACAATGGTTTGTTGTCAAATCTCAGGTTAGTAATAAATGCTTTTCTTCTTTTTTTGAGATGGAGTCTTGCTCTGTTGCCCAGGCTGGAGTGCAGTAGTGCGATCTCTGCCACTGCAACCTCCGCCTCCCGGGTTCAAGCCATTCTCCTGCCTCAGTCTCCCGAGTAGCTGGAACTACAGGCGCCTGCCACCACGCCCAGCTAATTTTTGTCTTTTTAGTAGAGACGGGGTTTCACCATGTTGGCCAGGATGGTCTCAATCTCTTGACCTCATGATCCGCCCGCCTAGGCCTCCCAGAGTGCTGGGATTACAAGCGTGAGCCACCATGCCCAGCCAATAAATGCTTTTCTGTGGCTAGCCAAAAAAAAAATAATAATAATAAGTATGCTGTACCTTGAGATCCCACACTCTCAAGCTCAGAGCATGCTGGACAGTACTGTTCGAACCTTGGTCCTGGTTGGAGTAGAACTGCTTCATTATACACTTAAATTCCAGATAAGAGTGCCTGCCCGCTCCAGAACTGTGAAATATGCAGATTCACATGGTCAGTATCAGCCACAGATCTGAAAATCAGTATGAAAGAACTTTCTTTTCCAGTTTTCAGATTCGAAATGAGTGAGAGAAGGAACACAAGCTACTGGGATAGAAGAATGTGACCCCAATGCTGTTAGCACAGAGAAATACTCAATTCACTTGAAAAGGGGAAAAAGAAATCCACACATACTAATTTAGGGAAGTTCACTGGTGCTTCATTCATCATTCATCTTCAGTTTTGTAGTGGAGATTTATTTAGGTCAGAGTTTTGGGTGAGATCCCTCGCTCCCCCAGGAGACTGGCAGTCTTACTTAGAAACTAGGTTCTAAGGAAGAATCTAAATGATACAGCTGATAGATTCAGTTCTATAATGGCCTAGCAAGGACAAAGAATATTTTTTTGTTACTGATGAATGGTTCCTAGGTACAGTTAGACAAACCAGGGCAAATGAAGAAAAATATATATACATTGTGAGCTGATTGATTTCATTTTCAACACGGTTTAGAGAAGCTTTTGTCTTCCACTTGCCTAAATTTAGATTGATCATCCCAGAGAGATTTAAAATTTATACTACATTAGTCAGCATTCCTTCATTCTTCCTAAATGCCATGCAGATGTCAAAGCATTATTTAGAAACAGAGCTCTATTCGGGCCCAGTCAAGTCAACACTAACCAGAAGTGTCCTTTGGTTTCTAAATTAAATTTCCTGGTTTGCTTTTCCTTGTGACTTTCTGTGAAGAATATTATAAACCTTGCCATAACTCTTATCTTGGACTTTATCCTCTCAACTTTAAGCATTCTAATAGCACAAGCAATAGTAATGATGTCAACTTTTTAAAAACACAGAACTGAAATAAATATGGAAGCTCCCTGTGTAAGATGCCATATAATAATAAAGTTGATATTAATATTGGAAAGTAGCTATTCCTTTACAGATCAAATTACTATGACTACTATTATTATTAATAATATTAATATTATTTGGCTTTGACAATACAAAGAAGAAAATAGGGCCAATTTGGTGATTATTTCTAATAACTTACAAATTTAGATATTAAAAAGTTATTATTTTTAGTATCACTAGCTCACTAGTTATGGAACTTTTCAATAATAACACTACAATAGAGGGTAACTAGTACTGATTAAAAAAAAAGAGTCCTTTTAAAACATAAGCAAAATATCAGTGTGATATTACTACAACTATTACGTATTACAGTGTATTTTTTTTTTTTTTGAGATGGAGTCTTGCTCTGTTGCCCAGGCTGCAGTGCAGTGGCACAGTCTAGTCTCACTTCGGCCTCCACCTCCCGGGTTCAAGTGATTCTCCTGCCTCAGCCTCCCGAGTAGCTGGGACTACATGCACACACGACTATGTCCGGCTAATTTTTTTGTGTTTTTGGTAGAGACGATGTTTCACAATGTTGGCCAGGCTGGTCTCGATCTACCTTGTGATCCACCCGCCTCAGCCTCCCAAAGTGCTGGGATTACAGGTATGAGCCACTGCGCCCGGCCCTACAGTATATTTTAAGAGACTATGATATATACATTATGAGGCACAATAATACAACACCATTAACCCACCACGCAATGAAGAACTAGAATATTCTTTCCTGTTAAAGTTACCCCCATGCTCTTCCCTAACCAGTTTCCTTGGCTTGCGTCAGAGGAAATCATAATCCTGAATATTGATCTTATATTCCCTTCATATTTTATTAAATTGAAAATTATGTAAGCTCTTTATTTTTAGCTTTTATATTTCATTCAACATTGTTTCAAAGATTTATCCACGTTGTTGCATGTAGCTATGCTCATTTATTTTCACTGCTGTGTAATATTCCACTGTGAAAATATACAATTTTTAAAGATCTATTCTTCAGTTGATGGACATTTGGATTATTTCCAGTTTTTCCTAATATAATGCTGCTGTAGATATTTTTAGTTGTTTGGAGTTTCTCTAAAGAAACAGTTTCCCTAGTACATCCCTTAGAGTAGAATTGCTAGATCATAGCATAATTAGTGTTTAGCTTTAATGTGAATGTAAAATTTTTCTTAAGAAGTTGTAGTAACACACCTTTCTATGAGAAATATACACGAGTTCTCATGGAGAACTTAGCATTTTAAAGTATAAACTTAGTATACGTTTATTCACTGTATGTTTTCTATGCCCAGTTATATCTTTTGTCTAATTTTATTTATGTTCTTTTATTTTTAAATTCTTTGTTTTGCTTTTTTATTCTTTTGTGCTTTTTCTGAACTGGGTGCTTAGTTTTTAGACTTTCTTCTTTGCTAATATAAGCAATTAAGCTTATATGTTTCATCAGATACTGGCTCTGCTATCTCTCATAAGTTTAAATAGGTACTACTTTCACTATCATTTGGAATTTTAAAATTTTCAGTATGATTTCTCCTCAGTTCATGAGATATTTAGTACTTTTTCAAATTATAAATGAAAGTATTTATAATTTATAAATACTTTTGTTTTTGATTTTTAATTTATTGCATTTGGTCAGAGAATGTGGCCGTTCTAATTATCTGTTGCTGCATAACAAAATACTTCAAGGCAATGGCTTAAAACAATAGCAATCAGTTATTTTGCTCATGGATCTGAGTGTTTACTGGACATGGCTAGGCAGTTCTTCCTTAGGGGTCTGTATTAGTCAAGGTTCTCCAGAAAAACAGAACCAGTAGGACAGATAAATAGATAGATGGATGAGAGAGAATTTATTTTTATTTAATTTGTTTATGAGGCAGAGTATCGCTCTGTTGCCCAGGCTGGAGTGCAGTGGTGCAATCTCGGCTCACTGCAAGCTCTGCCTCTCTGGTTCACACCATTCTCCTGCCTCAGCCTCCCGAGTAGCTGGGACTACAGGCACCCACCACCACGCCTGGCTAATTTTTTGTATTTTTAGTAGAAGCGGGATTTCACTGTGTTAGCCAGGATGTTCTCGATCTCCTGATCTCGTGATCTGCCTGCCTCGGCCTCCCAAAGTGCTGATATTACAGGCATGAGCCACTGTGCTGGGCCCGAGAGATAATTTATTAAGGGAATTGTCTCACGTGATTACGGAGGCTGAGAAGTCCCATAATACACCATCCGCAAGGTGGAGAACCAAGGAAGCTGATAGCACGGCTCAGTTCAAGTCCAGAACCTCAGAACCAAGGAATCTGACAGTGGTAACTCTCAGTCTGAGGTTGAAGGCCTAAGATCCTGCAGGGGCACTGGTTCAAGTCTGAAGGCCAGAGAAGCTGGAGTTCTGATGTCCAAGGACATGACAAGATGGTGACCCAACCCCAGAAGAGAACAAATTTGCTTTCCTCTGTCTTGTGTTCTATCTGGGTGCTCAGTTGATTGGACAGTGCCTGTCCAAATTGGGTGAGAGATCTTTCTTAGTCCACTGATTCAGTCCTAAGTCTCTTTCAGAACCACCCTCATAAAGATACCCAGAAATGATACTTTGCCAGCTATCTGTTCAGCCCTTTTTACCCAGTCAAGTTGCCACCAAAAATTAACCATCACAGGGTCTCTCCGGCCGCTGCAGTCAGATGATAGCTGGGGTCAGCCTCTCTTAAAGCCTTCTCCATTCACATGTGCCTGCCCGGGGAAAACTCAAACAGCTCTGGGCTGAAACGGCTGGAAAACCTTGGCATGTCTATGTCTCTCTCTCTCTCTCTCTCTCTCTCTCTCTCTCTCTCTCAGCTTTTCATTTGGTCTTTCAACATCAGGGCCTCAGGGCAACCAAACTTCTTACATTGTAGCCAAAGACGCCAGAATGATTATCCCAAGAAAAAGTCACTGATGCTGGGTGTGGTGGCTCAGGCCTGGAATCCCAGCACTTTAAGAGGCTAAGGTGAGAGGACACCAATTTAGCAGGAAAAAAAAAAAAAAATCAACCAGGGTGATGGTGCACACCTGTAATTCTAGCTACTTGGGAGGCGGAGGAGGAAGGATCACTTGAGCCCAGGAGTACAAGGCTGCAGTGAACCGTGATCACACCTTTGCACTTCAGCTTAGGCAACAGATTGAGACCCTGTCTCAAAAAGAAAAACTCACTGAAGTTACCTGACCTTTTCTAACCTACCTAGGAAGTAACACAAAATCACATATGTCATATTTTGTTTATTAAAAGTCAAAAAGCATCACCTGGGTTCAGGGGAAGGGGACATTGACTCCACCTTTTGATGAAAGGGTTGCCAAAGATTTTCTGCACATGTTTTCAGAGCACAACAGCGGTCAGTATCATACCACCTATTTGAAATTTGCTGAGATTTAATTGATGGTTTAGTATATGGTCAGTGCTTTTGTTTTTTGTTTGTTCTTAATATCAGTAGCTTTGAAAATGTGTATGTTCTAACTGATGGATACAGATATCTATACATGATCATTAAAACGTTTTTATTGGGCTTGCACCCACCAATATGATATTGGTTAGTTTCTCCCTCTAATTCTGCCTTTTTTTTTTTTTTTGAGACGGAGTTTCACTTTTGTTGCCCAGGCTGGAGCGCAACGGCACAATCTTGGCTCACCGCAACCTCTGGTGTTCAAGTGATTCTCCTGCCTCAGCCTCCAAAGTAGCTGGGATTACAGGAATGTGCCACCACACCCAGCTAATTTTGTATTTTTAGTACAGATGGAGTTTCTCCATGTTGGTCAGGCTGGCCTCGAACTCCCAACCTCAGGTGATCCACCTGCCTCGGCCTCCCAAAGTGCTGGGATTACAGGCGTGAGCCACCTTGCCTGGCATGCCAGTTTTACTCTGTATATTTTGAGGTTTTGTTAGGGGTACATGGGTTCAGAATAGTTTTCTTTCCCTATTTTAGTTAAATAAACTTTTTAGTGTTGTGTAATAACCCTCTTTACCACTTAAAGTCTTTTTTGAATTAAAAACTTTTATTTCTCATAAATATGTAGTTATCCTAATTTTCCTTTTACTTTTAACCTTCTTATATCATAGTGTTATGATGTAGCCTAAGTAAGCACTATATAGCTAGATTTTTATTTTTATTATTAGAGATTCAGATATCTGGAGAACTCGGTTATGAAATTTAGCAGACTTTTCTAATCCTCTGTGTTGTTTTTGCCTTAATATATTTATTTTGTTAACCGTCTAAAAGATGACAACCAGTAGAGAAATAGCTGTTTGTTCAGGAACAGAAAATCTGTATAATAGAGATCAGATCTAATCCTTTCTCTACTGATAAATCCTCAAATATTAGTCTTTCACAACTAGTAAGTTGTATTAGTCCGTTCTTCACACTGCTATAAAGAAATACCCAAGACTGGGTAATTTATAAAGGAAAGTGGTTTAATTGACTCACAGTTCGCCACCGCTGGGGAAGGCTCAGGAAACTTACAATCATGGCGGAAGCTGAAGCAGAAGCAAGTAACTTCTTCACAAGGCGGCAGGAGCGACTGTGTATGTATGAGTGTGGGAAAAAGCTACCATTTATAAAACCATCAGATCTCGTGAGAATTCACTCACTATCACGAGAACAGCATGGAGAAACCACCCCCGTAATCCAATCATTTCCCAGTAGGTGCCTCCCTAAATACCTGGGGATTACAGTTCAAGATGAGATTTGGGTGGGGACACAAAATCTAACCATATCATAAGCCTTGTTGCTAGGTCTATTTTTTAAAATGTGTAATTCGTTGCCTTGCAGTTCCCCCAAAGTCCAGCTTAATTCAACTGAATCAATAAGAGATAATTGAGTTAGTTACACATGAAAAGCCAATCTTGGAAGATAGACGGCAGCTCCATTCTCCTGCTGACTATTAAAGTAAGTTAATGATCTGGAGCTGTGTAGGGGTTTCCAGAAATAGCTCTAGAATGGCCATCATGCTGTAGTTAGCAGCGAAGAAAGGGAACTGTGCTTTATTTTCCAGGCAATTGCCCGAACCCACCCCATAGCATCTTATTTTAGGACCAATCCACCAGAAAGAAAGAGCAACATACAGTTCAAATGAGCACAAAACGTCTCCTTAGTGGAAATAAACTCATGAGTGAGTCCATTCTTTTTTACTGACAAGGTGAAAGGCTGAAAATAGCCATCTTAGCATTGTACGTAGCTCTTGAAAACCTCACAGATTTTCCAGGATTGATTTATTAGTATTAATGGATATATATCTGCACACATACATATATTGCACTTACAGAAAATGTAAGTCAAAACATTTCTTAAAAACTCGGTGCCCTTAGATCTCTGCTAGCTTTTTAGCAGCTGGCTTTTTTTTTTTTTTTTTTTTTTTTTTTTGAGACAGACTCTTGCACTGTGTCACCCAGGCTGGAGTGCAATGGCGCAATCTCGGCTCACCGCAAACTCCACCTCCCAGATTCAAGTGATTCTCCTGCCTCAGCTTCCCGAGTAGCTGGAATTACAGGCATGCGCCACCATGCCCAGCTAATTTTGTATTTTTAGTAGTGATGGGGATTCCTCCATGTTGGTCAGGCTGGTCTCGAACTCCCGACCCCACGTGATCCACACGCCTCGGCCTCCCAAAGTGCTGGGATTACAGGCGTGAGCCACCGCACCCAGCCACAGCAGGCTTTTATAGAGGCCTCACTCTAAGCAAGGCATCTATATGTGATACTAGGGGAGAGAGAAAAATAAGACAGCTAGAATATTTTTTGAGTACATAATAAAATGTATAACTAAAAATAAAGCCAAAAACCCTATCTAGTAAATGACCTGTTTTGTAAATTAAATTTGTGTCTTCGCCTTTCTGGGGTCAAGCCCTATAGGAAAAACTACTTAAGTAAACTCCTAGTTAATAATTGAAAAGAACAAATAAGTAAGACCTTTAAATTTTGTTTGAAGCTTGTTAATTTTTATCATAAATTAATAAGCTTGAAAGGCAGATGACATACTAGTAAAAATATTTGTATAAGAAATGGCACATGGTTAATATCCCTAATATACATAATACTTACAGATCAACAAGCAAAGACAAAAATGCTTCATTGAAAAAAAAAAAAGTTGGCCAGGCACTGTGGCTCAACCTGTAATCCCAGCACTTTGGAAGGCAGAGGCAGGCGAATCGCTTGAGCCCAGGAGTTCAAGAAGAGCCTGGGCAACATGACGACACTCCATCTCTACAAATAATACAAACGTTAGCCAGGCATGATGATGCCCATTTGTACTCCTAGTTACTCCAGAGGCTGAGGTGGGAGGATCACTTGAGCCCAGGAGTTTGAGGCTGCAGTGAGTTATGGTCACACCACTGCACTCTAGCCTGGGTAACAGAGCAAGATCGTGTCTGGAAAAATATATAGATAGATATAGATATAGATATAAACTTGTTAAGAAAAAGAAAGAAAGAAAATATTTAACCATTATAAGCCAGACACAAAGGGGCAACTGTTGTATGATTCTGCCTATAGGACATACCTAAAATAGTCAAATTCCTAGGGACAGCAAGTGAAATAATGGTTACCAGGGGCTGGGGGAAGGGGAGAAAGAGGAGTTTATTGTTGAGCTTCAGGTGGGGATGATGAAAAAGTTCTGGAGATGGATAACGGTGATCGTCACACAATAACGTGAATGCACTGTACTTAATGCTACTAGACTGGACATTTAAAAATGGTTAAAATGGTAAATTTTATATTATGTATATTTTACCATGCCATTTAAATTAGCTAATTCAATGGGAAAGTAGCCTAGTTGCTTTTATGAAATAAAAAGTGATCACAATGTTTTACTTTCCACTTGTTTGATTTTTGTGTAGTCAGGGGACACACGAAAGAATCAGAGCTGTCCTTGGTAAAGACCAAATGGATGTTGGGGCTGGAAGCCAGAACTTTTGGGTTCATTTTCTGGCAGGGAGGCCTTGAGCTGATGACTTTAAATAAAATAGCCTTTAAAAGGAATTCCTACTGTCAATATAGTAAGTATCTCAGGAAAGCATGCTGGTTGATTTATCAAATCAGGACTAAGAATTCAGTACGTCCAAGCCCTCCATGGAGCTCCTTACAGAGCGCTATTAACAGAGCTGTCTCCACCAAGTGCCCTCTTCATGTTTATTTTAGTTTTGCCCAATACCCTGACTTTTCTAGGGTTTAGTAAATATTTGTTGAATGATGAAAGTACTATGCTGGGCTGGTTCATAGTTGGGGTTTAAAAGATTATCTGAAAATTAGATCACATTTTCCCAGGCACAACAGAATCTCAGACTCTCATTTTTTTTCTTTTCCTTTTTTTTTTTTTTTTTTTTTTTTTTTTTTTTGAGACAGGGTCTCACTCTGTGGCCCAGGCTGGAGTGCAGTGGCACATTCTCAGCTTAATCCAGCCTCGACTACCCGGCTCAAGCAATCCTCCTTCCTCAGCCTCCCAAGTAGCTGGGAACACAGGCGAGCAGCATGCCCAGCTAATTGTTTTTTTATTTTTAATGTTGTGTAGAGATGGGGTCTCCTTGTGTTGCCCAGGCTGGTCTCAAACTCGTGGGCTTGTGATTTTCCCACCTTAGCCTCTCAAAATGCTGGGATTACAGGCATGAACTACTGTGCCCAGCTTCTCTCTCTTAAAAATATCACTGGACAACTAAATTAAACGTCCCTATATTTTGAACTTGCATTATTCAAAAGTTGTAATCAATAGAAGGTCTGAGTGAAGAAGAGACACACTCCAGTTAAAATTAAATGGTGGTGAATTAATTTTGCTGCCTAAGCCCCTTATTATTCTCCTCTTTCTTCATCCTACACTCCAGCATTTGGGTTTTGACAAATTCTGAAAAGGCTAAATACCAGGTAGGGTAGAGAGTGGGGGTAGGGGGAGAACCCAGATTGGGGTCACGAAAGCTTAACAATAAATGAATGTTTTAAGGACAGCCATTCAATTTCTAACTTAGTTACTTTCCTTAATTGAATACCATTTAAAATTATTTTCAAAACATTCTATTCTTTGTCGTATGTCCTTTGAACATTACAAATAAAAATTATCCCCCCTGTAATTTTGCAATGCTGCATTGAACACAAATTATAACATTTTCCAAGTGCAGAGGAGTCTGTTATTTCCTCAGGGAGAGAAATCAATTTCCAAAGAGATTGCCTGGCTCATATCACTAGAGCAGAGGTTTAAACTGGTTGCCCTAGGGCTAAGTAAAGCCCAAAGTTAAAATTAAGTGGAATGGATTTCCATTTTTTAAAATTAGTTGCCAGCATCTAAAAATTGAGAGATTTCATATACAAATATAAAATTATAGGGGTTCTGGAAAAAATCTTTCAGCTCTTGTTAAGACAGGTCAACAAGCCACTAAGCCCTAATGATGGCTGTCTTCTCAGAGGGGTCCTGAACCCCCCAGTTCTCAACATCCCACTAGGGTCAACTTTACTCACTATCATTGCCTGCCTAAGTGCCTGTCAGTGCTTTAGTGTTTTTTAACATATTACAGTGGGAAAAATGCAAGTGAGTATCCTTGGACAGTATCAATAATAACTAATATCAATTATTAAAATAGAGTAGGAACCAAAGCCAGTAGTCACTCAGGCTTCTGTCATGCAGTTTAGGAGTTAACTACGTAATCTTTCTTTCCATGCTAATACCACAGTTGAATGGGAAAACATCCAAATACAGTGGCCACGGATACCCCTGTGAACAGTCTCCAAGAAAGTGATGTCTGGCCAGGTGCGGTGGCTCACACCTGTAATCCCAGCACTTTGGGAGGCTGAGGCGGGCAGATCAGCTGAGATCAGGAGTTCGAGACCAGTCTGGCCAATGTGGTGAAACCCCATTGCTTCTAAAAATATAAAAGGTAGCCAGGCGTGGTGGCAGGTGCCTGTAGTCCCAGCTATGTGGGAGGCTGAGGCAGAATTGCTTTAAACCAGAGGCGGAGGTTGTAGGGAGCTGAGAACCCACCACTGCACTCCAGTCTGGGTGACAAGAGTGAAACTCCATCTCAAAAAAAAAAAAAAACAAAACCAAAAACTGATGTCCAAGCTGAAGAAAGAGCAAAAGAGCATGACAGGCAGTGAACAGCACAGGTCTTGTTGCCAAATCATGTTTTAAAAATCTGCCATGGAGAACAAATAAGTAACAACACCCCATATAACAAAATGATAGGTTTTCATTTTGATGTATTGAAACATTTTCAGAGGACCCTAAGCTGTTGGCACTGAAACAGGCTACATTGAACAGGTAATTCCTGCCTCTTAGTTTAGCATCTCAAACCAAAATCTCACTGAATGCAGCTCAGCTAAAAAATCCCTTCTAACATTATCTAACGTTATCTAACATTAACTTCTAACGTATGACAGAGACAGATGAAACCTTGAGTGATGAGTTGAAGGTTAAATGAAGAGGAAGGACACTGAGGGGCCTGGGGACCCTAAGAGGTAAAGCGCCACTGTTTGTTGACACTCTTCATGATTTTTTCACTTTCCTTCCCCCGCTTGTAAAGGTTCCTCAGATTCACAAAGGGTAATGCCAAGGTCTTATTTTGTTTTAATCATCTCTTGGATGATGATTTAAATAGGATTTCATGTTTTAGTTCTAATAATGGTGGCTAACATTAATAAATGGTTATTATGTGTTAAGCACTTATGTACATTATTTTATTCAAGCCTCGTAAAACCCTCATGAGGTATGCACTATAACAACCTTCTTTTTTAAAGATGAAACTGAAGTTTTGAGAAGCTAAATAACATATTCAACTACACAGCCATGAAAAAAGAGAATGAAATAGACCAGGTGTGGTGGCTCACACCTGTAATCCCAACACTTTGGGAGGCCAAGACTGGCGGACTACTTGAGCCCAGGAGTTCAAGAGCAGCCTGAGCAACATGGCAAAACCCTGTCTCTACAAAAAATACAAAAATTAGCCAGATGTGGTGGCACGCACCTGTAGTGCCAGCTACTTGGGAGGCTAAGGTGAGAGGATCGCTTGAGCCTGGGATCCTCTTGTCCTCAGTGGGATGCACAGACATTCGGCTGCAGTGATCTGAGATTTCACCACTGTGCTGCAGCCTCGGCAACAGGGCGAGATGATCTCAAAAACAAGAATGAAATGATGTCCTTTGCAGCAACATGAATGCAGCTGGAGGCCATTATGTTAACCATATTAACACAGGAACCGGAAACCAAATACTCCATGTTCTCACTTATAAGTGGGAGCTAAACACTGAGTACTCATGGACATAAAGATGGCAACAAGACACACTGGGAACTACTAGAGTGGGGAGAGAGGGAGGAAGGGGAGAAGGAGTTGAAAAACTGTTAGGTACTATGATTAGTACCTGGGTGACTGAACCAATCGTACCCCAAACCTCAGCATCATGCAATGTATCTGCACATGTACCCCCTGAATCTAAAATAAAAGTTTAAATTATAACATAAACAAATAACATATTAATCATAAACCTAGTAAGTGGCCTGCTCTAAAAGTCCTGCTTTCAACCACTATTCTCTTAAGCGTAGCAGCTTTCAAAATGTAGCATGTCCATTTCTAAGAAGAGTGGAATTAAAGCTATACAAATTGGGGCTTGGCCCTTGTCACAGGCTGTGTCAATAGACCAAAGACTGAAAGAAGATGAGATTCAGGGAAGGTCAAACGCAAACCAATGCATCACCAAAAGAAAGGATTTTGGAGTTATTATTAGTATTATTATACAATGAGCAAACTACATAACATAATCTCCAGAGACATGTAATGAAATTAGAAAAGATCCAGGGACAGTGGCATCCATAATCAAGGAGAGAGGAATGGGGCTTGAATAAGAAGAGAAGTTTTGCCTGTTTTACTCTGGAAAGATGAATGCTAAGTGGAATAAAAAGACTCCTGGGAACCTAATTAAATTAGAATACAACTTTAACCAGCAAACAAAAAATATTAAGAACTTATTCTGAGAATTGGTGTATTTGGAGGGGAGATATTTAGAATATATTTTTAAAGTCTGAATTTTTAATAAATAAGATAAATTAGTATGTTTCGAAGGTGCACTCTTATTTTTTAAGTTTGAATATTACACTGCAGCCTGAGCGATCTTTTCAAAATGCAAATCCAATCACGGGATGCGTTCTTCCATTAAAATGGCTTCTCGACCGGGCGCGGTGGCTCACGCCTGTTATCCCAGCACTTTGGGAGGCTGAGGTAGGCGGATCACGAGGTCAGGAGATCGAGACCATCTTGGCTAACACAGTGAAACCCTGTCTCTACTAAAAATACAAAAAAATTAGCTGGGTGTGGTGGCGGGCGCCTGTAGTCCCAGCTACTCGGGAGGCTGAGGCAGGAGAATGGCGTGAACCCGAGATCGTGTCACTGCACTCCAGCCTGGGCGACACAGCGAGACTTTGTCTCAAAAAAAAAAAAAAAAAGGCTTCTCACTGTTTATCACTCCTAAGGACTTTCCTTAACATAGTCACGCAGGGGACTGAAACTTCTTGCTTTTACTTTCCTGGCCTCCCGTTGAATCACACTCCCCCTTGCTGGTGACGGTGGGCTCTTGGGCAGCTCCTCCGGCTCCCACACTCATGAGGGCAACTGCATCATCTTGGGCCAGATCAGATCTCCATTTCCTGGGCCCTCACAGCACCGCTTTTTCATACAACCCTGTTGCTTCCTCCCACCAGGCTGTAGCCTTTGCACCCTCAGCAGTTACCAGTAGGTAAAAAGCCTGGAAACATCTGTTGAACGGAGGAGTCCCATACCCTTTAGAGCTGAATTCTGCTTTGGGTAAATTAGGGAGCCAGTAGTGGAAGTTAGCTTATTTATTTATTTATTTTTGTACAGATGGAGTCTTGCTATATTGCCAACCCTGGTCTCAAGCTCCTGGGATCAAGCAATCCTCCCACCTCGGTTCCCAAAAGCGCTAGGATTACAGGTGTGAGCCACTGCATTCACCCAGCATTTTTGTTTTATCAAAATTTATGAGGGAAATGGGAGAAGAGTCTTCTGTATGTAAACTAAGATATCGCTATGAAACCAATAAGTTTTAAACTATAATTAAGAGACTAAATTCTCCTATTTGTATTTGCCCCATTTAAAAACAAATTGTGCCCTTCCCCAGCTCCAATATTACCTCCCTGCTTTATGTATCTCCATCAGACATACTCTATATATCTCATTTATTTTGTTTGTTATGCATTTTTCCCACGAGAAAGTAACCTCCAGGAGGGAAGGGATATTTGTCTCTTTTGCTCACTTCTGTATCTCCCAGTCTACAGCTGTGTTTGGCACATAGTAAATGCTCTTTCTGTATTTGTTGAATGAATGAGTTTAGTTCAGTAGTCTTCCTTGCCCAGAGATAGCAGGCAAAAACATCAATTAACCCCGAAGTAAATTTTCATGGAATCCAGTTCTGGATTTTTTAAAGGCTCTTAATGCAACTATATTTAGCTGTGATCCCTTCACATTAGGCTTCCTAATACATCAGGGGTCCTCAAACTACAGGCCATCAGAATCATCTGAGAGCTTGTAAAAGTTGCAGATTCTCATCATCAAAGATTGGAATTATGCAGTCAGACCCCAGCTAAGGGCAGTTCCAGGAGCTGCATTCGGACTGTGGCCCAAGGGCCAGTTTGAGAAACACGGGCTGTGACCCCCAGCACGTGCCGAGTGAAAGCTCAATTCCTCTAAGGCAGTATTTATCACCTACATTGGCTCCGTACCCATGCGGGTTTTAGCAATAAATAACCAATGTCCAAGGGACAGGTACCCTTCGCTCGTTTTTACAGATCTGGAAACACTGACCATCCCTTCCTCTCCGCTTCCCCTCCGTTCCCGCAAATTTACGTGGTTCCCGCCAGGATAAAAGACAGGTAAAAAGTACGCAGAGCTACCAAGAAAAAGAAGGGACGCTCAAGGCACACTAGGGTCCAGGCCGGACACCTCCGCCAAGTAAATGCCTTGTGACCTTTGCCTTTGCACCCGGGGCCAATAGTTGGCGACTTTTCGGCGCTTCCCGCTGGGAACGTGGAGGCCCGTGGGGGAAACATTCCAGCCTTCGGCGGAGGAGGCGCGGGGCGGGGCGGGGGGGAGGAGGGAACCGAGGGGGCGGGACAGAGGAGAGGCGGGGCCTGGGCGGGGCGGGGCTAGAGGGCGGCCTGAGGCTGCGGCCACGAGGAAGAGGGGCGGGGGGCGGAGCCTGGGAATGGGGCGGGGCCGGAGAACAGCCCGTCGCTAAGGCCTGCGACCCAGACAGCGGGGAGGAGGCGGTGCCGCCCGCTCTGGCCCCGCCCCTCGGGGGGTGGGCCCAGCGGGAGGGCCCGGCTGGCCGAGCGCGCGGGAGACAGTTCGCTCCGACTGCCCGAGCGAGGGCGCTTCGCTCCCAGCCAGGACATGGCCGCACCTCTCCTCATCAGGAGCGCCGGCTCACGGACTTCTCGCCCAACTCCCTGAGCGCTCCCTCGTTTCGATCTTTAGAAAACCCCGCTTTCTTTCTGGGGCCGTGACGAGGGGCAGGGAGCGGCGAGCAAGGATGCGTTGAGGACCGCGAGGGCGCGCGTCTCGGGTGCCGCCGTGGGTCCCGACGCGGAAGCCGAGCCGCCTCCGCCTGCCTCGACTTCCCCACAGCGCTTCCGCCGCCGCCTGCCGTGCTTGATGTGCAGAAAGAAGCCGGACACCATGATCCTAACACGTAAGCTAGACTTGCGTCTTGCCGTCGGGCTGGCCGCGGGAGCGGGCTGCGGAGGGGACCCGCCGCGAGAAAGTGTCACCCCGCCTTGTCAAGTCGGTGCCTGTTCTGTGCTCTTTAAACGCTTTCTGCAGAGTCTCCGGATTTTCTTGGAGGTGGTGTGGGGATAGCAGGACTCGCAGTTTGGGGAGGGAGTTTGAATTTTGGAGGAGTGACTCTTGATTACCTTTTGCCTGGGGACCGCGGGCCAGCGCACCAGGCGGGCTCCGGATCGGTCGCAACCCGTGAAGGGAAGCCCTGGTTCACTTTCCTCCTTGAGCCGGGCGGGGGCTCGCGGCTCTGGCTCGAGGGGCGCGGCGACACCGCCTTCTACCTTCCTTTCCTCTGGGGACTGCTCTGCGCTCGTACTGATCTCCTGTCATTCACCAGCTTAGTCCAAAATCAAAGTGAACTCCGGGAGAGTTTACTGTTTGGGAACATTTTAGACCCTAGTGGCGCTTGGAAATTTTTTTTTTTCATCACTGCCTGAAAGTTCACCAAAAACTTGTTTTCCTTTTCAACCATTTTTGGGTAAGATACTTTAAGCGCTGGGAATTAACTCAGACCTGGCCAGGGAAGTCTCGGTTTGGTGGCCGCAGGTACCTGGAGAGTGTTGGGGTAGTTTAGCAAGCCCCGTGGCTTGCAAACGTGCTTCTTGCTAGGAAACACACACACACACACACACACACACACACACACACAGTTTTGGTTTTTTTCCCGGAGATGGGTCGCTGAATCGTGTCCCTGAAATGCCCCCTTGGGGATGCCCACCCCCTTGACCCGGACAAGGAGGCCGAGGAGCGAGTTCCTGGGCCGGAGAGAGGAAGGAAGCTCGCCTCCCGACCCGACTATTTTCGTAACAAGGCGACAGCTTCTTGGAAGCCTGCCCCCACTCCATGTCGCTGTCCCCACCTCCAGAGTCCTGGGGCGAGCCTTTGATCCCTCCGAAGGAGGTGCACCCCTCCTCTCTGCAGCACCCTGCTGCGTGTAGTTTGCTGCGTCCGCGAGCGTCCTTCAGCGCACAGCCCCTGGGGCGAGGAAAGTGAGAGGGGACACGGGGTCAGGCTGGTGGGGTCTCATCCTGGTCAGCAGCCTGCTAGCTGGGCGAACTTGGGCAGTGACAGGACCTCGCTGTGCCTCCTTCATCTGCACCAAAGGGGTGATAACTGTATTACCTCCGCGCGGGGAGGTTGTGAGGATCAAATGAGCTCATGCAAGTAAAGTGATTAGCAGGTTGCCTGTTCCCGATGTTCAATAAATACCCAGTGTGTGCTAATCACCGCAGAAGGAAACCCCTGCTTGCAGTCATTAATCTGCACTTAAAGAAAGCTTCGTCCCACTCCCCACCCTTCCCCATCCCCAGTCTTGTTTTGAGTGAGTCTTTTTACACCCAATATGGATGAGCAAATGGATTCATTCTCAGGATTCAGAGGTTGTTTCGGCGATTACTGGTGACATAGAGGAATGCAGCCTAGGCTGGTGGCATTGATGATGTATTTGGAAAAAACATTGCAGCTCGGGAGAAGGCAGAATACTGAGTCTCAGATTACATTTTTTTTTTCCTCCAAAATTCTGTTTGCTGAAGGGATGAGGGAAAATAATAGTCCAGCAGACTGCAGCCCTCTGAATGTAAATCTATCAGCAGCTCCAAGAGGTTGACTAATTCGCCATCCATCTGGACTACAGACTGGTCCTCGGTGGAGATAATTTGCAGACTGTAAGTGTGGAATTAATGGAGTTGCCATCTTGGCTTGCAGACGGCAGCAGATGGTCAGAGGGGTGCCCTGTAAGGCAGCAGCCCCTCTAATCGAAGAACTAAAGTCCTGGGGAACCAGTGTCAAATGGTTAGCAGATGTGTGCACAAAAGTTATTTTGAGACATTTTCTGAGAAAATGTTGGCGATTGCATGTATTCACATTTCTTGTGGCATGCCAGATTTACAGCGTGGCCTGAGCGCAGATGCATACTTTTTGCATTAGGACTACTGTTCAGAGTTTAAAATGAAGCACAGCAGACTGAGTTTCTCTCCTGGCTGTTTTGAAAAGTTTGCTTTTGACAAATACTTATTTTATTTTAATTTACACAGAGTAGCACCAGACACCAAACAGCCTGGAATTTCAAAAAGGGGACTGGGGATAAATAGTTTCCAACTTAAATCTTTCCCTGGAGTGGGTGAGAAAAGTGGTTTTGGTGACTTATGTCATAACTTCCCAATTGCAGATTTCATGAGAAACACCACTCATTCCTTAAACAGTGAATAGATGAGCAATTAACTATTGCTAACTATGAAGGCAGTGTTTCAAATTTTAATGCACTGGAAAGATTGAAGGATTTTCTTAGGGCTCTGGAGTAAAGGTGAAAGGCAGGTTACCCTTCAACCTAAAGCCCTTGTTTGCATGTTTTTTTGTTGTTCTGTACTGTAGTTGAGAGAGCAAAGACTAAGCAAAGTTTAGAGCATTTCTACATTAAAAGAGGTGTTTGGGTGCTTCTGGAAAATATACCAGACCAGTAGAAAGACATGTTGTGATTCAACAAGCTATTACTGTGAAGTGAGTTTAAAAATGTATATAGTACTTAAACTCTTATTTGTAGAACTATTATGGGACTTAAAGGGGATATGGGAGGCCACAGTTGAGATGCCTTCCAATCAGAGGCTTGGTGAGATTCCAAGAGGTGGTTTCAAATACAGCAATAAGTACTTGGGTTTCCCTTGGTGTCCCCATGGAGATTTTAAGCCATGATGCAATGTTTAAATCAGAGTGGTATTTTTATGACTTAAGCGGGTAAATATGCAATTGGAAAATATTCAGGGAAGGGTGATTTGGTCCAGAAGAGTGGGGGCATCCAGAGTACAGTGGGTGAAATGGATCGGACTTTTTGGAAGAGAGCCTTGTGCTGGACAGGATGGTCCAGTATTGTCAACACAAGTTTCTCATGCTTCACTCTCCTTCCTAGCAACAGGAAGACGGAAATGAGGCCATGCAAAAATAAAAGACCCTGAAAGACTCCAGACAATACCTGATCCACCCTACCATTCACCCTGTATAGCCAGAAGACTTTTACAAAAGTAAAAATAACTTCAGATGTTTCCCCTTCCTCCCTGGCTATTGCCAAATCATTAAAGACCGAATTCTCAGTGCTTTACAACATCATAGCAAAACCTGGCCCCATGGTGTGACTCGCATCCAGACCCACATCATGCCAAGCCTGTTCTTGAGATTATAAAGCAGACCTGGGGAGAAAGGTGATTTTCATTTGTAATGTGTGCACAGTCCAATGATTTGAATTACATGAGTTGGGATCTAGTGGGAGAGAACTAATTTCTTTAGTGTCTAGACAGTTGTATCTCTGACTTTTCTCAGAATGCTCATTTTATCAGGATCTGCTCCTGAAATTCTTAGTTTGGAGCTGTGGGGCTCTAATGCAAAGGAGTAATCTGTACGTCATTCAAGACACTAAAAAATACGTTCCTTCATGTTGCAGTCTGGGTGAACTAATGCCCAACCATAGAGTGTAAATATCCAGTGTGTCCTAGAAAGCACAATTCCAAGATCCTCTTTTCCATGGCTATGAAATTAGAAGGAACATGCTTTTCTGGAGCACTTTCACAACTGTCTCTATTTCTGACTCTGTGGCCTTTGCATATGGATGAATGCAGAGGGAGGTGAAGGCTGTTCCTCTTTGAAGGAAGACAGTGCTGTAGGGTTGAAGTATGTTTTATAGGAATGAGTTACTGCGTTGAATGAGCGCCATCAGCGGTGTTTTCTTTCAGCTTCAAATTAGTTAGAGATTCAGTTAATGTAAAAGGGTTTAGATTCCCAGCTGAGAAGGACTCCTTCTGTCCTCTGGCCCTTTTCCTTCTGTGGGACCTTGTGTTATTAGGGATTACCATGATCAGTGATAAGAACTGCGGAGTCCTCCTGGGGATCCTCTAATTAGGTCTACTCTGTCTTAACGTTTTGTTCACTTGCCATCATAATTAATGTTCTGCCTTGCCATCATAATTTGTTCTGCCTTGCCATCATAATTAATGGAGAACAGGAAGAAAGCCTTCACATTAAGCTTATATATTTTCTTTTTTCTCTTTTTTTTTTTTGAGACGGAGTCTCTCTCTGTCGCCCAGGCTGGAGTGCAGTGGCGCAATCTTGGCTCACTGCAAGCTCCGCCTCCCGGGTTCACGCCATTCTCCTGCCCCAGCCTCCCGAGTAGCTGGGACTACAGTAGGCGCCGCCACAATGCCCAGCTAATTTTTTGGTATTTTTAGTAGAAACAGGGTTTCATCGTGTTAGCCAGGATGGTCTGGATCTCCTGACCTCGTGATCCGCCCGCCTCGGCCTCCCAGAGTGCTGGGATTACAGGCGTGAGCCACCGCGTCCAGCAAGCCCATATGTTTTCTTAGTGTCTCCCAGGCAGCAACGAGACTTCTCTATTGTGGCCCTTACGGAGCCTTATAGTTACTTTGTAATTTCCTGGGAGGCTTGTGTGCGTAGGTAGGCAGCTGTAATGTTAGAGTGCAGGAATGACAAATTTTTTGTGAGTCCCCTCCATGGGGGGAGTCTAGTGAGAGGAGACTTGGGGCTCTGTCTTTAACATTTGGGGGAGTGTTCTGGGATACCATTTTCTAAAACTCTGGCCCGCGTTGACTGTACGAAATAATGTTTTCTTCAGTGAAAGTACTTTCAAATATTATTTCTAAAGGAAACTTTTCTCCCAAATGTGACTGAAAATATGTGAATGCCTGCCTATAAGGAAATAAAGTTTTGAGCACCAAAAAGTGAACTATTACATCCTTCTAAAGTGAAGCCAAGACACAGTGGAAATCAGTTTCTCTTAATCATTCATCAGCCTTGGGGTTTTTTGGTTGTTGTTTTTTTGGGGTTTTTTTTTTTGTTCTACTAGACTTACTTTCCTCGTGAAAAGTGTGCTTATTTTCATTTTATACATTTCTCTACTTGGTGCCTTTTGGTGTCTACCCCTTCCCCCGTCGGGGAAAAATCAAAAGCTCATTGAAGGCTGAGGTCAGTGAAGCTGAGTCCTCAGATGCCTTTGGCACCTCCCATCCACATTTTGTTCTCTGCCCTGCCCCACCTTTGAGTGTCCTGTGGAGAGGACTGGAGGTCACTTCCTGAAGCTTGTCAGAAAGGCGCCTTCCTTCTCCTCGCAGGAGTCTCTAAAGGATGTTTAAGGGACAAAAGTTTTCCACACCCTGGGGTGGTAGCATTTCCCAGGCTGGCAGCACTTTAGGAAGCCACGGAAGAAGAGACTTCAGAAGTGAAATGGCCTGTGGCCCATGCACGGTGCTGCCCCACAGCCACGCTGTGTCCCTCCTCACACTCAAGTGACAAAATAGAAGATGCTGAAACTGAAGTGATTTTTACCTCCTGATTCTGGAGAAACCATAAACTCATAAGGGATCCAATCTCCATACAGTTCTCTTTTTCAAATTGTATAGCACAGAAAGGGCATTTTATGTAATGCTTGGACATCTGTAAAAGTCATTTTCATGGGACGTTCCAGAACTTGGCAAAGGCAGCCTGGAAAACCAGTGCCTTTTCCCTACTGAGGGGCGGCTGAGATGCAGAGAGGTTCAGTGACCAGTCCAAGATCACATGTGAGTTGACTGGAACCTCAGACCCCTTCCAGTCAACATGTCTAAACAAAATGAAGGTCTTAAGTTGTTTGTAGGAACCTGAATCACAATTTGACCATTAGATTAATTTCTGTTCATTCATTAGTGTTCATTTAGGGGGCTGGGTGTCCCAAGCAATACTGGTGAAAATAATTCCTTAGCTCACCTAGAACACAGCAAATCTTACTTTTTTCTCACACTTTTTGGCACAAAACTGAGAACGTCTAGTTGAATAGTGTTTCCTCTTTGAGGTTTGACATAGAAATGGCTGGAGGTGGCTTATACTCCTAACAAGTACCTGCCATATTTTCATTGTCATTGGTCTTTGATAAGGGAACTTGATATTTCATTCATTTTCTTTTTTCTGTTAGAATGGACGAAAATATGGGTGAGCAGTTTTTTTAATAGACGTTCCTGCTATCACCTTTATTTCTAATTTAAGGTTTTACAGTGTTGCAATTTGCACACTATTTTATTTTCTCCTGTGCTATCGCAGAACTATAAAGCAAAAGCCAATGTTGCGGGAGATGCCCCTCGTAGAATAAGCTTTGCTAACATATGTAAAAGAAAGAGTTTATTTGTATGCCAACTTTTAATAATAGAGACAGGGTTACTCTAGGTTTGTAACCAGATATTTTGCCTTGAATAATAAGTTTAAAGAGGGAATGGATTATATAATCTTAAAACACTTGCTTCATTTTACCAAAAAAAAATGAGACTCAGAAAAATAAGGACCTTTAAAACTGTATTAATTAGATACTTTTCTTTCTTGAAATTCTTAATCTATGCAGTTATCATCTTCAAAGGACTTCGTACTTTATGAGCTATTCCAAATTACTGTTGTTAGTGCATAGTTTGAACTGCATAAATATTTGACGTGGAATACTAGAAATACGTACACGTGTGTGTGTGTGTGTGTGTGTGTGTGTGTGTATGGATAGAGAGATATGTGTGTCCCTGTAGCAGCGATTTATTTTTATCCTGCCCCAGGTTGAAATGAAATAGAAAGATGTGATGATTCAGTATCCATTTCCTTCTTAGTTTATTTTGATTTCAGTTTGACCTCTTTTTGCTGGGTAATAAGTGCCAATTTTTGATTAGTTGGGAGATATTTTCTGTTCCTGGAAATAACTGGATCCGCACAAGCCTAGAGGGCCTGATGGAGCCATGTCCCTCATGGGCTCAAATTCATCCAGAGCTGTTGCCTTTGCCAGGGAAGAGCACATATTTTGATGTGAGCTGCTTGCCTTTTCCTGGTTTATGTGTTAAAAGGAGTACTTTGCAAACTCTTGTACTAGATGATCCCCAAAGAGGATTTCAATTGGTTTAAATTCTACATGGCTAAAGTGTCACTTGCAGGGCTTCACCCCAGGTATAGGCTTGCAGGGCCTGTCTCCCAGTGTTTCCTCCTTTCAAGGCAAAACCATTTATTAAGTTGTCATCACATCACAGGGAAAATGGGTCCTTTTTCCCCTCCTTTCTATAATTTCTAGGAATGTTCTTTAATAGAAAGCTGTATATGTATGTCTCCAAATCTCAAGCAGAAGAATAAGAGAAAAAAAAATGAACAAAACTTAAAAAGGAAGCTCCCCAAAGCTTCCATTCCTTACTAGGACTGAAAACCAGTATGGTGATTTACAAGTGAGGGCACTGTTGAAATAGGCAAGAAGGGCCTAACCTGGGGATGAGAGCTGGGTAGCTTTAGCCCCTTCAGCAAATCACCTCAATTCTGTACCAGCTTCCTCATTTGTAAAGAGAAAAGATGAAAAGCTTCAAGAGGTATTTCAGCGCCCAAGTCACGGATTCTTTGGAAGACAACATGCTGCTGTAAACATGAAAGATCAATAAGGAAAGTAAAACTCTTAAGAGCCTTCTATGCATTGAAGTGTTTTCTTCCTCTCAAGTTGAAATTTAGAGGGCTATAGACACGCACAGAAGCAAACGTCATTGGTTTTGTGTTGTCTATGATATGAATACAGGCTTCATGGGACAAATCAAGAAGTCGATCTCTTAAAAAGCAAATTAGGCCAGGTTTGGTGGCTCATGCCTGTAATCCCAGCACTTTGGGAGGCCAAGGCGGATGGCTCACTTGAGGTCAGGAGTTTGAGACCAGCCTGGCCAACATGGCGAAACCCCGTCTCTACTAAAAATACGAAAATTACCCGGGTGTGGTCGTGAGCACCTGTAATCCCAGCTACTTGGAAGGGTGAGGAAGGAGAATGGCTTGAACCCAGGAGGCAGAGGTTGCTGTGAGTTGAGATTGTGCTACTGCACTCCAGCGTGGGTGACACAGTGAGACTCTGTCTCAAAAAAAAAAAGGAAAAAAGAAAGGCAAATTGGAAATGTTAGCTTTTAAAATAAAAGTAATTAAAACTTTCGTAAATTTACAAAACTGGGGATCTCTTGTAGCAGTTTCTAGTGGTCCAGTTTTTTGAGGGAAGAAGAATGTTTCCATGTAATTGATAAGACATCTGGAAAATTAACAGCGGGCATGGAACCCTTTCTAGAGGTGGTCTTAGAGAGAAGGTGAAATGGGCATAAAGGAAATATTAGAGTCAAAAACTTAGGGAATTTACAAAGCCACTGGCAAGCGCAGGTTTTATAGATGAAGCAACAGGGCCAGAGAAATTCTTTTCTTAAGGCCACCTATCTAGGCAGTGGATTCTTTCCTGGAGTTGTTTTCCTGACTTGTTACAGTAATGCTTTGTCCTCTGTGATAGAGTATCAGAAGGACTCCAGGGCACCCAGGTGCAAAGCTGTTTTACATCTGAGGAAATAATGTTGGTTGCTCATTGTATAACCAGGCTCAGAAGGTGCTTCCATCTGATCCATGAGATAACTTCCTTTCTGCTTCATACTCCTGCTTTTTGGTCTGTATTGTAGTAAATCCAGACTGCATTCCTCCCAACACTTCTGCTTCCCAGCTTACCTCTTACTTCATTCAGGGTCCTTTACACCGAATCCCCTCTCCTGCAATCCAGTTTCATATCCAAGATCATAATGCTTCCTTAAATAAAGGAGTACAGACTGGGCCCAGGCAGACCCCACTTGTCCACTAGCGAGAAGGGACACCCCTCCCACTCTGATGTCACACATGTCTTTCCTATGTCATATCACATTCCTCTTCCTACTGTACACAAGTTCTTCATGCTTAGAAGAAAAACTATGCATGAGAATAGTGCATTTCAAATTGGTCACATTGGTATATAACACAGCATTTAAAAATATATAAAAATATAAGACTGTATCACTTATTGTAGGTTTTATTTGAAACTTCTTTTATAATAGTTACATATACAGACACGTGTTTATATGCATGAATGTGTACTTATATTTATACACACATATATACATGTACATACATGTATATGTGTGTACCATGTTACAATGTAGAATGTATTTCCTATTGGGGATCCTGGTCAGAAAAATTAAGACCACTTACTAGAACAAAAATTGTATGAGTGGTTTATTTCTTTATGTAATATTTATTGAGCAACTACTGTGTGCTGTTGTAGGTGCTTGGGATATATCACAGAATAAAATGGACAAAGAAGCTTGCCCTTTTGGAGCTTACGAAGAGGAAAGACAGAAAGTAAACATAATAAGTTTTGTGGAAGAAGAAAAAATAAAACAGGAAAAGAGGGAGAGAGGGCCCAGGTGCCACGGCCCACGCCAGTCATCCCACACTTTGGGAGGGAGGCCGAGGCAGGCAGATCACTTGAGGTCAGGAATTCGAAACCAGCCTGACCACCACGGTGAAACCATGTGTTTACTTAAAAAAAAAAAAAAAAAAAAAATTAGCTCAGTGTGGTGGCGGGCGCCTGTAGCCCCAGCTACTCAGGAGGCTGAGGCAGGAGAATCGCTTGAACCTGGGAGACAGAGGTTGCAGTGAGCCAAGATTGTGCCACTGCATTCCGGCCTGGGAGACAGAGTTGAGACTCTTTGTCAACAACCAAAAAGGTGCGGGGGCGGGGGGTGCAGGGAGCAGGGGGACAGGGCATGAGAGGAGGCCGGTGTGGCTGGATCAGTCAGAGGCAGGCAGGGTCCTGACAGGGGCCAGGACATGTGGGACATTGTTAGGAGTTTGGCTTTCACCAATGAAAGGGGCACTCACTAACGTGACGTGTACAGGGTCACTTCGGGCTTAACAAACACGTGGACCTTGCAATAGCCCTTAGGAAACCAGTTCGTTTCTAAGTGGAGGATAGAGGGTCCTCATACGCGCTGTACTCCACTGTGAATTTCCTTTCCACTTGGCTTCCTGCTTCAAGTCAGGAGCTTGTGTCTTTGATTTTCCCCGAGAGCTGCTGGCAGTACGCCTAGTTGGATCAATAAATAGTGAAAGGGAAAATGTAGGATGATTAGCTTTAGCTAAACATAGGACTGTACTAAAATATACCTAACAGTAGATTTGAGTTAGCTATTGTTAAGCCAGATAGCCTAAGAAACTGACTTAGTGACTGACCAGTCTCCCAGAAGCTTCTTGTTTTTTTTTTTTTTTTTTTCAGACTATGCATAGCAGATGTTTGGAATTTTTTTAGGCACCTGAGGGCAGGAATGCTGTCAGTTGCTGGTGAAAATCTTTACTGTGATTAGATAACATTAGAGTTTAATAAATATTAATATATGAAGTCTGCTGTCTGTCTTAACCTTACTAGGAATTTATTTTACATAGATAACTCCTGATAACCAGTCTTTGGCAACTGCGTATGTTTAACAGTTGGTTGTTTTTTAATTGCAAAGAGTAAGAGATTCAAGTCATCGTTTTCAGTCTGCCTTTAAAGAAAGGAAAATAGTAATAGATTTTTTTTTTTCTTTTCCTTCTTCACACCAACCTATCTGTAATTCCTTTGTGCAAAAAGTTGTCTTTCGGGATATACAAATGAATTAAAAAGTGAGAAGTTGGTGGAGTGAAGAAGGGGTAATTCATTTGAGAGAACTCAGGGCTTAAGGTATGAGAGCTTGGTACGTCCTCAGAACTCCAAGGAGTTTGGAAAGCCTGGAGCAAGCTTACATTTGGAGGCCTTCCAGGAGTTGAGTGGATAGGCAGATGCCAAACTGTGAAGGCTGTGGTCTTTGCTGAGGAGTTTGGATTGTATTTGAAAGGCGGTGGAAAGTCACTAAAGAATTCTAAGCAGGGGAGTGACATAATGAAATATGTGTTTCATAAAACCAGCCCAGTGGCTCGGGGATCCTTGAAGGAGGACGGATTTGTTGGGGGCAGGGAGGGGTGAGGCTTATCAGAGTTCCGTGAGGAGGCTGTTAGGATAATCCAAGGGTGAAAAAGTCCAGGACGAAGGAATACAAAGAAATGTTATCTGGCTTAGTGGTCCTCAATCCTGGCTGCCTTTAAACTGAGGGAGCTTTTCTGAAATACAATGTCCAGGCCCTACCTAGACTGAGTGAATCAGAATACCTGGGGAGGGGATGGTCGGTGTTTTTAAAAAGCTCCCTGGCCAGGCACGGGTGGTTCACGCCTGTAATCCCAGCACTTTGGGAGGCCGAGGCAGGAGGATTGCCCGAGCCCAGGAGTTTGAGATCAGCCTGGGCAACATAGCGAGACTCTGTCTCTATAAAAAATAGTATAAAAACTTAGCCAGGCATGGTGGTACACACCTGTAGTCCCAGCTACTCAGGAGGCTGAGGCAGGAGGGTTTCTTGAGCCCAAGAGTTCAAGGCTACAGAGAGCTGTGATCATGCCACTAGACTCCAGCCTAGGTGACAGAGTAAAACCCTGTCTCAAAAAAGAAAAGAAAAGAAAACTCCCCAGCGCAATGCCTGCCTACATCCAGGGCTGGGAGTCACCAAGATTTCCTTACCTTACTACAAGTATTTGTGGTCGTGATTTGCTTCTCCCAGTGAACGCCCTCTGGAACCCACCCATCAGGTAAAGATGGGTTGTAATTAAAACCATCGTATCCACCTGCACAACATTCCTGCCAAATTGGTCACCTTGATGTCATCAGAATTGATAAGCAGTGTCTTCCTTCCCATTTGAAGGAATCTTTGTCACCACGGGGAGGAGAATGCATCTTGGTTTGGATCAAAAAGCACCACCTGCCTGCACACAGCTGACACGGTTCTCTAGCAATAAAAGCATCAACTTTTCCATGAATCTTTGCCCATATGTCTATCAAATTTTAGGGAATCCAGGGAATCTGCAAAGTGCTTGAATTTTCTTACATTCCTTTAATTTCTTAAAATTGCATTTTTAAAAAAAATTCACTGTACCATTTGCATCGAAGCCTGATTTTGGTGGCATATTATCACAGAAGAGAGGAAATCCAAAAGTTCCCCCTGTGAAGCTAGAGCGAATGGTAGATTGAAGTAATCATATCTTGTTTAGACCCAATTACTGTTGCTCAACCAGCTAAGATAACAGAGTTCCACAGAATGATGCTGGGGGTGGGGAGTTTTTGTTCAGCTTACTGTTGAGGAGTGATGGGAAGACAGGATCATCCCGTCATGCCAGGAAATGTGCAAATATGGCCTAATGGTTCCCAGCCATACACAAAAGGGTGTCCGGGACTCATCCATCTAATGTCCAGAACTGCTTTGTGAAATGACTTTGACTAAAGCTGTTTCCAATAAAAATTTCCTGTTTCCTCCTTACGGCATTTGTCTGTTGTTTGCTTAGAGAAAACCCAGGTATAAAAGTTTCATTGTATTTCCATTGTATTTTTAGTTTCTAGTGGCATTTTTGTTCAGTGGGGAATGTTTTTTAAAAAAATCATCCTCGTAATTTTCACATCACCACCCACATACATTGAAGGGAAAATCACACATTCAGAGCTGTGTTAGAGGCCCCCCAAAACAAGCATGGGGTAGATAAACGTGTCCAAAGTAATATAATATATATGCGGTTTTCAGTAATATTTTAGATTTTGTTCATTGTTACATAATATATTATATGTATTTGTTACATAATATACATTTTATATATATATATATATATATATATATATTTTTTTTTTTTTTTTTTTTTTGCGACGGAGTCTCTTTCTGTCATCCAGGTTGGAGTGCAGTGACCCAATCTCAGCTCACTGCCACCTCCGCCTCCCCGGTTCACGCCATTCTCCTGCCTCAGCCTCCTGCGTAGCTGGGACTACAGGCACCCGCCACCACGCCTGGCTAATTTTTGTATTTTTAGTAGGGACGGGGTTTCACCGTGTTGGCCAGGCTGGTCTCGAACTCCTGAGCTCAGATGATCTGCCTTCCTTGGCCTCCTAAAGTGCTGGTATTACAGGCGTGAGCCACCATGCCCAAGCTGTTACATACAGTATTTTTAAAGGGAAGAATCTGTCTTGCAGGAAGAACCTTGCATTTTTGTAATTGTTCTTTCTCTCACTATGGCATTTGAATGTAGAAATCTCATTTTTAAAAATTTTTTTATAAGTTTTTTTTTTTTTTAGATAGAGTCTCACTGTATTGCCCAGGCTGGTCTTGAAGTCCTGGGCCCAAGCAATCCTCCCACCTCAGCCTCCTGAGTAGCTGCGAATACAGGCAGAAAGCTCTTTTTTCTTTTTATATTTTTTGTAGAGATGAAGTCTCGCAATTATTGCCCAGAGTGGTCTTGAACTCCTGGCCTCAAATGATACTCCCACCTAGGCCTCCCAGAATGCTGGGGTTACAGGTGTGAGCCACCTCGCTTGGCCTCAGAAAGCTCATTTTTAAGGAGAGGTGGTTACTTCTCTATCTGTTTCCTCATGTGTTTATCTCAGAGATATTAGTAATCCACATTTTAGGATCAATGTGAGGTGTAAATGAACTAATATGCACTAGCGCTTAGACAGGGCCTTATGCGTATTAAGCACTCAGTAAAGTGACCCATTGATATAGAACTGTTGAGAGGTAAATGGGAAGACTGCATGGAGGAGGTGGCATTTAGTTGGGATCTTGAAGGATGAGTGAAATTTCATCTTCAGCATTTCAGGCCAGATAATTCACTGAAGTGCAGTGTGTGTGGAGATGAGCACCAAATTTACTTTGGCTAGAGTGCTTGGGTACAGGGAGCTGAACAATTAGGTTGGATGCCAAGTGGAGAGCCTTGAAAACCTTGCCAGGGTGTTTAGACCTATTTTTTTTTTTTTTTTTTTTTAGACAGGGTCTTGCCCTGTTGCTCACGTTGGAATGCAGTAGTGTGGTCACAGCTCACTGCAGCCTCCACCTCTGGCTCAAGTAGGTCCTTCCACTTCAGCCCCTCAAGTAGCTGAGACAACAGGCATGTGCCACCATGCCTGGCTAATTTTTGTATTTTATGTAGAGATGGGGTCTCCCTATGTTCTTCAGGCTTGTCTTGAACTCCTGGGCTCAAACAGTCCACCCAACTCTCCCTCCCAAAGTGCTGAGACTACAAACGTGAGTCACCGCACAGAGCTAAGACCTCATTCTTTACACGTGGAGCTCCAGCGAAGTTTGTGAAGGAGAGAGAAGATTAATACTGTAACTCAGAAAGTTTGATGAGCCAGGATTGATGGACAGATTCTCTTAAGAGAGGGTTGTTTACAGACCCAGAGTTTTATTAATACTTAGATTAGAGAGAAAGTAATGGTGTGAATCGGGGAATGAAACTGTGTGACTCGCATGTAGATATAGGTTCATTTCACATTAAAAAAATAAAAATAATTGATTTTTAAAAATCAGTACGTACATTGGATTGTTAGTACTTTCTCTTGACCTATGAATTGGAAAGTGTAGGCGTGAGGTCAACAAGTATTCCATTTTCTAAAAAATATGTGACAACTTTTTACAGTTTTCCAATTCTGATTTCTACAAAGCAGTGGGTTAGGGTCTCATTTGAATGCAGCCTAAGTTTTCAGAGTGGACTCTTTGTGTTGGTAAAATAGTCATATGCTTGTCTATTTCCCATGGTTTCATATCAAAAGGAAAGACAAATTGTCATTTTTTTTTAGGGTGAAGAAGAGAAAGGATAAGATGACTAGATCTCTGCTGTTTGGGGAGTACTGTGTTTTAGCCATTGTATAAACTGTTAATTAAATTATCTGCTGAAGAAGCAAACCTTTGCCTGTTTACATTCTTTCTAACTAAGTGGCCCTAAGAGTGACTATTTTGACACAGCTTTTCTGATCAGTTTATGATCATTTGGAGTCATTTTATTTGTTAGACAGGGCCATTAGAAAATAAGAGAGACAGCCAGGCACAGTGGCTCCTGCCTCTATCTCAGCTACTTGGGAGGCGGAGGTGGGAGGATCATTTGAGCCCGGAAGGTCGATGCTGCAGTGAGCTAGGATCATACCACTGCCCTTTAGCCTAGGTGACTGAGCAAGACTCTGTCTCAAAAAAAAAAAAAAAAAGAAAGAGAACAAGAAGACAGGAATATGCATTTTTGTGTTGCTGAAATCACATGGGACCTTAAATAAATACTTTGTAAAGTTATTATATAAAAAATATAAAGATTGCTTAAAAAACTAGTATCTTACATCTTCCATGCCTCTTGGCATGAAACTATTTCTCTTAGTAAAGCAGGAGCATGCTCTGGCAGGATTGGCTAGTGAATTGGTATCTAATTAAGACTTTTGTATGTGGGCTCACCTACTGCCGTGTCTGACTATCGTCAAAAAAGGGCGGGCACTGAGAATTTTTGGTTACTCACCACTTATTAAGTTAAATATTAAGAAAGCAAGCACATTTACTTTTTAACAATCTATTGTTCAATGTCTAACAGTCTGTTCAATGAAAATAACCTCTAAGTAGCCAAATGAAATGAGTTTTTAAAATATTTTTAAAGACAAACAGCCTTTTTTCTTTCCATATCTATGTTTTGTGGGAGGGGGCAGGCACACAGATAGGGCAAAAGTAAGTTCCTCTTTTTTTTTTAGCGGTTACAGAGTCTTACTCTGTTGCCCAGGCTGGTGTGTGGTAGTACCATTGAGGTTAACTGCAGCCTCAGCCTTCCAAGCTGAAGCAATCCTCCCACCTCAGCCTCCAGAGTAGCTGGGACTACAGGAGCACACCACCACACCTGACTAATTTTTGTAATTTTTTTCTTTGGTAGAGACAGGGTTTCGCCATGTTGCCCAGGCTGGTCTTCAACTTCTGGGCTCAAATGATCCTCCCACCTCAGCCTTTCAAATGCAGGGATTATAGGCGCAAGCCACCACACCCAGTCTAATTTCCTTGTTTTTTAAAATAAAATATTGAGCTTGTATATGTTTTTCCAGCAATATAGTTTTCTAGGAAGTGTCTATTTTATAATTTTAGTTAAAACATCTTTATTTCCTTGCTGAGACAAAATGTGGATATACACATACGAAAAAAAAGTAAGCTCAAATAATTGACTTTGGACAATTCTACACTTTTATTCAGTGTAAACATCGAAGTTCTTCCACACTGATGTCACTATCATTCGCTCCCATTTCGGTCCTAAGTCTTGGGTTGAATAATGCTACTTTCACTGCTGCACTGAAAAGATTCATGAAGTTAACTTTGCCATGCTATTTATTTCCAGGCTACTGCCATAATCGTTTTTAGTTTGGGTATTAAGAACTCATCAGGAGATGGCAGGTTATTTTTTTTCTCTTTCCTGTGTTCATTGATCAAATTCCCACTTGCTTTAATGAATTTGGATTTGCTTAATTACCTTTCTTCAAAGGCCAAGGAACTCAGGAAATAATAGGTGAAAAAGTGCTTTGAAAACATAAAGTTACTAGACAAAAATAAGATGTGTTACACTTCTGATATGAACTATTAGTCTCCCACTTGCTTGAGAGAGATGCTTAATGAAGATTTGAATCTGGCATAAATTATGCAATGTTGAGACCTTTATAAATGAGTGAACAGACTTGTGTAACTGAGTACTCTCATGGCCTGAGGAAGGTGGGAGGAAGAGTTGAAAGGAATATTCTTTGTGCAAGCAGAGACACTAACTAATGTTCCCAGGACCTCCTCTGTGAGTCAGTTTTAACGGGATTGTAAATATGTGCTCCAGTGAGTTTTAACACAGTGTGTCAGTTGCTCTTGGCCTTTCTGTTTATCGATTCTATCTACAAGATGTGAAACCACAGGGAGGTAGAAGCTTTATTAGCCATTTCTGCCTGCCAAGATTGTGGGATTTACTGACTTCGTGCCCTCCATGTTCCTTGACAGCCTGGGCCTCTCCTACTGGATTAATACCTGATGAGTACCTGATCACGCAACAGTGAAACAACACAAGGTCAGGGGCTTTTGAAACACCCAACCCCTGGGTGTCAGAAAGCCTGTGACTTTACTCAGATAAATTCTATTTTAGCGTGTTGGTGGAGGTACTTTGTGGCCTTTTGTTGAAGTGAAAAGTAGTACAATAGGCCGGCCAGGCTTCAAATGAGTTATTAAATCTCTCTTCAACTTTCTCATGATGCCTTATTTTCATAACCGTTTGTAATCAGAGCACTTCAGAAGCAGCACAAAATGAGAAACTTACTCTCAGGACCCCATTTCTATTTTTTGTAAAGGGAAAATACATCCTCATGTACACGTGAAAAAACTGGAAACGATGCATACAAAATGTAAACCATTCGAATTAAGCGTGTATGTCTGTTTGCTTATCTGTATTTTCTATGGCAGTCATGTTTTGCTTGTATCATAAAACGAAAGCTTATTCAGGAAAAATAAGCATGGCGAGGTACACATGGCTAATTTTGTCTTTCTTCTGTTCTGTTCTAGAAATTGAAGCCAAGGAAGCTTGTGATTGGCTACGGGCAACTGGTTTCCCCCAGTATGCACAGCTTTATGAAGGTAAGCTGGGAATGCCGCTTTTTAAAAGTTGGCATAATCATAATCCCTTGTTCGCGAGTATTACTGATCTATGACTTATTTTCAGCAGTTTTATCGTTTAAATGTTTTATTTTAAAAAAAAAATGTTGTAAGCATGCAAGACCCCCACCCCTGAAAACAAAAGCTAGCACCTTGGTAACACGCCCATGCCACTCCCCCATCTGCTGCCTGCCACTCCCTACCCAAAGTAATCAGCATGCTGAAGACTATCATTTTCTTGCTTTCTTTTTGTATAATTCTACTCCATTTCCTGAAAAGTACATTTTTACAAAGTAATTTTTACCTTTATAAAAAGGGTAGTGTGTCGTATGTAATTTCATGGGGTTTTTATTTTTCACTTAATATTGTATTGTTAAGATTCTTCTATACTGTATGGGCCTGTTATGCATTTGCTTTGGCTGCTGTGTAATACACCATTGTGTATTACACAAGAAACCACTGTTTATTCATATCCACACTCTGGTTGGTGGGTATTTTGGCTTTCTCTGTTTTGCTTTTATAAGCTGTGCTGTTGTGAACATTCTTGCATCTATCTTTTGTGGTACATGCATAATGATTCATCTTGCTTCTATCCCTAGGAACAGAATTACTGGGTAATAAAGAATATGTATGTTCAATTTTAAAATGCAAGCTTTTCGAAAGTGCCCGTACCAATTTTCACTCTTACCAATCTGTGTATCCACATTCCCTCAACGCTTGATATTGTCAGACTTTAATTTTTGCCAACCAAATGGATATAAAATGATATACAGATTTTGACTGCCATTTCCCTAATCCTTCATGGTAATGAGCATTTATTCATGTCACTCGGCCACATTTGTTTGCTCACATTATGCTTCTCTTAATGATTTATAAGGGCTCTTTTTATTCTAAATACTAATCTTTCATTGGTCACGTGTTGCAGATATCTTTCCCACCATTTGTAATTAGGCATTTCACTTTTCTCTAGGTTGTCTTTTAATGAATATTATGTTTTCTGTGGCATTCAGTTTTTCAATTGAGAAAAATGGTTCAAAAAAAAAAATAGGATCTGTGCTGAATTCTTAACATCTCATTTTCTTATCAGTGCCCTGGGGATTGCTTGGATACTGAGGTCATTCTCTCAGCTTCTGCGTACCCTGGGGAGTGCTTGTGCTCCCTGCATGTCAAGATAAATAGGCTGTTCATTTATTTATTTATTTGTTTTGAGACGGAGTCTCGCTCTGTCGCCCTGGCTGGAGTTCAGTGGTGTGATTTTGGCTCACTGCAACCTCTGCCTCCCGGGTTCAAGCGATTCACCTGCCTCAGCCTCCTGAGTAGCTGGGATTATGGGCATGTGCCACCATGCCCGGCCAATTTTTGTGTTTTTAGTAGAGCCGGGGTTTTACCAAGTTGGCCAAGCTGGTCGTGAACTCCCGACCTCAGGTGATCCACCCACCTTGGCCTCCCAAAGTGCTGGGATTACAGACATGAGCAACCACGCCTGGCCTAGGCAGTTCATTTAAATGGGAGTTTCATTATACTCTATATGAAGTCAATTTAAAATAATTACAGCTATGAACTAATACATTCCATTTTATGGGTAACTTTCAAACAGAGGTTGGGTGAATAGCAAAGTGATTCCCAAGTTAGAATACCCGGTCTTCCTTATGTAGCCTAGACTGATTGTGATATTTTTTCCAAGAAGATGGATTCTGAATTGTTTTATTGTTAGACCGTGTAAAATATCTTACTGTTTCTTCATTCCAGAGAATATCTCCAATTTCTTTTGATTAACTTGCATGCTTATTTTGGTGGAGTTACTTGTCTTTCCTTTAGAGAGAAGTTTTAACCTGTTAACATTTAGAAGGGCTTTGGGGAAAGGGGGACCAGCATTCTATTGGATTTTCAATTCATAGCTCTACTGGAGATAAGGAAAGACAACTGCATTGGCAGTAACACCAAAGTGGCTGTCCTTTTGTTCTCCTATTTAGAAACTAAGTTTTCTTCAATTATGCTCGTTTTTGGCATTGATTTGCTGCCAGGTAGCACTTTCTTGTGATATATATGTTTGCTAAGACCCAATTCCATTCCCTGTGTCTCCTCTTTCCTAATCCTAAAATGCAGGGTGCATTTGCACAAGTTACATTTGGGGTCCCTTCATGTTCCCAAGTCTTTTGAAGCATAAGACTACTTTTGGGGTACACTGCGTATTGTTCTGGGCCATTGCCTCCCCCCGTTTTTCCTGCCACTGTGTGCTGGGTGAGTACATACACTATACACCCCATACCAACCCACACATGTCCCCCTGTTAAGCTTGATTTGGGTACTTGGCAATTTATACTTCCTGCCTTTCAACCCACAGTGGAAGTTGAGTTCAGAGAACATCTTCTATACATCAGTAAACTATCATCTTTTAAAAGCCAGTCCTTTCAGAAAGGAGTCCAGGCAAATAAAAGAAAATTACTGATTTAATTCTTACACTCCTCACTTGCATTTAATACCTACCAGATTTTTTAAAAATTGTTAATTTGGATTAGAAAAGGAATCTAAAATATGGCCCTGGGTATACTAACTTAGAATTCCTAAAATAACATAGTTACTTTCTCACATATAGGTAATAGGCATATGAAAATTTCAATTTACATTTATAGATCTGATATTATACTCTGTAAATATTAAAAAATATTCCTTAATATCAGCTCTGTTATTTCATCTTGGTGTGTATTCAGAGTCAAATATTGGCCAGGAATGGTGGCTCATGCCTGTAATCCCAGGACTTTGGGAGGCTGAGGTGGGAGGATGACTTGAGGCCAGGAGTTCAAGGCCAACCTGGCCAACGTAGTGAGATCGCATCTCTATTTAAAAAATTTGAAAACAAACAAAAAAAAGCAAAATACAGTGTCACAACCTTCAAACAATGTTACAACCTGTCTTCCCTCATTTACTAGTGCTCCAGTTTCCATTGACTATAAGTCTTTCTATTTCCATTATAATGGTTCCATGAATCATTTGTCTAAGAGAGACTTGGTCTATAAATTAGTGAAGAAATGTCATTCTGTGATACTAAATTTTATGTATTCATAAATCTCTGGACTATAGCCACTTCCTTGGTCTGCTTATATTATCATTTAGGGAACAATGTCAGTAATCCAACTGTAGCCTTCAGAAAAAAAAGGATAGACTATAACTTTATACTCATTCTGATATATTATCTCTAGAAAATAGATTACTAAGAATAAGAAATTCCGTATCATTCCATAAAACCAGTAATCATAAGAAACAATAAAAACATAATGAACAGTTGTGCACCCGCAGGAGCTGGAGCAGGACTAATTACCTGCATCTCCAAAACTGCTGACAGCCATGTCTGTTCCACTGTGTGGCATTAGCCATTTTGAAGGCCAAAGGGATTTTTTTATTTTTTATTTATTTTTTTCAGATAGGGTCTCACTCTGTCATCCAGGCTGAAGTGCAATGGTATAATCAGAGTTCACTGCAGCCTCAAACTCTGGGGCTCAGGTGATCTTCCACCTCAGCATCCCATGTAGCTGAGACCACAGCCCGCATGCCACCATGCCCAGTAAAATTTTTTTAGATTTTTTTTGTAGAGACAAGGTCTCGCCATGCTGCTCAGGCTGGTCTCAAACTCCTGAGCTCAAATGATCTTCTGTCCTTGGGGCCTCCCAAACTGCTGGGATTACAGATGTGAGCCACAGTGCCCAGCCAAAGAGAATTTTTTAGCTTGTGGTGATTCTAGTTTCCTGCTGTGATGACTGATTTCACCCAGGTCTGGTCCAAAGGGTTACCCTACACCGAGACACTCCTCTTCCTGGTATTGTAGTAGCACTCTACTGAGGAGGCCCATGATTTGCCCTCATAGTTGGGACTCCAAGAGGGTGATAACTTGCCTTTATCCAGTGGCAATTTCAGAGCTGTTGTAAATTTCCACAGCGGCTACCTCCGCTCTCCTTTTCTTGGGTATATTTACTTACCAAGGGATCTTTTTATGTAGTCCAGAGAAAGGAATTCCTCCATTGAGTTGACTGTTTTCCCCCTCTCTGGTTTTCAGTTCTGATACAGCTTCTTCATTGTCTCGAGAGAACTGAATGAACTCTTCTACAGATTAAAGGATTTGAGATTCTGTTGTTCTATAGCAACTTCATAGCTAGCCCTTTCTTTTTAGGGGAGTTATATCAATTTCTGCAAGGCCATATTGCAGTGCTAATATTTGTTTTTAAAAAGCATATCTTGAATTCTCCTTAGCTCTTGATGCCATGTGAGTGGATTACATTCCATTTCCTACCACTTTTCATTGTTCTCTAGATCTTTCTGTGGCTCAGTTTTCTTTCCGTGACCTTTCCCTGATCACACGTGAGCAAAGACACACACACATACACACAGCCCAGCCACATTAAAACGGAGCATTCTTCTGACAGTCATTGTGGCTTAAATTATAATTTCTACTGGGGACTCATTGCCTGCTGATTTGTTTAAACATATAACAATGTTCTGAACCACTTCTCCTTGACCAGAAGCAATATTTTGAGTTTCCCCCACATTAAAGCCGAAGCTCCTTTAGGACAGTGATGCCCGATTGGCTTCAATTGCCTTATAGTCCCATAGAACTTGACGGGGAATGAGGTGTCCTACAGTAGGTGCTTAGTATATTGCTGAAGAGTTTTATCCCTGCTTTGGTAAACTGGGCTATTTGGCAAATTGGGTTTTAGGCGCTCAACAAATACATCTGTTTATTTTTCTCATAGATTTCCTGTTCCCCATCGATATTTCCTTGGTCAAGAGAGAGCATGATTTTTTGGACAGAGATGCCATTGAGGCTCTATGCAGGTAAATGGACACGTTTTGAGTGTTTTCCTTTTTTATTTTTTAAGAACACAGTACTTCTCACAAAGATAGGCTTTGTTTGCTTTTGTTCTTGCTAATTGTGTTAGGTTTTTATTGGCAAACCATAGAGTGATCATAGACCTTTTAATTAAAAACTAAGTAAAATATTGTTATTTAGTATTGCCATTAAAATAGCATCCACGCCGTCCTAGGAAGTACTCACACAATAGCATTCCATATTTGATATAATTGGTGTAACAAGTAACAACTCTCAGGTGGTTTGGAAACGTGGATTAAGGTTTCCTAAAAGGGTACGATGGAAATTAAGCATGTTCAGAGGAATAAATGGGGGGTGGCATATAAAGACAGGAGCATCATTTGAATTCCAAGAACGCTCCTCTCAACCTCTTCAGTTTCCCCTCGTATAAAATAATGATAGGACGAAATAAGGCTATAAAATAACTCAGCATGGTCTTTAACATATAGGCAACAGACAGTTAAATGATGAGAAATTGAATAAAACCGTCAGAAATTCTTGATCATTGTGGTTTTGGGTCTTCAAGCTGAGAGGCAGCTTATAGGTTTTAGTGAGGTGGAAGTAATAAAACCTGTAGCAGTCGATGATGGGACACTGATAATCCTTTCAAGCTCTTCAAGACATGTCTACTCATTTTAAGTTTTTCATCCTTTCTAATTTTTCTCAAAAGCTAAAATCCCTAAAAGCTGAATTCTGGGGGAAAAAAATTATACACAGACAAAACTCACATAGGTTGATTTGATTATGAAACTAAGTATTATTTTAATTTCAGGGTTTTTTTGTTTTTGTTTTTTTTGTTTCTGTTTTTGTTTCTGTTTTTTTGAGAAGGAGTTTCGCTCTTGTTGCCCAGGCTGGAGTGCAGTGGCGTGGTCTCGGCTCACTGCAACCTCCGCCTCCCAGGTTCAAGTAAATCTCCTACCTCAGCCTCCCAAGTAGCTAGGATTACAGGCGCCCACCATCACGCCCAGCTAATTTTGTGTATTTTCAGTAGAGACTGGGTTTCACCATGTTGCCAGGATGGTCTCAAATTCCTAACCTCAGGTGATCCACCCACCTCGGCCTCCCAAAGTCCAGGGATTACAGGTATGAGCCACCGCACCCAGCCTGTTTTTTTTTTTGTTCTGTTTTTTATTTTATTTTTTTTTATTTTTAAAGACAAGGTCTCACTCTGTCGCTCAGGCTGGAGTGCAGTGGCACAATCATGGTTCACTGCAGCCTTGACCTCCCAGCTACAGGTGATCCTCCCACTTCCGCCTCTGGAGTAGCTGGGACTGCAGGTGCACACCACCATACCCAGCTAATTTTTGTATTTTTTGTAGAGATGCGGTCTTGCTGTGTTGCTCAGGCTGGTCTTGAACTCCTGGGCTCAAGCAGTCATCCATCTCGGCCTCCCAAAGTGCTGGGATTACAGGAGTGAGCCACCACACCCCATCTCAGTATTTTTTTCAACTTGGAAAAACATCATGAAGGTAGAATGACACCCAGTATTTCTTTCCTCTTTGTAGGCAAGGAAAGCAGTGGTAGTTCTGTTTTCTGCCTTTCTCATATAATACAGTGTTATATGAAGCAGCCAAAGTAAGCAGTGGTTTGGGGCAGATAGATGGGATATTTAGCATAGTGTATGGACTAGACTAGTTCTCATGGTTTAAGAGAGGAAAAAACAAACAGTCCTCTTAACCACAGAAACGCTGTCACTTTTGTAGTCCAATTAAATGACTGATAGAAACGTACAGGGTGTGTACCCATTTTCTGAAAGAAACCTAATTCCAAGAACTTCACTGTGGAGTGTAATATCATTACTATATCATCGGGAATGAAACCAGATGCAGTTTCGGGAGGGGAAGGAGTCTGCATCTGGAATATGAACTACTCCAGACATTTTTTTAATGTTTTCATGCTTAGCTGTGGAGCAGAATTAATCTGTTTTCAATCCATCACTGCTGATCATGCATATGCATGAGGTCACTTCTGAGATGCATCTTAGGAAATATTTAAGCATTACATCATTTCACGCAGTTAGAGAGTGGGCACTCTGGACAGCAGCAATAGCTTAGGAATTCTTGGGTCATAAAAATATCACTGCAGCATTTCAGGCCAAAGGGTCATGATTAAATTCTTGAATGCTTTTTCAGAATATCAGTTTGAAATGTTGTTTTCCATTTCTGGGAAAAAAAGTATCCTCTGTACTTTGCAATTTACACTGGCTCTGAGTACCTTTTGAGAAGCCACCTTTCTCTGAAGCGAATAAGTCTGTGCTGCTAGATCTTTGGTGAAAAGAAAAGCCTAGAAGAAGCAGACTCTGCCACATATGCTAGTTGGGCTTCAGTTTTCTCTCCTGCATAGAATAACATCTTATAGGAAATGCAGTGATGGATGTCAGAGCGCTTTAAAAATTAAATTATCAGGCCCCAATTTGAGTATGTGCAGAAAGGCCTAGGGTTGGATTTTCTTTTTTAAAAAAGGAAATTCTTCAGAGTTCACAGTAATAGTCATCAACTGGTTTGTAATGGAAAACCCCAGGGCTCTTGTCCACATGTCCACATAAATGGACTTTTCGTGAAAATGATGCCCCTTTCGAGAGGCCTAAACAAATGTTCAGAAGAAAAGGGACCTCTATCGGGTGTATTTCAAGCAGCTTCCTTTATTTTATTTTTTTATTTTTTTGAGATGGAGTCTCACTCTGTCGCTCAGGCTGGAGTACAGTGGCGTGATCTCGGCTCACTGCAACCTCCGCCTCCCAGGTTCAAGCAATTCTCTGCCTCAGCCCCCTGAATAGCTGGGATTACAGGCACCCACCACCACGCCCAGCTAATTTTTTGTATTTTTTTAGTAGAGATGGGGTTTCACCATACTGGCCAGGCTGGTCTTGAACTCCTGATCCACCTGCCTTGGGCTCCCAAAGGGCTGGGGATTACAGGCATGAGCCACCACGACCAGCCAGCAACTTTCTTTAAAACGTAGTACAAGTTCTGAGCTGTCAGCTGCATAGTGTAGTTGAGATAGTTGTTGTACTGATTATGTGATAGTCACTTCATTTGCTAGACCTGCCTCTTCCAAATACCTTCTTGGCCTATGGAATTCAAGGGCCAGCAAATAACGAAGCTCCAGTATTATTTGAAATTTTGCCCTGTGATTTAGAAGTTCTCTCTAGACTGACAGACTTTTTATAGACTTTTGTCTTTGCCTTGTTGATATTTTCTGAACAGTTGATTTTAAATACATGTGGTAATATGGTTGCAGAAATTCAGCTTAAACATTTTACAAAATCTTTCCCACCTACCTCCTCCCCTTGTACTGGACCATATTTTATGCAGGGATCTTATAAGTGATCTCGTATTTACTCTAGCATTATTCTTAGTTTAGAGTGTTCATGTACCTGTGACATTTACAGATCTTACAGCTCCTTTGGTCAAGAAGTAAGTAGGAGCTTCTTTTTCTACTCAGGGCAAGAAGACTTGTAGAGTTAGTGGGTTTTATGAGAACAATGACATAGTCTTAAATATAAAGTTTGGCAATAACCAAAAGTTACAAGTGTGGGACTATAGATTTTTTGGATTTAGATTGCTAACCAGCATTTTTACATTCACACTGCAAGGGGTTCATGTGTCTGTTCCCTTGGAGAAACGGCTTTGGCCTGATCTTGCTAGCTTTACTATATAATGCAATTCCAATGATAAGGCCAATATTATGAGAGCTATACTCAATGGTAATCCTGGAGGAGTGATTCGCTTTGTCTTGAAGCATGTGCACGTAGTATTGTGAACTGTGATTCACTACGAGGATACCTCTTGTGAAATGTTCTTTCTATTGCTTGCCTTCCTACAGCTTCTGAAAACTATTCCAAATTGCTATTTTCCTTTGGAATTAAAAATGACTCCTTCTATAAACACAGCAAAGAAGTATGTACATCAAGTGACAGTTGTATAATGAAAAATAGATTTCCACACTGTCACCTGCAGTATTCACTTTGTTGTAAAGCAGTCCATCAGATGCCTGAGCCATGCAAAGCAGCCCACCTTAGAGCAGATTTTAACTTTGTCACAATTTCTGGTCTGTTAAAAGGTAAGCACGTAGCCGGGCACAGTGGCTCAACAATTTGGGAGGCCAAGATGGGAGGATCCCTTGAGCCTCCAGGAGTTGGAGACCATCCTGGGAAACATGGCAAGACCCCATTTCTATAATAAAGAACAAAAATTAGCCAGGCATGATGGTGCATACCTGTAGTCCCAGCTACTTGGGAGGCTGAGGCGGGAGGATCCTGTGAGCCCAGGAGGTCCAGGCTCCAATGTGCCATGATAGCACCATTGCATTCCAACCTGAGTGACCCTGTCTCAAAAAGAAAAGAAAAGGCTGGGAGTAGCATGTAATTTTTTAAAGCAATTGCACAGATTCCAAGAAAATATCTTTAAGAATTGTAACCATTTTTATTTGTGAGAGTCTTACTTGGAAAATTGTATCTTTCCCCCTTCTCCCTCTTCTCTTCTTTGTTTTTGGCTTGTTTTTACTTTTAATACAATGGGGCCCAGGTCCCCACCTGCTGTGCTTTTATCTGGGTTCCTGCAGCTCCATGCAGAGAAGCTCTTGAACCTCTGATAGGCCAGCCTTGCACTCCTCCCTCTTCAGAGCAGGGTAGAAGTTGCCCAGGAGATAAGAGGGACACATTCCTGTGGAGCCCAGCCTGGGAGGGTCCTTAGGGGGATGGGAAAGGCCCAGGCTTCTGGACGGATGGGTTACGCCCAGCATATCAGCCACTGTGTGAGGAATCCCTTAGGATATAAGTTGCTTTCATTTATTACTACCATTAATATTTATATTAGAAAGGAACACAGATTGCCGGGTGCAGTGGCTCATGCCTGTGATCCTAGCACTTTGGGAGGCCGAGATGAGCGGATTGCCTGAGCTCAGGAGGTCGAGACCAGCCGGGCAACATGGCAAACCCCCACTTCTACTAAAAATACAAAAAATTAGCTGGGCCTGGTGGCGGGCACCTGTAGTCCCAGCTGCTCAGGAGGCTGAGGCATGAGAATTGCTTGAAACGGGGAGGCGGAGGTTGCAGTGAGCCACTGCACTCCAGCCTGGGCAATAGAGCAAGACTGTCTCCAAAAAAAAAAAAAAAGAAGAAAAAGAAAGGAACCTAGAAGTTACTGGGTTTGAGAGCCACCATGTTTTAATCGTGTGGACTTAGACAAGATCTGTGACCTCCCCGAGCCCCATTTCCTCATCTGTAAAATCTAGGTTAATCATAATATCTGTACCATAGGGTCGTTGGGAAGATGAAGTCATATATAGGAAGTGCCTAGCATAGTGCCTGGCCCGCAGTAGGCCTCGTTTGTGTAGCTGGAACTATGATTTGATATCAGTACTGTCTCTGTAAGGAAATAAGGTCCCAGCAGAGTACATTCTTTGGGGGTCCTCCAGGACAAATGAAAACCACAGAAACCCTAGGGTATAACTCTGGGCTTTAGGTCTGTAATGCCATTAGCTGGGTGCTACCAACATAAAAAGGTAATGTTGACCTTTATAGAACTGGCCTCCTGGGTCTTTTTAGTTTGACTAAAATCTGGAGTTTGTGAGGCTAAACCCCTCTCCAGCCCCATAGGCCTCTGTGGCTAGTAAATTTGGTTATAAACACCATTCAACCATTAAAGCCCAAATGAAGTCAAGTGACTATTTGATTACAGGTTTGATTAATGGAACCCAGACCTAAGACTAACTGTAACAATTCCGGATTCTTTAAATCTTGAAAGCATTTGAGAACTAAAACACTGTGGGTGTAAGTCATTTAAGTAATTGATACCCCCAATAGAGGGACCTTATATCCACTCATTTTAAAGTGTGCAGACTTTTTCTTAGTTATTTGTTTTCTTTTCTTCCCCATCAACAGAGAGAACTTTTCTGAACCTAGGCGCTCTGGGCTATCTTTATTTATTCTATAAACAGGCTACCACCTAAGGTATGAAGGCAAAATCGGGCTTATCAGGCAGGCAAAAATGCTTTCTGTTCTGTTGCATCAACATTGTTAGGCAAACAGCAAGAACAGGATCAGGAAGATAAAGCCCTGAGGAGGTCTCACGGTTCCCAGGAATTTGTGTGAATTAAATGATCTGATCTTATGAAAATGTAGAATTGCAATTCGTAGGAAAAACTAGAAAACTGGTGATAGCAGATGGCAAACAGACACATTACAGGTTCATTTGAGGAAGACTAAGTGATGATCATCTGGGAGATGGCAGGAAAATTGGGGCCTTGAAGGGCTGTCATTCATAGTTGTACATACCGTTTAGTTCAGCATATTTAAAGTGTTTCTTTTTTCAACTGTTGCATTATTTCTCCATGAGGTTTTGGGTTTTTTTTTTTTTTTTTGTAAGTATTTTATTTTCAACGAAACTAAATTTCCCTAATTTTAAATTGATATTGCTGTTTGGCAGAGGTGAAAGTATTGGTATCAAAATGACAATAGGATGGCTGTTGCAAAAAGAGTCTTACCTGAGTGCTTAATTTTGAACCCGGTAAGATTTGGATCCTTGAAGTTACAGTACGCAAATTCTTTAAATGATCATTTGCCGTGACTATAGCACACATTATATTGTCCTATAACAGGAAGCTGTTCTAAATATTGGATATTAAAGAGGGCTTCAATTTCCATTCTGTGCAAGGACTCTAAAATTTTAGACAGGCTGTCCAAGATTATGATTCATCGGAGATAACTAAAACTAATTTTTTAAATTTGAGTTTTGATTTCAAATACAAGACACTATTTATTTTGCCAAAAACTCTACTTGGTTCTTTGTTGCTGTTTTGCTGTTTCTATTTCTATGAAAGGAGACATCACAAACTTTTCTTTTCTTTCTTTTTTTTTTTTTTTTTTTTGAGATGGAGTCTGGCTCTTTTGCCCAGGCTGGAGTGCAGTGGCACAATCTCAGCTCACTACAACCTTCACCTCCCAGGTTCAAGCGATTCTTCCTGCCACAGCCTCCCGAGTAGCTGGCATTACAGGCACCCACGACCATGCCCAGCTAATTTTTGCATTTTTAGTAGAGTTGGGGTTTCGCCATGTTGGACAGGCTGGTCTCAAACTCCTGACTTCAGGTGATCTGCCTGCCTCGGCCTCCCAAAGTGCTGGGATTACAGGCATGAGCCACCGTGCCGAGTCACAAACTTTTCTTTCTTGGCTCCATGTGCGGCAGTCCATAATGGCTCAACCTAAGAGTTATTGGAAGAATGATTTTTCTTAGTAAGAACAACTCATTGAGAGTTGAAGAATCAGAGAGACTTGACAGTATCATAGCTGTGTGCCATTTCACACTAAAATATAAAAATTAAAGTGAAAAACTTACAAAACATAAAGGTATTTATTTATTTATTTATTTATTTATTTATTTATTTATTTTGAGAAGGAGTCTCACTCTGTCGCCCAGGCTGGAGTGCAGTGGCGCTATCTTGGCTCACTGCAATCTCCGCCTCCCGGGTTCACGCCATTCTCCTGCCTCAGCCTCCTGAGTAGCTGGGACTACAGGCGCCCACCACCACGCCCGGCTTGTTTTTTTGTATTTTTAGTAGAGACGGGGTTTCACCGTGTTAGCCAGGATGGTCTCGCTCTCCTGACCTCGTGATCCACCCGCCTAGGCCTCCCAAAGTGCTGGGATTACAGGCGTGAGCCACCACGCCCGGCCAAGGTATTTTTAAATGACTCACTTTTTAAATAAGTTTCTAATACTCCTCTAGGTATTAGGTATTACTGAGTTTCAAGAAACTCCTTAAATATATGAATTGTTTAAAAACAGGTGTTTATCCACTCATTAGAGAGTGGTTGCCTATCTTTGCTAACGTTATTTCTTTGCTCTATAGGCGTCTAAATACTTTAAACAAATGTGCGGTGATGAAGCTAGAAATTAGTCCTCATCGGAAACGAGTGAGTATACAAATTGCGTAATAGAATGAGGGGGAAAAGGGGCAAACAAAAAAGTGAATGATGTGTTTTGTAATAGGTTTTGTTTCTCCAACTCTTAGTTTGTTGTTCCGTAAGCATCTACATCTTGAATGATATCGCCTAGACTTGATAGCCTTATGTAGTTGAAGCCAATAGTTGCAACTAGTCCATTACATTATTTTATCTATTGTTTTTGACCTGATCACATCAGCTATTATTTTGCCTAATTACTAACTCAATGCCTATTACATAATAAAGGGATCATGCTTAAGGAATCCCAGTGGATTTTTGCATTGCTCATAGAGGAAATAAACTGAGGTTTATTTCCAACTCTTCTGTCTTCCCAAATATAACAATAACTGTGCTTCAAAGCTGTAGAGATGAAAGCGAAGGCCGATTTGTGCAATATTGAAGAATAATAAGAGATTTGGAGGGAGGAAAGGAATTGGAAGAGGAAGAGGAGAAGGCAGGAGATCCCACACAGTTTAGTCAAATGGTGGTACACAACCGAACTGGATGGTATTTTCTTCTGCGTGTGAGTTGTGAAGACTTTTTATGAGATCTTAGGAGAAGAGGTGGGTGTAGTACTGGGAGTAAGTGTCACAAATTAGAGTAAACAGGAATGAGTCTGGTCAAAGAACATATTTCTGACTTCCGGGTTCAAATTTTAATTATGCCAGAATCCCTGAGCTGCAAAAAGTTGCCTTCTTGGGGAGTCAAAGCTTTTAAACAAATGAACTGGAACCTCAGCGCCCACTGAGCTATGCAGAAGAGTCCTAGAAGCCAGCGCTCCATGCTTGCCACTCATTGTCCTGTGAAACTTGGGCCACAGGATATTTTCCACACCAGTGGAAAAGACATGTATCATACCGAATTGTGCCCTTTGATATCCTGCCGAAAAGGCCAAGATGCAATAGTCCGTGTGACAGCTTATCCCTGAGTCCTGTACATAAATCGGGCATAATCAGCAAAGACGTTCCTTAGTGTTTATGAATGCCGCGAGCTGTCAGGGCTGGGTATTTGTGAAGCCTTGTTCAATTGGCTGGAGCATGACTGAGGTTGAAACTTCACAGGTCAGCTGTGGCCTGAGCGCTAGCCTTCATGTCTTGTGGGGGAGGGGAAGAAAAGGTACTGGTAAGAGTCTCCAAAGCACTGATAGTGGACTGAATCTGCTTGATGACCCACCTTGATCCAGGGCCCCTTTACTCCAGTGGGAGACCTTATACATTTTTAGTGTCTAGAGATTTAAGTTGCCACTCTTCTTAGTGTTTGAAAACTACCTTTTTAATTGCAAGAGGGAATATAAACATACACCAACAAAAGACAGCACAATGGAAGGCAGCCCAGAGGCAGTCCTGCTCATTGCTGACTTCAGTTCAAAATATTTTGCATGCCTGGAATTTTCACCATCTCAGAGGTTTCCTCTATGAGCAATTAAAGAACAGCCTATGGATCCCAGAGTTTCCATAAAATAGTTCTTATTTAACTTGCAACATTTGGTCAGGCACTCTCCTGTTAAATTCTTTAAATACATCTTTGTTATTTAAAGAACAAAACAAAACACCGGGCACTGTGGCTCAAGCCTGTAATCCCAACACTTTGGGAAGCCCACGTGGGAGGATCGCTTGAGGCCAGGAGTTTGAGACCAGCCTAGGCAGCATAGTAAGACTACTGCTCTCTACAAAAAATTTAAAAAAGAAAAAGAATATGTAAGTGGGGCTGGGCACAGTAGCTTATCCCTGTCACCGCAGCACTTTGGGAGGCTCAGGTGGGAGGATCACTTGAGGTCAGCAGTTCAGAATCAGCCTGGGCAATACAGCCTGTACAACAGAGTGAGACCCTATTTCTAAAAAAAAAAAAAAAAACTTTAAAATTAAAATCATGAAGTACAAGGGGGAAATTGATACTACTGGCATATTATGAGCAGCCTCCTGCTCATGCCCTGCTCCCTGCTGGCTGCCAGCCCCAGTGTGTGAATGGCTCCTTTCTGTCTTTGCAGAGTGACGATTCAGACGAGGATGAGCCTTGTGCCATCAGTGGCAAATGGACTTTCCAAAGGGACAGCAAGAGGTGGTCCCGGCTTGAAGAGTTTGATGTCTTTTCTCCAAAACAAGACCTGGTCCCTGGGTCCCCAGACGACTCCCACCCGAAGGACGGCCCCAGCCCCGGAGGCACGCTGATGGACCTCAGCGAGCGCCAGGAGGTGTCTTCCGTCCGCAGCCTCAGCAGCACTGGCAGCCTCCCCAGCCACGCGCCCCCCAGCGAGGATGCTGCCACCCCCCGGACTAACTCCGTCATCAGCGTTTGCTCCTCCAGCAACTTGGCAGGCAATGACGACTCTTTCGGCAGCCTGCCCTCTCCCAAGGAACTGTCCAGCTTCAGCTTCAGCATGAAAGGCCACGAAAAAACTGCCAAGTCCAAGACGCGCAGTCTGCTGAAACGGATGGAGAGCCTGAAGCTCAAGAGCTCCCATCACAGCAAGCACAAAGCGCCCTCAAAGCTGGGGTTGATCATCAGCGGGCCCATCTTGCAAGAGGGGATGGATGAGGAGAAGCTGAAGCAGCTCAACTGCGTGGAGATCTCCGCCCTCAATGGCAACCGCATCAACGTCCCCATGGTACGAAAGAGGAGCGTTTCCAACTCCACGCAGACCAGCAGCAGCAGCAGCCAGTCGGAGACCAGCAGCGCGGTCAGCACGCCCAGCCCTGTTACGAGGACCCGGAGCCTCAGTGCGTGCAACAAGCGGGTGGGCATGTACTTAGAGGGCTTCGATCCTTTCAATCAGTCAACATTTAACAACGTGATGGAGCAGAACTTTAAGAACCGCGAGAGCTACCCAGAGGACACGGTGTTCTACATCCCTGAAGATCACAAGCCTGGCACTTTCCCCAAAGCTCTCACCAATGGCAGTTTCTCCCCCTCGGGGAATAACGGCTCTGTGAACTGGAGGACGGGAAGCTTCCACGGCCCTGGCCACATCAGCCTCAGGAGGGAAAACAGTAGCGACAGCCCCAAGGAACTGAAGAGACGCAATTCTTCCAGCTCCATGAGCAGCCGCCTGAGCATCTACGACAACGTGCCGGGCTCCATCCTCTACTCCAGTTCAGGGGACCTGGCGGATCTGGAGAACGAGGACATCTTCCCCGAGCTGGACGACATCCTCTACCACGTGAAGGGGATGCAGCGGATAGTCAATCAGTGGTCGGAGAAGTTTTCTGATGAGGGAGATTCGGACTCAGCCCTGGACTCGGTCTCTCCCTGCCCGTCCTCTCCAAAACAGATACACCTGGATGTGGACAACGACCGAACCACACCCAGCGACCTGGACAGCACAGGCAACTCCCTGAATGAACCGGAAGAGCCCTCCGAGATCCCGGAAAGAAGGGATTCTGGGGTTGGGGCTTCCCTAACCAGGTCCAACAGGTAAGAACTTTTCTCCTGCCTCCGGGTGTGGGGCACTGGGGGTCAGAAAGACATTGCCTGTGCTTGTTCTGTGGGAAGAAATGGGATTAAGTCTGGCATTCTTAGCCATGTCCATTCCTAAGGAAGGTGTCAAACCAGGAAGCACCAAAATTCAAAGAAATCGATAGGATTGAATGGGTATAGAGTTCCGGTTGGGGAAGATGAAAAAAGTTCTGGAGATGGTTGGCAGAGATGGTCACACAATGAGAATGAACTTGGTGCCACTCAACTGCACATTTAAAAATGGTGAAAATGGTGCACTTTATATTGTGTATATTTTCCCATAATGGGGATTAAAGCATGGGATAGAAATCAAGTCCTATCAGTTCCTAAGATAAGATGCCAGCAAGCAGCCCATTGCTAATGTTGCTTCTACCTATTAAAAAGCCTTTGGGCCAGGCACAGTGGCTCACACTTGTAATCCAATACTTTGGGAGGCCGAGGTGGGAGGATCACTTGAGGCCAAGAGTTTGAGACCAAGCTGGACAACATAGGGAGACTCTATCTCTACAAAAAATTAAAAAATGAGTCAGATGTGGTGGCACAGGCCTACAGTCCTGGCTACTCAGGAGGCTGAGGCAGGAGGATCACTTGAGCTGAGGAGTTCAAGGCTGCAGTGAGCTGTGATGGCACCACTGCACTCCAGCCTGGGCAACAGAGCAAGAAAAAATAAAATAAATAAAATCAAATAAAAAGGCTTCACACTCATTTTCCTCTCCTCTTCTCTCGCAGGCACCGACTGAGATGGCACAGTTTCCAGAGCTCACATCGGCCAAGCCTCAACTCTGTATCACTACAGATTAACTGCCAGTCTGTGGCCCAGATGAACCTGCTGCAGAAATACTCACTCCTAAAGCTAACGGCCCTGCTGGAGAAATACACACCTTCTAACAAGCATGGTTTTAGCTGGTAAGAGTTTAAATGATCAGTCAACTGTCGTTGAAAATGATATTTTTGGTCAGTTCCTTGAGGTTGTCCCCACAGTAAAAAATGACACTTCTCTCCTTTATTAATATATTTCATCTGTCATCCTATGGCAATCACTCTCTGCATTTTTGTTTGTTTGTTTGTTTGTTTTGAGACAGGGTCTTGCTCTGTTACGTAGGCTGGAGTGCGGTGCAGTGGTGCGATCTCGGCTCACTGCAGCCTTGACCTTCTGGGCTCTAGCGATTCTCCCACCTGAGGCTCCAGAGTGGCTGGACTCCTGAGTAGGTGGGACTACAGTTGCTTTCCACCACACCCGGCTAGCTTTTTTTTTTTTTTTTTTTTTTTCTTTTTTCCTTTTTGTAGAGATGGGGTTTCACCGTGTTAACTAGGCTGGTCTGGAATTCCTGGGCTCAAGAGATCCACCTGCCTCGGCCTCCCAAGTTGCTGGAATTACAGGCGTGAGCCACCACGCCAGCCACTCTCTATATTCTTGAGGCCACATTTGATATTGTTGAAGCCAGTGGAGTCTTAGGAAATTATCAGCGTGGGTGGGTTGATTGAGTTTTCAGCTCTTTGAGTGACAGATTGCCAGTTGATGGGGTGAGAATGCATTACTCTTGCATCACGTGGTATAGGCACCTCCTTCCCAATATTAAGAATAATCCACTATAAGTAAATGTATGCACAGTATCAGATCGTATTTTTGGATGGAGGAAAAGGAAAACAATAAGATTTAATGAGACCATCTTTGAAATTCTTGATTTACAGTACCTGGTCTTATAACCGTATTCATGCCTGTTTTTAGAAATCATTTTGGGGCGGGTGTGGTGGCTCATGCCTGTAATCCCAGCATTTTGGGAATCTGACATAGGTGGATCACATGACGCCAGGAGTTTGAGACCAGCCTGGCCAACATGGCGAAACCCCATCTCTACTAAAAATACAAAAATTAGCTGAGTGTGGTGGCATGCACCTGTAATCCCATCTACTCAGGAAGCTGAGGCATGAGAATCCCTTGAACCCAGAAGATGGAGGTTGCAGTGAGCCCCAAGATAAGGCTACTGCACTCCAGCCTGGGTGACAGAGTAAGACTCTATCTCAAAAAATAATAATAATAATAATAATAATAATAAATTTGGATGTGAATATTTGTAGCATCCACCTGTGCTAAAGAATTCAGGTTACTTTTTTTCTAGCAAAGACTGTCTAACAGTGAATAATTATTTTAAGGAATTCACTACTCTAACATATTATAGACTCAAATGTAGAGATGAAATGCATTGTACAAATTGTTCATAATTACTTTGAAAAATATAGCTCCTTAGTATATAGAATGTGAGGGGTAGGCTGTAAGGCTAGATGGGTCATGGATATCACCTAATCTGGGTACATCTTAATTTTTCTGCTGTCAGTGCCAAGCAGAGAAATGTTTCTAGATTGACATCTCAGTGCATTTTTCAGTGTCATCTGGGAATCCTTAAGTCTTTTCAGTAATCTGAGTGTTTATTATCCAGTCGCACACTACCATATTTGATAAAAATGGAGAAGCCGCCCATTTCATTAGTAGCACTCTGTAGCAAACCCAAGTTGCTTGAGAAAGTCGGCAAAGCAAGGAAACTGTTCTTTTTGTCTCCAGCTCCTCCTCTCCTTAGGACTCATAGCAGATTTAACTTCAGCATCAAAGCACCTCCCGTTCAAAGGCTGTTATTATGTGAGCCTTGCTAAATACAGAAGTTGTTTGTTCTGAATGACAGAAATAAGTATTGACCGGTTTATCCTCACATGCTTCAGATTCTCGGTGGGGATCGTAATGTGTTCTTTTCACATTCCGCCGTCGGGCTTTTCTCCCCCGACAAAGCGAGTATTATGCACACTTATAGCCATGATACCACACACTTAACTGTATGGAAATACAAACTTAACTTTGCTCTTTCGTTTTACCTTTCCTGGAGCTATAAACAGTAACATGCCATGGCTGCTGGTGAGCATTCAAAAGGCAAAGCAGTCTGTCTTCTCTGGAGTTCCTCTGTGCTTAGAGTAATATTTTCCCTGCTGGCTATTTAAAACTGCATATTTTAGATTCTCATTTCGGAGTGGCCCACCCCCATCCCACCAAACCCTCAAGAATCTGAAAGTCCATAATACTTCTTGAGTTCTGGTCAGTGTTTCCAGTGACTCAAAACCAACTGTAAAAGCCTCACATGGTGGGATCTGTGGAGCAGGGAGGAATCCTACACAAGGTTCTTTTCCTGTTTGGCCTTGCCCTTTCGGGTCCTGTTCAGAGAGGTCATTTGGAGAGCTGGAATTTCTGCTTGACAGCCTGAAATGCATGACATGGGTTTCCTGCTGTTGCATATAGTGCTGGGGTGGACCTGGTTTCAGGACACCAGGGAGCCTGGGGTCGGCTCACAAAACCCCCATTGTTCCTTTTCCATCTTCCTTTAGAAACCTAAAGATGTAATGTTCTCCGGGTCATCAGCAGCAGATTTTATTTTGACTTCAGGTCATTCACTGTTGAGCTCTGGAGTTGGCTCCCATTGTGTTAGGCTCTCATTGCTGTTTTCCCATCATGTGTTATCTGCGCCTTTTGACCCTAAATGCTTTCGATCTCATCAAGAACTCAGAAGTGATTCTTACCCTTTTTTCAAGACAAAAGGGACCTTGTTTTTCACACTCTATCAGATGCACCTAATTAGGGTATTACATGTTGTTTTCTGCTTGTTCCTTCCTATACCGCCATTCTGTAAGGAAATCCATCAGCTTCCTTAAGACTGTAGACCCCAATTCTCCAGGTTCAAGGTGGAAGGACGCTCCTAACTGAGGAAACGGACCTGTCAACCCCCACTCTTAGAAGATCTAGAACAGCACTGTCCAGGAGAACTGTCTGGATGATAGGAATGTTCTTTATCTGCACAGGCCAATACAGTAGGTACTGAGCACAAAAGATGAAGGAGCACCTGAAGTGTGGCCAGTACCACTGGGGAACTGAATTTGTCATTTTGTTTAATTTAAATTTAAGTAGCCACCGTATTAGCACAGATCTGGAGCCCACAGGGTTTGCCTGCAGAATTGGACAAGTGTAGACAGACAAGTGAGCATGTCTCCGCCAACACCACCATCTCTGTGTTCTTTAACAGGGCCGTGCCCAAGTTCATGAAGAGGATCAAGGTTCCAGACTACAAGGACCGGAGTGTGTTTGGGGTCCCACTGACGGTCAACGTGCAGCGCACAGGACAACCGTTGCCTCAGAGCATCCAGCAGGCCATGCGATACCTCCGGAACCATTGTTTGGATCAGGTGAGAGCGCTGCCTGCGGGTCCACGTACTCAGGGGAGCTCGGATTACATGCAGCTTCTTCTAGTTGTGTGGTGTAAACACTGCGTCCACGTGAATGTACCCCACACTTAGTGTTGCTCTTCCGACAGGTTGGGCTCTTCAGAAAATCGGGGGTCAAGTCCCGGATTCAGGCTCTGCGCCAGATGAATGAAGGTGCCATAGACTGTGTCAACTACGAAGGACAGTCTGCTTATGACGTGGCAGACATGCTGAAGCAGTATTTTCGAGATCTTCCTGAGCCACTAATGACGAACAAACTCTCGGAAACCTTTCTACAGATCTACCAATGTGAGTGTCCTTTGATCTTAAGATTGTTGGCATTGGGAAAAAATGGGACCAACTGAAGCTTGTAGCTTCCTTGATAGCATTCTTTTTTTTTTGAGATGGAGTCTCGCTCTGTCATCCAGGCTGGAGTGCAGTGGCGTGACCTCGGCTCACTGCAACCTCTGCCTCCCAGGTTCAAGCGATTCTCCCACCTCAGCCTCCCAAGTGGCTGGGACTACAGGAGGGCGCCACCACGTCTGGCTAATTTTTGTATTTGTAGCAGAGATAGGGTTTCACCATATTGGCCAGGATGGTCTCGAACTCCTGACCTCAAGTGATCCTCCCACCTCGGCCTCCCAGAGTGCTAGGATTACAGGTGTGAGCCACCACGCCTGGCCTTGATAGCGTTCTTTTGACAAGAGAGTCTGCATGGTGACCTCTTGGAAACCCATGTCATCACCTTCTTCCTTGCCGCCTTGTTTGTGGAACAGGTTTCTGTGTAATTATTGAATGATGTGAAAATAAATTTCCCAGTCTCTAATGACTGATGCAATTGTACGTTTTTACGTGCAAAATGAAAAGTTAGACTTTCATTAGTTTCTAGAACAGTGTTATCTGAGCTGGTCAGATAAAGATCAGGTACGAAGATCTCTTTCTGTCTCCACCTTGTCTACAGAAATTTCAGTTGCTTCACACCCCTCTTGGAGGGCCGTTGGATTTAAAATTTCACAGGTGTCTGTGTGTTTTATCTTGCTGTAAAATGAATAAATAATCTTTTTCTGTTATTCATCTCAGTCTCTGCCAGAAATACTTGGGAGAACAATACCCATGCCCTTCTTACTTTTATGTAAAGCTTAAAGAAAACAGTTGTCGAAATTAATGATCAAGATCAGGATTATGGCTTTTACAGCCTTGTGTTTTTCTTGGCTCAGTGTGGTATTACAGCAACGTAATTTAAAAGCAGCCTCTCTTAGCGCTCAAATTGTCTCTAGGATTGGCACAGTGGACTTTATTTTATGAGAAATGGAGCTGGTCTGGATTATTTCATTGGTTGTTTCATCCTTTCATATTTTATAAAAACACAGGTCACATTTTCCTCACCGAGGTATTTGTTATGTGCTGTAACCATGGAGCTGTTTAATCAGTTTGTCCTATGGAGCTACATTTGAGTGACTTGATTTTTCCACCACATGCTCTTTTAAAGAGTTATGTATTCAAGGAGACCTGAAGATCGGGATCAGCATTTTCTACCTGTAGATTGTTTACGGGTTTATTTGCATTTTTATATATTTGCATATTCATATGCATTTTTATAGCCTCTCGAGCATGCTTTCTAAAACTTAAGAAATTACTAATTCAGTGTATTTTATTTATTAATTGAACTGAACTGAATATTTTCAGTTCAGTTCAATTCAGAACTGAATATTTTAGCAGCTTTTCCCACTTCAAGAAGGAACAAATCAGTTAAACTCATGCAAATCTCCAGAGATACTGAACATTTTGTACTCAAGGCTGAGAGATCTGTGTTCTTACGTTCTTGTACATATCTCAGATAAGATTTTTCATCAACACTAAACAAAAGTGTATAGTGTTTTCAGTAATTGAGATTGATAAATTAGGGATTTTTTTTTTCATGCTTAGGAAAGAAAAAACTGTTCTGTAAACTAAAAGAGCAGGCATCCTCTAGAGCCGAACTCTGAGGTGGATTTAAGAGTGTTTGGGTATTGTGGGTGTTTAAAAATTTTTTCACTCCTTCATGAGGCAGGAAATACTTGAGGATAGTGACGCCGGTGGCAATTCATAACTTTTACCGTATTAACCTCTAGTGCACTTTCTACAAGTGCTTGTTCAGTACTGGGCTGAGGTATTTGATGCCGATATTTGCTCTGGGACATTTCCTTGCAATGTCCATGCAAATTCACCAAGCTGATGGAGAAAGTGCTGGTGTCGTGCAGATGTGCCCAAGGACCAGCGCCTGCAGGCCATCAAGGCTGCCATCATGCTGCTGCCTGACGAGAACCGGGAGGTTCTGCAGACCCTGCTTTATTTCCTGAGCGATGTCACAGCAGCCGTAAAAGAAAACCAGATGACCCCAACCAACCTGGCCGTGTGCTTAGCGCCTTCCCTCTTCCATCTCAACACCCTGAAGAGAGAGAATTCCTCTCCCAGGTACGGGCTGTATGGGAGGTGCATGCACACAGGGGGCAGCCTACATTCTTCCTAGGACTCTCCGTAGCTGTGGTTTTGTGGGACTCTTTCCTGAAACAAGCAAGAAGGTTAGACCGCTATATTAGTCCATTCTCACACCGCTAATAAAGACATACCTGAGACTGGTCTGTTGGCGTGCATGAGAAAATAGTCTCACTGGACTTAACCCCCACAGACAAAATCCATCGAACTGATCCTTTTCCTCAGCTCTAAAGGAACTTGAAAAGTATTTCTTAGCTAGAGGCCTGGGGCCTAGTTATGCTAGTGCAGGTTAGGTTGCTTCTGAAAGTCATATAATGTTTAAATGTATGTTTAAATAGTTCCTTTTGAGACAGAGTCTTGCTCTGTTGCCCAGGCTGGAGGGCAATGGCACGATCTCAGCTCACTGCAACCTCTGCCTTCCAGGTTCAAGCCATTCTCCTGCCTCAGCCTCCCGAGTAGCTGGGACTATAGGTGCCTGCCACCACGCCCAGCTAATTTTTATATTTTTAGTAGAGACGGGGTTTCACCATGTTGGCCAGGCTGGTCTCGAGCTCCTGACCTTATGATCCACCCGGCTTAGCCTCCCAAAGTGCTGGGATTACAGGCGTGAGCCACTGCGCCCGGCCACATTTAAATAGTTCTTAAAGTTGACTGGGGCATTCCAACTGCAATGGGATACAGAGCTAGAGATGAGTAGAGGAGAGAGATCAAATAAGATGAAGACAAAAGGTCAAGGAAACAATGGACTTAGCCCTCACCTGTGGGAGGGGGCCTGTGTATTCAGGCAGATAAAGATGATGACACCCTTTACTCCAACTCCCTGGGACTCCTTTCCCACACTCCTCAGAAGTTGCTCCCCCACCATGCAAACACAGCCCCTACAAGCTGCCCTGTTCCCAGTAGGAACCTATTTAATTAAATGGTTTGAATCACCTGGATTTCATCAAAAGCATATCTCTTTAATGTTTTTTTGTGTGTTGTTGACAAAACTCTGAGATACTCTGGTGACCAAAGTAAAAACACTCTTAATCCACTTAACAATAAACAGATTCCAGTGAAAATTTTTTTTTCTCTCTTCTTTGGGTTTCCTTGAATAATACCTTGAAGAAAAATATATAAATATTTGAACTGTTCCCCTCCTGTATTTCCTCTACCTAGGGTAATGCAAAGAAAACAAAGTTTGGGCAAACCAGATCAGAAAGATTTGAATGAAAACCTAGCTGCCACTCAAGGGCTGGCCCATATGATCGCCGAGTGCAAGAAGCTTTTCCAGGTAAGGAATTGAGAAGTTTGGCTCCTTTATTAAGGATAATGTGAATAGGTACAAAATCTTAGGCTTGACCCTTGTTCATGTCTTACCTGAAGACCTTTTCCACAGCTGGAGACGGTATAAATAGCCTGAGAATGTCTTATTTACATATATTATAATGTATCAGCTAGAGTTAATCATGTTTAATGAAATTGTCCCTTTACTTGGAAAAGCAGCCGGGCGCAGTGGCTCACGCCTGTAATTCTAACACTTTGGGAGGCTGAGGTGGGTGGATCACTTGAGCTCCGGAGTTCAAGACCAACCCGGGCAACATGGTGAGACCTCATCTCTACAAAAAAAAATTTAAAAATTAGCCGGGTGTGGTGGTGCACACCTGTAGTCTCAACTACTTGGGAGGCTGAGGTGGGAGGATCACCTGAGCCCAGGGATGTGGAGGTTGCAATGAACCAATATTTTGCCACTGCACTCCACTAGGTAACAGAATGAAACTCTCTCTCAAAAAAAAAAAAAAAGAAAGAAAGAAAGAAAAAGCAACAAATTATCTGGAATTAAACTTCTGTATCCACTTCCGTATCTGAGAAACCTGCTTTGACCAATGTAATTCACTCCCCCTACTCTAACTTTCCAAAGACCTTACATGGAAATAAGATTTCAGATACATTTATGGAGGTGATCTGTTCATATCCTCGTGATAACACGTGCGGTCAGCATGATAGCCCACCTCCGGCGGGAAGATGCCTGCACTGCTTTAAGGACCAGGCCATTGTTCCTACCCAGTCTTTTCCACTGATGGGCATTGAGATTGAGTACAGGTGGACTCACCTCCTTTCTGTCTGTCATGTTCCGCACAGGTTCCCGAGGAAATGAGCCGATGTCGTAATTCCTATACCGAACAAGAGCTGAAGCCCCTCACTCTGGAAGCACTCGGGCACCTGGGTAATGATGACTCAGCTGACTACCAACACTTCCTCCAGGACTGTGTGGATGGCCTGTTTAAAGAAGTCAAAGAGAAGTTTAAAGGCTGGGTCAGCTACTCCACTTCGGAGCAGGCTGAGCTGTCCTATAAGAAGGTAAGGCTTCACCCTGTTGTCGGCTAGTTGAGTCCAGGAGTCGAAGCTTGGGTCCATCAGAGATAACACGCTTTTGCCAACTAATCTGTCTGGGGATCTGTAGCCCACAACCTCCCTTGTAGAGCTGGGCACCGGGGTGAGTAAGATCCCCGTGGTGAGAGTGGAAACCGGGCAAAGCAAGAGTAATTTTCTTCCTGTGTAACACTTGGGAGAGGATTTCAACTATTTCTAATGAACTCCTTTGGCTCTACAGAATCACACTAGACTTCCCTAGAATGTTTTGCTAATGGCATTGAGATGCGGAACATCCTATGACACGCTTCGATTTTTCCATAATTTGGTCAGAATCCCTTTGCACTCTTCTCTGTTCTTAGTTACTGTTCTCTTGGCCCTTTAATGAGCGGGGATCCCTTAGGGGGAAATTAACTCCAGTTAGGACTGGTAAACCTCTTGAGGGCAGAGGCATCTTGTAAGGCTCAGCAGGATAGGTCCATCGGAGGTATATGTTGATGCCGCCTCTACCATCTTGAAAATAAACAAACAGTGGGAGTAGGCTGGGTGGCCTTGCCGGCTTTGGAAATGAGTGCAAATGTCTGATGTTTTTGTTTTTATTTATTTATATTTTTTGAGATGGAGTCTTGCTCTGTCACCCAGGCTGGAGTGCAGTGGCATGATCTCGGCTCACTGCAACCTCTGCCTCCCGGTTTCAAGCTATTCTCTTGCCTCAGCCTCCCGAGTAGCTGGCGCTACAGGTGCCCACCACCACGCCATGCTAATTTTTGTATTTTTAGTAGAGACGGGGTTTCACCATATTGGCCAGGCTGGTCTCGAACTCCTGACCTTGTGACTGCCCACCTTGGCCTCCCAAAGTGCTGGGATTATAGGCGTGAGCCACCATGCCCGGCCAGTGACTGATATTTCTTTATTGCATGCACTCTGATATAGGTCCCAGAAAAAAAAAACAAATGTCATCATTTTTTTCTTTTTTCTTTTGAGATGGAGTTTCATTCTCATCACCCAGGCTGGAGTGCAGTGGTGTGATCTCAGCTCACTGCAAAGTGCCTCCTAGGTTCAAGTGATTCTCCTTCCTCAGCCTCCTGAGTAGCTGGACTTACAGGTGCCTGCCACCATGCCTGGCTAATTTCCATATTTTTAGTAGAGACAGGGTTTCACCATGTTGGCCAGGCTGGTCTTGAACTCCTGACCTCAGATGATCCACCCGCCTCGGCTTCCCAAAGTGCTGGGATTACAGGAATGAGCCACTGCACCCGGCTCAAATGTCATCATTTTGACTCGAGTTGACAACAGCTTTTTTTCACTTTCTGGCTTGCTCTTAAATATGCTTGGGGACAGCAGCCTATTTAAGTCATAGATTTATTAGCCCCCAATATTTCTTTATATACTGATTATATAGTATTATTTATATCATTTAATCAATTAACGTTGATTATATGTAACTAAAATTGTTAGTCTAACTAACAATTCGACTTCAAAAACTAGGTGTGTATGGATTGCCTTGGCACTGAAAAATACATCCTCTTTCCAGGTGAGCGAAGGACCCCCTCTGAGGCTTTGGAGGTCAGTCATTGAAGTCCCTGCTGTGCCAGAGGAAATCTTAAAGCGCCTACTTAAAGAACAGCACCTCTGGGATGTAGACCTGTTGGATTCAAAAGTGATCGAAATTCTGGACAGCCAAACTGAAATTTACCAGTATGTCCAAAACAGTATGGCACCTCATCCTGCTCGAGACTACGTTGTTTTAAGGTGAGCGCTTCCCAGTTGTTTTTTTGTGACAAGGATGACTCCATATATGAACCAAGCCTATATGTCACTGATCTTACAAGATGGTATAATTATTTAAAGTAGAGGCCGGGCATATGGTGGCTCACACCTGTAATCCCAGCACTCTGGGAGGCCAAGGTGGGAGGATCACTTGAGGCCAGCAGTTCAAGACCAGCCTGGGTAATATAGCAAGACCCTATCTCTACAAAAAAATTTTAAAAATCAGCTAGATGTTGTGGTGCATGCCTGTAGTCCTAGCTACTCGGGAGGCCGAGGCAGGAGGATCCCTTGAGCCAGGAGTTTGAGGCCGCAGTGAGCTGTGAGCATGCCACTGTACCGCAGCCTGGGCAACAGAGCAAGACCTTATTTCTAAATAAACAAAACAAAACATATGCTTCCAGAAAAGTAGTGAACACCTTCAAATATGGAAAACAGATCTACATTTATTCTAGCAGTGTGTTCCTCGCTGAGAATGGTCTGAACTCTTTGGTAACTGAGCTCAGAAAGAGAGGCCCCTTCCAATGAATATGCTCATTCGTAGCAGATTTTTGCCCCTTTTAGGATAGATTTTCTTGTCAGAAACAGCTAGTGAATGAATAAGCCAGGAAATAACATTTGAGTCCCAAGGGAGATGTGGTTAAGGCTGATGTATGTGTAATTCATAAATTCTCTGGAGATATTACTGAAAGAAGAATTCCAAAAATCTTTGTGGAAATGTCACATTGGAAGTCCAGACCTTTTCAAACAGCCAGCGCTCCTTTAGGTGTCTGTGTTCCAAGACATTTGTGAAATAGAAAAATGGTTTTAAGCTACACTTCAAATGGGCTCTTTTTTCAAAGAGGAGACTGTCTGAGCACATAAACCCTCTGTAACAACGGCTCTGTACAGAGTTCCTCATTCAGCAGTCCTTGTACAGTGTCTTCGTGCATGTAATGCTGCTCTAACAGAATCTCACAGACCAGGCAATTATAATGAACAGATATTTATTTGGCTCATGGTTCTAAAGGCTGGGAAGTTCAAGATCAAGGAGTTGCATCTGGTTAGTTGGTTGGTTGTTTGATTGATTTGGGGACATGGTTTCATTCTGTCACCAAGGCTAGGGTGCAGTGGCACACTCATGGCTGCTGAAGCCTTCACCTCCCAGGCTCAAGCAATCCTCCCCCCTCAGCCTCCCAAGTAGTTGGGACTGCAGGCATGTGCCATCACACCTGGCTAATTTTTTTGTTTCTGGTAGAGACATGGTTTCACCATATTGTCCAGGCTGGTCTCAAAACTCCTGGGCTCAAGCGATCCTCCTACCTCAACCTCCCAAAGCGCCGGGATTACAGGCATGGGCCACCCACCATGCCTAATGAGGGTCTTTTTACTGTGTCATCCCATAGTGGAAGGGCAAAGAGAGGGCAAGGGAGAGCAAAAGAGCAAATGTGCAGCCTCAAGCCATTTTTATTTTTATATTTATTTATTTTGAGATGGGGGGGTATCACTTTGTTGCCCAAGTTTGAGTACAGTGGCATGATTACAGCTTAAGCAATCCTACCATCTCAGCCCCCGGAGTAGCTGAGACTACAGGAGCACACCACCATGCCCGGCTAATATTTTTTATTTTTAGTAGAGATGAGGTATCACTATGTTGTCCAGGCTGGTCTTGAACTCCTGAGCTCAAGCAGTCCTCCCTCCCCAGCTTCCCAAAGTGCTGGGATTACAGGCGTGAGCCATGGAACCCAGCCTTAAGCTCTTTTATAATTGGCATTAATCCAGCTCCCATTAGGCCCCACCTCCCAACACTGTTGTATTGGGCATTCACTTTCCATCACATGCTTTTTGGGGAACACATGTACACCATAGCAAGTAGTTTAGAGGATGCCATTTACCTAGGCCTGGGTCACACAGCATGGCCACTGAGCCTGACCCGTCACCACACTGCAAATAGTGAAGAGTGAAGCACGATTTTAAACTTGGCTTCTATGAAATTCCATCATTTCTGCCTCTGGTTTTGTCTCTACAGAACCTGGAGGACTAATTTACCCAAAGGAGCCTGTGCCCTTTTACTAACCTCTGTGGATCACGATCGCGCACCTGTGGTGGGTGTGAGGGTTAATGTGCTCTTGTCCAGGTATTTGATTGAACCCTGTGGGCCAGGAAAATCCAAACTCACCTACATGTGCAGAGTTGACTTAAGGTATGTTCTGATTCTGATTTTTTTATATGGTGAGGGTCATGAAGGAAATTCTGACTTTTTGTCTAATGCAAAGAATGCCTTAAACAAACACGTCATTTTTTCTTGGTGACTTCATGAAGAATGGTGTTTAGAAAGTAGCATTTCATGTTTGTTGGTCTTTCAGCGACCACTTCCTAATTTGGTTCCCTTAGAAAATGTGGTTCTAAAGCAAAGCAAATATGGTACCTCGGCCATGAATTCAAAGGCATGGGAAATGATAGATTTTATGCATTTGAACTAGCAAACAGATGTTTCTCATTTTATTTCCATGCTTTCTAACTTAAATAATTCATCAGCTTTTCTTTCTTTTCTCTGATAGGGGCCACATGCCAGAATGGTACACAAAATCTTTTGGACATTTGTGTGCAGCTGAAGTTGTAAAGATCCGGGATTCCTTCAGTAACCAGAACACTGAAACCAAAGACACCAAATCTAGGTGATCACTGAAGCAACGCAACCGCTTCCACCACCATGGTGTTTGTTTCTAGAACTTTTGCCAGTCCTTGAAGAATGGGTTCTGTGTCTAATCCTGAAACAAAGAAAACTACAAGCTGGAGTGTAGGAATTGACTATAGCAATTTGATACATTTTTAAAGCTGCTTCCTGTTTGTTGAGGGTCTGTATTCATAGACCTTGACTGGAATATGTAAGACTGTGCAAAAAAAAAAAAAAAATTTATGTGTATTCTTATTCAGATTGCTTCTGAGAAGCAAAACTCTTTAAATACATTATGGAAGATAATGAAGATACTTCATTCTCTTGTGATATCAGTGTATGCGTACCTGTGTCGCTTTATTTGCAGTGTGTTGAGGGACTGGTGTATCCACTGGAATAGTTGGTACTCTTGGATGTGTTTTCTCACCAAGATGAGCAAAGAAAGGTTTGCACAGAGGAGTGTGAATGTGTGTTTGTTGCTGGCTGAATGGCAATAGATGTCTAAGGTGGATTCAGTGTCTGGCACACTGAGACACCTCCAAGAAGGAGATTGATGCATCAGGTTCAGTTTAACCTGGAATATCTGACTACCCCTGAATCCACCCAGAAAGGGGGCCCAACACCCTTGTCCATTTATGGGTATTTTTTTTCGAAGTTATTAAGCATATTCCTTTTCCACGAACCTCTTCTGTACTTTGATTGTAATAGGTTGGCTCTTACACCCATTCCAAATGCAGTTTATTTTTAGACCCGATTGCAAATAGTGATGTAGTTTTAACCAGTATGGATTAGTTCAGGGATGAACTGCTCCCTCCAGCCTTACTGGCTCTGATCCACAGGGTTTTGTTTTGTTTTGTTTTGTTTTTTGTTTAAGTCGAGATATAAAAACTGAACACGATAACACTTACTCTTAAATCAAGCATCAACACTTTTTCCCTGTTAGAATTCTTTGCATTTTTGTGTTTGTAACAGAAACGCCTTAAGACACTATGTTTGGGAATATAGGAAACTATGTGTGTCCCAAGGAAATCCCTGTAAATTTAACTCACCTACAAAAGGCTTTTTCCCCGCCTTTGGTTGTTAACGGCATTCCTGAAAGCCACATGTGTTTATTCATTGGGCTTGTTCTTATCAGCAAATAGGTTTTCTGGTTTTATGACTTTTTGTCTTATTTTATTTTTCCTACATTTCTTTTTTTTTTTTTTTCCTTTAGAATGCCCTGGAAATATATTTAAGTGGTAATGAAAAATAGTAATCATAGTAAAACGCAACAAGAAGAAAACCAACCCAAACCAGTGAAGTTTTTTAGAACCTTTAGAAGGGTGGTCTTTATTCAGGTTTTACTGTAATGGTAAGGATTGACTCAAGAGACAGTATTAGTAAATTTATTGTGTATGGATCAAAAGTGAATAATGTATGAATGAGAGCTGTAAGAAGGATTTTTATTTTGTTATAATTTAGTTACCATTTTCAGTGTTATTTCAAAGGTTCTTTGAAGAATTTTGGGGCAGGGCATCAGATTAGAGTTTTAAAATTTGAGTATTTTGGATATCAGTGTTCCTCATGAAGATATACATGGATATTCAATTTTGATGGCTTCCAGATTTGTAAGATTGTATGTTGTATATACCATTCTATTAAGAAACATGTCCACTGTGCTTTCAAACATAGATAAAGCATGATAAAGATTATTATTTAAGATATACTTGTATTTATACCTCAGATATTCTTTTGGGTTTTGTACCTCAAGGCTTTTTTCTTCTTATTGTAAATACACTTTACGTGAATACAGTCTAAGTGAAGAAAATAAATAAAAGGAAGAGGTTTATAACTTGCTCTATATCTGTACAGATTATAATCAATAAGTGCACTATTATTAAATGTTTAAAGTAAGGGAAAAGTCTGGGCTGCCTTCCTTAATATTGCATCTCACTCCCACCCTTAAAACCACAGATTGCAAAGCATAGCATTTTAGCATCAACTACAATCAAAAGAGCGATTTGCTGAAGGAAAAATCGGACTGCAAATCATTCCAAGGCCAAACTGCAACTGAGCCACCCACTCCCAAACAGGAAACCCTGGTGAAGGTTCAGGAAGCACGGAGATTCTCTCCAACAAAGGTCCAGTTAGGAAACGACGCTGAGAGGATGACGACAACGTGCAACAGCAGAAAGATGCTTGCAAGCAGAGTCAGGGTCACCAGTGAATGCCACAAAAGTTCTCTTTCCCACTGTTTAATTTGACAAGAGAAGAATTTGAAGGATATGAACATTTTCAAGAACTCTGCTGAGGTCACTTAGAGCGCCATCACAACTTATTTGTGTGACTAATTGCCTAGATTGTAAGCTCTTTGAGGGCAGGGCTTGTCTCTTACACATCTTTATAATCCCCTGCAGCGGCTTTCAGTATTTTGTACTTGTAGGCACCTGATAAATTTATTATTTGCTATACTGAACTGATTGGATTAGCTTCTGTTACTGCAAAGGGAAGAGCATCTAGGATCCCGATCATCTTAAAGCCTCCTTTTCATTCACTGCTGATTTTCAGATGACAGAGACTGGAAATTTCCAACTTCATGGGACTTTTTTTTTTTTTTTTTTTTTTTTTTTTTGAGATGGAGTCTCTGTCTGTCGCCGAGGCTGGAGTGCAGTGGCGCGATCTCGGCTCACTGCAAGGTCCACCTCCCGGGTTAACGCCATTCTCCCGCCTCAGCCTCCCCAGCAGCTGGGACTACAGGTGCACGCGGCCACGCCCGGCTAACTTTTGTATTTTTAGTAGAGATGGGGTTTCACTGTCTTAGCCAGAGTGGTCTCGATCTCCTGACCTTGTGATCCACCCGCCTCGGCCTCCCAAAGCACTGGGATTACAGGCGTGAGCCACCGCGCCCGGCCACTTCATGGGATCTTAAGTTTTAAACTGAAAAAGACAAATTAACCTGTTGGAGTCTTAAATTTAAACTGATGAAGGTGACATAGATACTATATATAGATACTATGGCTACTGATTTTAAACAGTTTGTGATGGCATTTTAACAAATCACATGTCTCCCAATGTGATGTCTATCCTAGAAGAGGTTGTATTTCAACAAATACTTACTTTGGGCATAGAAAAAGGTTGGTGGGGGGGGGCCCTAACCTTATAATCCGTTTTGTTTTGTTTTTTTTGTTTTGTGATTTGTTTGTTTTCGAGACAGGGTCTCACTCTGTTGCCCAGGCTGGAGTGCAGTGGTATGATCAAGGCTCACTGCAGCCTTGACCTCCCTGGCTCAAGCGATCCTTCCAACTCAGCCTCTCAAATAGCTGGGACTGCAGGCGCATACCACCACACCCAGCTAATTATTGTATTTTTTGTAGCAATGGGGTTTCACCATGTTGCTGAAGCTGGTCTCGAACTCCTGGACTCAAGCGATCCCCCACCTCGGCCTCCCAAAGTCCTGGGATTACAGGCATGAGCCACCATGCCCAGCCTTCCCCTTATCATTTTTTAAAAGACACACACACACACACACACACACACATCAGGGACTTTTTTTTTTTTTTTTTTGACTCTTCAAACCTGGTTTGTTCAGAGCTGTATAAAATAAAGATCAAAATATCATAGGCCTGAATACCTAGTACTTTATTTGAAGAGACCGGGAGTCATTGGTTCCCAACAGTTTACAAGGTTACCAAGGAGGGAGTAGCCACCCTCACAAGCCCCCAGTGTGGATTTAGATTGCTCTTATCACACCACCTGCTACTTGCTTAATCAACACATTTTGTCAGTTTTTCACCAACTATGTATCCGGCACGAGATCAAGCTGTGAGCAAGGCTGGTATCACCCTGCCCTTGCAGAATTAAAATCTGCCCTCACAGATTTTTAAAATAGAAATGTCAGTGCCACGTGATGAGCACTAGGACAGGTTCCTATGCACTCAGAAGGAGAAGCTAAGGGTTTAACAAAGCTCAAGGTAATTGTTTTACACACTCCAAGCATCCTATCTACCAATTTAATGGAATAAGTTGGGAAAATCTAACAACATTACATGATTCTTTAAGAGATTTGTTTTCAGGGCTGTGGAGACAACTGAAATTTCTGAAAAGTAAGATCTAAAGAAAAATGAAGGAAGACAATAATCCGATATAGGTACTTTCCAACATCACTAGATAGGGGAGTGCAGAAAGAGAGAGGTTATAGGGGTATGGGGGATTTTACAGCTGCATTCATGTGTCTTTACAGCACTTTTATCCTCTTTTCATATGCTTACTTAAGCCTCACATGCACCCCGTGAAGCCTACATGTCCTCACCATTCTATGGCTAATTTTTGTATTTTTAGTAGAGACAGGGTTTCACGATGTTGGCCAGGCTGGTCTCGAACTCCTGACCTCAAGTGATCCGCCTGCCTCGACCTCCCAAACTGCTGGGATTACAGGCATGAGCCACCATGCCCAGCCCCCTACGTGCTCCTTTTCTCTGGCGACTTGTGGATTTAGTAATACCCTCCCTCTTTCCCCCACCAACCAGCCTTTCCCCTTTAAATACTGAAGCCTCAAAATCATCTTTGCAGAAATTCACAGACCTGTCTTCCAGGCATTGTCCTTAACCTTGGCAAAATAAACATCTACATTGATTGAGACCTGTCTCAGATACTTTTTGGTTTATGCCACCTGAGTCAGCGTCCCAAGGAAATTCTGTCACCCTATTACTAAGATGACAGGAGAATTTAAATCGGTGAAGATAAGTAGGAGGAGAAAGTTTCATTTCAGGCTGATGGTTGAAAGACTTTGTAGGTCTGTCTCGTAAATCAAATATGATTTGAAGTGTAGAAAGACTCCGCTTATCCTCCTTGTGACACATAGGACCTGATTCTCCCCTTGTGCAAGAACAGAACAGTTAATTACACATGTGGTCTGATCACAGCGCACCCATTCTCTCTTATCATGCATTTCTTAGTGGGTACACGGGAACATCTACTGACAGGCTTCTTAACTTGCAGCCCAGGACCAGAATACCAGTCTTGTAACTCTTCCTGCAATACCGCATAATGCCCTCACCACCACACAAGAATATCAGGAAGCGCCACAGAGATATTTGTGAAGGTGCTTTGAAAAGCAAGGGTTATTCAGCTGTGAGGGAGCACTCAGGAAAGCAAAGTGGAACTGAGCCCAGCTGCTTTCCCTCCCCTGCCTGTTGAAGCATATGTTAATGACTCTAAAGCAGAAATCCCAAACAATGAGATCATGCCATGCATGTCATCTTGGTGTTCCATCAGGATGAAATTTGCCTAAGGAATTTAAATTCCATTTGCCTAAGGAATGCAAATTATAACAGATCTCAAAGAGCCTGTGGCAGGAAAAGCTCAGGTAGGTCTGCACAGTTGCAATGAGTTTGGGCCCATTCTCTAGGGGATGATGAGACTTTTGCAGGCAGGGAGTTTGCTAAATCATGTTAGTAGCTGTAGCCCAAAGTAATTACCTTTGCTGTATATACACAGGTCGCATGAGAGCAGCTGGCTTGTCTGTCCGGACTCAAGGCTGTGTTGACACCTATAGTAATAAACACCTTTCTGCACACATTTTTCAGCCACTGGATTTTTTTTTTAAAGGGGAGGGGAGTTCAGGGCTAAAAGTGTTACAACTCATAAGGTCTTCTCATTTCCTTTTCTCTCTCTTTTTTTTTTTTTTTAATTTTTTTTTTTTGAGATGGAGTCTCACTTTCTCTGTCATCCAGGCTGGAGTGCAGTGGCGTGATCTCAGCTCACTGCAACCTCCTCCTCCTGGGTTCAAGAGATTCTTCTGACTCAACCTCCCAAGTCGCTTGGATTACAGGTATGCACCACCATACCTGGCTAATTTTTGTATTTTTAGTAAAGACGAAGTTTCACCATGTTGGTCAGGCTGGTCTCAAAGTCTTGACCTCAAGTGATCCGCCCACCTTAGCATCCCAAAGTGCTGGGATTTCAGGCATGAGCCACCACGCCCAACCTCTCTTTCCTATTAAGATACAAAACAGCAGCCAGGAGTGGTGGCTCACGCCTGTAATCCCAGCACTCCAGGAGGCCGAGGCAGACAGATCACGAGGTCAAGAGATCGAGACCATCCTGGCCAACATGGTCAAACCCCGTCTCTACTAAAAATACAAAAATTAGCTGGGCGTGGTGGCGGGCGCCTGTAGTCCCAGCTGCTCGGCAGGCTGAGGCAGTAGAATCAGTTGAACCCGGGAAGGCAGAGGTTGCAGTGAGCCCAAGATCATGCCACTGCACTCCAGCCTGGCGATAGAGTGAGACTATGTCTAAAAAAAAAAAAAAAAAATTACAAAATATTGTGGAAAGGAAAAACCTTACTCTTTTTATGAATCTGAGAATGGCACTCACCAACATGATAAGTGATGTGTTTCTGCAAAAATAGTCTGATTTACAAGGAAGTCATTTCAAAAGCTTTTTGGATTACAGGCACTTTTAAAATACAAATGTGTTCGGCCCAAGTCTGAATGGACATGCTGTGAACTACCATTTATTATAATATTATAATGCACCGGGTAAGAGAATATGTGCTTTATATACAGTTAATATCTCATTTCAATTTCATAGTACCAGGCGTGGTGGCTCACACCTGTAATCTGTAATCCCAGCACTCTGGGAAGCTGAGGCAGGTGGATGGTTCCAGCCCAGGAGTTTGAGACCAGCCTGGGCAACATGGCAAAACCCCGTCTCTACAAAAAGTACAAAAATTAGCTGGTCATGGTGGCCTTCCTGCAGTCCCAGCTACTCTAGAGGCTGAAGTTGGAGGATTGCTGGAGCCCAAGAAGTGGAAGCTGCAGTGATCATGCCACTGCACTCCAGCCTGGGTGATAGAGTGAGACCCTGTCTCAAAAAATAATAGATAAGTACATTTCATAGCAGCCTTTTGAGGGAGAGAACTTATTAGCCTCATTTTACAGATGGAAAAGTTTAAAGAGATAGGAAAGCTTAAAGAAATATAGTAGCTACATAATATTTACAAATGGACTCAAGAAATTGTAGGGCAGTACTTAGAACATTCTGCCATGCTGGAGATGTTCCTTATCTGCCCTGGCTAATATGGTAGCCACTAGCACATGTGGCTGCAGCTTGTGTAACTGAGGAGTTGAATGCTTCATTTTATTTAATCTTTTATTAATTTAAACCTAAATAGCCTCATGTGGCTAGTGGGTACTGTATTTGGGTAATGCAGATGCTATTTCAAAGATCTAAGAATATTTCCAAGCAATCTAACCCCTGTCACTCTCTTGGCCTATATAATAATGCTCTTAAGAAAGAAACAGGAAGGGTGCGGTAGCTCACACCTGTATCCCAACACTTTGGGAGATGGAGGAGGGAGGATCACTTGAGCCTAAGAGATCGAGACCAGCCTGGGCAACATAGGGAGACCCCATCTCTACAGAAAAAAAAATTAAAAATTAGCTGGGCATGGTGGTTCAGATCTGTACTCCCATCTACTTGAGAGGCTGAGGTGGGAGGATCGCTTGAGCCCAGGAGTTTGAGGCTGCGGTGAGCTAGGATCCCACCACTGCACTTTGGCCTGGGCAACAGAGTAAGACCCCATCTCAAAATAAAAAAGAAAAGAAAAAGAAAAAAGAAAGAGAGAGGAGAGGAGAGGAGGGGAAGAAAGAAAAAAAGAAAGAAGAAAGAAAGAAAGAAAGAAAGAAAGAGAGAGAGAGAAAGAAAGAAAAAAGAGAAAGAAGGAAAGAAGGAAGGAGAGAAAGAAAAAGAAAGAAAGAAAGAGAAGGAAGGAAGGAAAGAAAGGAAAAGAAAGGAAGGAAAGAAAGAGAAAGAAAGAGAGAAAGAAGAGAAAGAGAGAAAGAAAAGAAATGAACAGAAATACGGTAAAAATTTGTAAAAACCTAACTGGCCATATTTCAGGTCAGATAACATCAACTCAACATTCTGCCTGCCACAAGACTAAAACGGTATCTCCACCACCTATGGCCAGCCTCCACATTCCTCAAGCCAGAGTTGGATGACCTCTTTTCTTTGCTGCTATGGAATCTACACATCTCCAAACTAGAGATAAAGACGCAGCTGATCCGAAAAGAATGCCTAGTAATTCAGACTATTCTCAGCTTGCTGTGACCCTCGCAGACATTGCTGTTCCAGCAACCACAGAGATCATTTTGTGGTCTGTTCCTGTCATTTTGCATGTCTGTTCGCTTGTCTCTGGTATCGTGGCTTCTTTTCATGTTGGTAAGACTGGCCATTCAACAGCAGCATTCAGAGCCCAGAGTCAGCTTTGATGGAAGGAGTTCCTGATCCAGGTTTGATAAGAGAGGTCTGCACCCAAAAGTCAGCAGTAACAATTCTGAGACAAAGACGCATCTTCCACAGTGGTTTCTAGACTTTCACCTCCAAAGGATTTTTGTTATATTCCTTAACCTGCTCCACCTTTTCCATAGTTTTCAAATATTTCTCATATTACACAGTATAATTGTTTGAGGAAGTAATGTATTCATTTTCTTATTTTCAGCGTATACACGTATTATTTACAACTGCTAATCAAGGCTAGAAGCCTCTCAGAAAGAAGTGTGAAATAACTTTTATTGTCACACAATTTGAGCGTTCTCAGTGAAAAGCAGTTTTCTAAGGCTTTTAAAACTGAAGGCTGTGGGATCTTAAAATCAAAACAATTGAATTCATGGATGTAGTAGGATTGTTACCAGAGGCTGGGAAGGGTAGTGGGGAAAAGTGTATATGGTTAATGGGTACAAAACAAAATAGTTAGAAGGAATGACTAAGACCTACTATTTGATAGCACAACAGGGTAACTATAATTAATAATAACATAATTGTACATTTTAAAATAACCTAAAGATTGTAATTGGATTATCTGTCACACAAAGGATAAATGCTTGAGGGGATGGACACCCCATTCACTATGATGTGATTATTTTACATGGCATGCCTGTATCAAAGCATCTCATGTACCCCATATCTATATACTCCTACTATGTACTCAGAAAAATTAAAAATTAAAAACTTTTTTTTAAAACCTCAAGACTGTCCAACGCCATTCACTTCAACGATCTCAAGTCTGTAGCCCAGTGAAGGTTCCTGGCTCTCTTAATCACTCGGCACAGGAGGTGATTAATCAAAGAAATGGAGGATTTAACATCTGTCCCAGAGAAAACAGTTTTCCTTACTTCCGGGGCCAGCAGATAGAATGTATTTTTTTTTCAATAACAAAGATAAGCGGAGCTCTATTTTGTTGCAGTGTTTCAAAACGTAAACATATAAATAGATCATTAATATCATTCCAAGAAAGCAGGAAATTCTTAGTCACACGGTCTGTAATGATTATTAAAGCAAGGAGGAAACGCTGAAATATCTCAAAGAGCTAGAGAATATTTCACCCCAAGATGCAGAATACTGAAAATAGAATATGTTTCTGAGCTACCTTATGGAAAGGAAAGAAGATACTAAAATTCTGGAAGAAAGCAGACCTGGCTGGTAAGGCAGGATGAGGGTAAAGCTCTTGGTTTGGTGGGGGGATTTGATTGCTTTTTATTTTGTTTTAGCCAACTTAATCCCACAAACATTTTTGGGTCAGATTAATATTTGCCACCATAGGCATATCCCATAGCCCAGTGGACTTCTACTCTGAGAGACCCAACAGTTCCATCCCTTTTGGATGAATCACTTCAGTGGCTCATTCAGCCTAAGGTCAAGCTGCCTTTCAGACGACCCATGGGCATTTACATTTCAGAATTGCATTTTTTGGTGATTTTTGAACAGAGTCATTTCATGACATAGGAGACCTAACAGAATAAGAAAACCATTTCAAAGACTAACTCCTTTTGTTTGCTTTCATTCACTTCCTAGTTTCCTCTGATTCTAAGCCCATTGAATCCCAAGAAAAGAACAAATAGAGATAAAATCAGGAAATATAAAAAACAGCATCCTCCAAATAAAACCAGACTCTCATTTAAGCAACAGTAAAAGGAAGAACCAGTCTCTGAAGGAAGCAAACAAAAGAAGGACCAGGATAAGGTTTCTTTTTCTTTTTCTTTCTTTTTTTTTCTTTTTGGACAGGTATTGCCATGTTGGCCAGGCTGATCTCGAACTCCCGGGCTTAAAGAGATCCACCCACCTCGACCTTCCAAAGTGCTGGGATCACAGGCTTGAGCCACAGTCCACGGCCCAAGGCAAGGTTTCTCATGATCAAAATAGACTTGCAAAAATTCCTGAGTCTACATCACACCTCTGTGCTTGGAGACACCAAAAGAGCCAGACTCCCTTTCTTAGGCTGCCTGAGAGAATGCGATTTCTTATTTCAATTCTTACACTGACTCTAGGCCTTCTTTTCTCATCTTCTTGGTATTCAGGCTTTCATTATCTGGCCCATGTTCCTTCACCCAAATGCCTTCTCTCTCTCCGTGACTTTTTCTCTCTTGCCTCCTTCAAGCCAACATTAGGACTCCAGGGCCCTCCCGGGGCCTCAAGTGGTCCCTGCTCGCTGTGTCTTCCCTCCATCCTTTCCTTGTTTTTCTCTCTGTTCATCTTTCACACCTCCATACACCTTCCCTTCCTATCCCATGATCTCTTAAAAAAAAAAAAAAAAGATTTTTAGTTTCAGCAGATTGCAGTGGCTCACACTTGTAGTCCCAGCACTCTGGGATGCTGAGGCCAAGGCTGGCAAATCACCCGAGTTCAGGAGCTCGAGACCAGCCTGGCCAACATGGTGAAACCCCGTCTCTACTAAAGGTACAAAAATTAGTCTGGCGTGGTGGCATGTGCCTGTAATCCCAGCTACTCAGGAGACCAAGTCACGAAAATCACTTGAACCTGGGCGGCAGAAGTTGCAGTGAGCCAAGATTATGTTTCTTATGTTTCTATTAATTTAAAAATATTCATAATCCCAGCACTGTGGGAGGCCAGTGTGGTTGGATCACTTGAGCTCAAGAGTTCAAGACCAGCCTGGATAAAGATGGTGAAACCCCATCTCTACTAAAAATATAAAAATTAGCCAGACTTGGTGGTTAGCACCTGTAGTCCCAGCTACTCGGGAGGCTGAAGAATGAGAATCGCTTGAACCTGGGAGGCGGAGGTTGCAGTGAGCCGAGATTGCACCACTGCACTCCAGCCTGGGCGACAGAGCAAGACTCGTCTCAAAATAAATGAATATATAAATAAATAAAAGTACTCAGACTATCTCTGCTAGATAGGCTGAGGATTTATTTATCTTTTGTCCCCTTTAAAAAGGGAGAACTGGCAGGGTGCAATGTTTCATATCTGTAATCCTAGTGCTTTTGGAGACTGAGACAGGAGGATTGCTTGAGAAGAGGAGCTGGAGACCACTCTGGGCAACATAGCAAGATCCCTTCTCTACAAAATATTTTTTAGAAGTTAGCCAAGAGTGGTGGCATGCAGCTGTAATCCCAGCTACTCAGGAGGCTGAGGCAGGCGGATCACTTGAGCCCAGGAGTTTGAGGCTGCAGTGAGCTATGATTGCACCCCTGCACTTCAGCCTGGGTGACAGAGCAAGATCCCATCTTTAAAGAAATGAAAATAAAATAAAACAAAACTATTCAGACTATCTCTGCTAGATAGGCTGAGAAATTCCTTATCCTTTGCCCCCTTTAGGAAGAGAGAGCTATCTAAAGTCATTATAGAGGGAATACGGCAGGAGGCAGTTGGGTGATAGGTAGAGAGCCAATGGGCCTCAATAAATTAGACAGATGAAGACACAGCTACAGGGTGGTGGTTAGAGAAAGTAGATTTGGGCAAAATTTTCTTAAGTTCAGGGGCCTATATGCAGTTTTAAAAACAAAGGACATTTGCCAATGGAGAGAGAAATAGCAAAGACGCCATGAGGAAAGAAATACACAGAGCATCAAAGTCACGAAAGATGCCTTCCTTTGGAACAGTAGAGAAAGACAGGGTAAGAAAGTATCTTCCTATGCAAGAGACTTGGGGGCCACGGAATCAGAGAATGTTGACTTGGATGGCATTTTCAAGATGGCCAAATCTAAGCACCTAATTTTCTAGAAGTGGAAACAGGCTTAGAGAGGCTAAGATTTTCTTTATTTTTGTTGTTTTGTTTTGTTGTTTTCAGAGATGGGATCTGGCTATGCTGGCCAGGCTAGAATGCAGTGGTTGTTCATAGGCACAGTCACAACACACTGCAGCCTAGAGCTCTTAGCCTCAAGCAATCCTCCCACCACAGCCTTCAGAGTAGCTGAGACTACAGACAGGAGCCACCACACTGCTTTGCCCAAAGGATTTTTTTTTTTTTGAGAAGAAGTCTCGCTCTCTTGCCCAGGCTGGAGTGCAGTGGCACGATCTCAGCTCACTGCAACCTCCGCCCCCAAGGTTCAAGAGATTCTCCTGCCTCAGCCTCCCGAGTGTCACCTGGGATTACAGGCAGGTGACACCTCGCCTGGCTAATTTTTGTATTTTTAGAAGAGATGGGGTTTTGCCATGATGGCCAGGCTGGTCTTGAACTCCTGACCTCAGGTGATCTGCCTGCTTCAGCCTCCCAAAGTGCTGGGATTACAGGCGTGAACCACCGTGCCCAGAACCCTTGCCCGAAGGTTTTAAATGACAGCAGTAAATGGGCTAGAAGTCAGGTTTGGATGACAACAGTTATTCTGGAGGAACTTTAGGTTGGTTCCCCGCTGCCTAGCAACATAGTAGATGAGTGCTTCAGTTGTAGTCATTTTTCTCAGGGTTTACCTCCACCAAGGTGCCCGGGTCTGACTTTCATTCAAAACTCAGATTCTCCTACCGCAGGGCCCTACTTCCTACCAGCCAGCGATGTGTCCTCTTTCTCTACTTTTACTCCCCTAAAGCTATGACTATCCATTGGGTTGCATGAATAATGTTCATTTAAGCAGGTAGGTCTGCACAGTTCTAATTTTTCCAGGCATTATCTTATTTAACCCTCACCACAAAAGAAACAATGAGATTGGAGGTCGTATTATTCTATGTTACAAATGGAGAAAGCAAAGTACAGCTAGGCTAAGTTCTCCAGGGTTCCCTGTGAAATTCATCACACAAAGCCTTAGGAACAGCCCCTGGCACATGCTAAGCCCCGGTATCTGTTAGGTATTATCTTTATGGTTGTACTAGAGGCCATGTCATGTAGCAGGTGGGAGCCTGGACTCTGGAGCCAGATTCTCTGGGGTCAAACCACCATTTATACTAGCTATGTGCTCTCGAGGAGACAGAGGTAATAACAATAAAGAAATTAGTACTCAGCCAGGCGCGGCGGCTCACGCCTCTAATCCCAGCACTTTGGGAGGCCAAGGTGCGCAGATCACGAGGTCAAGAGATGAGACTATCTTGGCCAACATGGTGAAACTCTGTCTCTACTTAAAATACAAACAATTAGCTGGGTGTGGTGGCGCGTGCCTGTAGTCCCAGCTACTCGGGAGGCTGAGAATCACTTGAACCCAGGAGGCAGAGATTGCAGTGAGCCAACACTGCACCACTGCACTCCAGCCTGGCGACAGAGTGAGACTCCACCTCAAAAAAAAAAAAAAGAAAGAAATTAGTACTCATAGTAACTAACACATAAGGATCGCTATGTATTATTACTTCTAAATGTGTTTCTTATTCTTTCTTAGTTTAAGCACATGCCTAAAACAAACTATACACACCCATAAGATTCATATGAATCAAGGTTATTACCATTCAAGCTTGCGTGGCTATCCCTGTGGGTGAGGTGGGAAAGGCCTGACAGCTTCCTCTCCTTATGGAGTCTCTGGAATTTAGCAGCACTGGATTTCTAGATTTTTTACTGAGTTAGGCATTCAACAAACAAGTATCCACTATGACCAACAGAGGAAGGCCACAGAAATGTAAGTCAACCCTCCTGACTTGGAGGTGCTGATAGTCTTTCCAAGGAGACAGAGAAATAATTTCAATACAATGTGTTTTAGTGGAGACTCTACCCAGTGGCCCAGAAAAAGAGAGGACACTTAAACCAGGTGCTGAAGGATGGTGGAGGAAGGGGCAGGAGGCATTCCAAGCAGGGGCAAGCTGGGGACATAGGCAGCCTGAAGAAGTCTAGGCTGGCAACAAAGCAGGGAGGGTCCTGCGTGCCTGGAGGAGGCTGTTCTGGAGGCTCAGCAGGAGAAGCGCCTGCAGAAGGAGGCGGGGGAGATGGGAAGATTGAGAACAGCCTTATATACCGTTCTAAGGAATTTGATTGTCACGCACCAGGCAAATGGGAAGCTTTGAGAAGCTTTTAAGGAGGGAAGCATGGAGATAGAGTTAGAGCTGTATTATGAACCCAAGACAATTAAAAATTTTAAAATTAAACTGCAAAGAGGCCGGGTGCAGTGGCTCACTCCTGTAATACCAGCACTTTGGGAGGCTGAGGCGGGAGGATTACCTGAGGTCAGGAGTTCAAGACTAGCCTGGCCAACATAGTGAAACCCCTCTCTACTAAAATACAAAAATTAGCTGGATGTGGTGGTGCACGCCTGTAATCCCAGCTATTGAAGAGGCTGAGGCAGGAAAATTGGTTGAACCTGGAAGGCGGAGGTTGCAGTGAGCCAAGGTGGCACCACTATACTCCAGCCTGGGCAAGAGAGCGAGACTCCATCTCAAAATACAAACAGACAGGTCGGGCGCAGTGGCTCACGCCTGTAATCCCAGCACTTTGGGAGGCCGAGGCAGGTAGATCACGAGGTCAGGAGATCGAGACCATCCTGGCTAACATGGTGAAACCCCGTCTCTACTAAAAATACAAAAATTTAGCCGGGCATGGTGGCAGATGCCTGTGGTTCCAGCTACTCGGGAGGCTGAGGCAGGAGAATGGCGTGAACCCAGGAGGCGGAGCTTGCAGTGAGCTGAAATCGCGCCCCTGCACTCAAGGCAGGGCGACAGAGCGAGACTCCATCTCAAACAAACAAACAAACAAACAAATGAACAAACAACAAAAAAAACTGCAATGAAAAAAAGTCAAAAAAAAATTCAAGTTAAAATGAGGTCACACTGGATGGGGTAGGCTCTAAACCCAATCACTGGTCTCCATCTAAGAAGTGACACAGACGCATGGAGTCATAGGCACGTGGGAGAAGTCTATGTGATGAGGAAGCAGAGATTGGAAGGACGCATCTGCAAACCAAGGAGAGCCCGCAATTGCCAGCAACCACCAGAAGCTACAAGAGGCAAGGAAGGGTTCTCCCAGAGCCTTTGGAGGGAGCATGCCCAGGTGACATCTTTTTTTTTGAGACGGGGTCTTGCTCTGGCTCTGTCATCCAGGCTCAGGGCAGTGGCACAATCTTGGCTCGCTGCAGCCTCCTCCTCCCGGGTTCAAGCAATTCTCTTGCATCAGCTTCCCAAATAGCTGGGAATACAGGTGCCCATCACCACGCCTGGCTAATTTTTGTATTTTTAGTAGAGACGGGGTTTTGCCATGTCGGCCAGGTTGGTCTCCAACTCCTCGCCTCAAGTGATCCGCCTGCCTTGGCCTCCCAAAGTGCCGGGATTACAGGTGTGAAACACTGAGGCCGGGTGCAGTGGCTCACTCCTGTAATCCCAGCACTTTTGGAGGCCACAGCCCAGCCCCAGGTGACATCTTAATTTTGGACTGTAGCCTCTAGACTGTGAGAATAAATTTTTATTTTTTTAAGTCCAACCACAAAGAATTGGATCTGATTTTTTAAAAGAAAAGTCTGGCCGAGTCACACTTGTAATCCCAGAGCTTTGGATGGCTGAGGCATGCAGATTCTTTGAGGCCAGGAGTTCAAGATCAGGATGGGCAATACAGTGATACCCTATCTCTACAAAAAAATAAAGAAAATTAGCAAGGAATGATGGCACATGCCTATAAGTCCCAGCTGCTCCAGCCACTTGGGAGGCTGAGGCAGGAAGTAGTTTGATCATGCCACTGAACTCCAGCCTGGGCAGCAGAGTACGATCCTGCCTCCAAAAAAATAAAGAAAATAAAAATAAACAAACAAAAGCCTGCAAGGGTTGTGGAGGCTGGATTCACTGGAAAGGATTTAGTCAAGGAGAGCCTTACATAATTCCCACAAAAGATCATAAGTGCCCAAACCGAGAGAGTGCTGTGGGGAAGAAATAGCAGGAGGCGAGGAGGAACAGAGAGAATGAGGAGGGAGAATCCTTGGCACGCAGCGGCAGCCCTTTTAGAATGAGAGATGGGAGATAAGGATTGCACTCTAGATCATAGCTGCACTGCCCATGTGAAGAGAGATGCTGCTGTCTGAGATAAGCAGTGCAGGAGGAGAAACAGGTTTGAGATGAAGGAAAAGGGTGGTGAGTTCAAGTGGGAGTCTACTGAGACTTCTGCAGGAGTTCTAAATGGAGTTCTGGCCCGGCCCATGGAAACAGGGGACAAGAGTTCCTGGGAGCAGATGCCTGGCCAAGGCAAGGATTTGGAAGAGTAAAGAGTAGCTGAAGCCCTGGATGATGCAGAGATGTCCTGGTCTAGGCAGAGAACAGAGAGGTGGGTACCAGTCTGCCTGGGATCAGAGTGCTAGCTACCTGCCTGGAAGTCACCTCATGAAAGATTCTAGGGTCACAAGACAGGGACATGAGTTTCTTCGTAATTATCAGGAACGTAAGTTTGCTTGTTTTTTTCTTAGCTTGATGTTTTAGGTTCCTGAATTTCCTAGCATATTGGAGACGATGAATGCCGTTTGGATCTCTTCCACGAAGAAGCTGGAGGTGTCGTGGAGAAGTGGAATGGCTCACGCTTGTAATCCCAGCACTTTGGGAGGCCAAGGCCGGAGGACTGCTTGAGCCCAGGAGTTTATGACAAGCTGGGGCAACAGAGCAAGACCTTATCTCTACAGAAAATTTAAAAATTAACAGGGTGTGGTGGTACATGCCTGTAGCCCTAGCTACTTGGAAGGCTGAGGTGGGAGGGTCACTTCAGTCCAGGAGTTTGAGCCTGCGGTGAGCTGTGATCATGCCATTGAACTCCAGCCTAGACAACAAAGGGAACCCCTGTCTTCAAAAAGGAGAAGAAAAAGAAAAACAAGAGAAAAGAGAATGGCTGGTGTCAACCAAATAATTAAATGGAGTAAGTGTGCTCGCTCATGAATAAAAAGTCACAAATTATCCTAGGCTATCTAATATTCAGGCACAGTCCCTAATAAGTGAAGTTAGAGTTGACCAGCATAAAAGAGCTGGTTGCTTTCTTCAGTATCTTTAAAATACAAACAACAAAAACAAGAAAGACAAGCGCAGGCTTGTGCAAATCTTGTCCCAGCACAAAAGGGCTGCATGCAGGAATCAGAACATTTTGTTGATTTCATAAGGCACCACATTCTCCCTTGGGTATCCTGTAATAATCAAAAGCTTTGGCAGTTGTATGTGTTTTTTATAAACTCTGAGAAAGCAAATTAGGTTGGTTTAGTCAATGCACTTTAATTGCCAGACATCAAATTTTGAAAACCTGAAGTTTCTAGAGATTAAAAAATAAAATAAAATTAAATGTTATCCAGAGAGGGCCGGGCGCAGTGGCTCATGCCTGTAATCCCAGCACTTTGGGAGGCTGAGGCAGGCAGATCACGAGGTCAGGAGATCAAGACCATACTGGCTAACATGGTGAAACCCCGTCTTTACTAAAAATACAAAAAATTAGCCGGGCGTGGTGGCGGGCGCCTGTAGTCCCGGCTACTCGGGAGGCTGAGGCAGGAGAATGGTGTGAACCCGGCAGGCAGAGCTTGCAGTGAGCCGATATCGCGCCACTGCACTCCAGCCTGGGCGATACAGCGAGACTCATCTCAAAAAAAAAAAAATGTTATCCAGAGAGGTGACAAGTTTGGGACCTTACGGCAAGTGCTCAGCCCTTACTCACTGTCCTTGTTAGTGAGTTGGCATCCCCAGCAGCGCCACCAGCATCCTCTGTGGTGAGCCAGAGCCCTGTCAGCTGAAACTTCCAAACACTTCTGTCAAAGAGGTGAGTGGAAAATTGTAAACCTCCCTAGCTAATTCCAAGGGACTCTTCAAGTGATGGTTCCTCTAAGATATCCCCCAGGGTAGGGACTAAGTGTCCTTCCCCTGGGCTCGCTCTGTTTGGCCACATTATTTTGTATTGTCTGAGTCTGCCTTTTGTTTTGTGTTACTTTGTTTTGGTTTGGGTCTAGGTCTGCTCCTAGACAATAGCGTCTTTGAAGGCAAACATCGCCTTCTTCCCTTCTCTGTCCCGAACACTAACATAGTACCTGGCATATTTCCAGGGCTCCAAAATCATATGGACCAGAAGACAATCTGCTTTACAATCAGACGTGCTTCTGAAGACAAGAGGATGAAGAGAAAGCAGTGGGGAAGGAGGGCCACCCCATGATCTGGGGCAGCTGAATAAAGAAACCTCTGGGCCGGGCGCAGTGGCTCATGCCTGTAATCCCAGCACTTTGGGAGGCTGAGGCGGGTGGATCACCTGAGGTCAGGAGTTCAAGACCAGCCTGGCCAACATTGGGAAACCCCGTCTCTACTAAAAATACAAAAGATTAGCTGGGCATGGCGGCGGGCGCCTGTAATCCCAGCTACTTGGGAGGCTGAGGCAGGAGAATTGCTTGAACTCGGGAGGCGGAGGTTGCAGTGAGCCAAGATCGCGCCATTGTATTCCAGCCTGGGCAACAAGAGCGAAACTCTGTCTCAAGGAAAATAAATAAATAAATAAATAAAAATTAAAAACCTCTTTCCTACCTTGAAGGACCATCCCTGCAGCACCCAGCAAACACAGACACATACTACCTTCAGGGCTCTAGGGTGACATGTGGCCTTTGGTGACTTGAAACCTCCATCTAGTTAGAAAACAAAATCCAGCAACCCATAGAGTAAATTTTTTTTTTATTTCAGTAGGTTTTGAGGGAACAGGTGGTGTCGTGGTGATTTCTGAGATTCTGATGCACCCATCACCCAAGCAGTGTACAGTGTGCCCAATCTGTAGTCTTTTATTCCTCACCCCCTTCCCACCCTTTCCCCTGACTCCCAAAGTACATTATATTATTCTTATGACTGCATCCTCATAGCTTAGCTCCCACTTATGAGTGGGAACATATAATGTTTGGTTTTCCATTCCCGAGTTACTTCACTCAGAATAATAGTCTCCAATTCTATCCAGGTTGCTGCGAATGCTATTATTTCGTGTTTTTATTTTTTTATTTTTTTGGCAGAGTAGTATTCCATGATACATATACAGCACATTTTCTTTATCCACTCATTGACTGATGGCCATTTGGGTTGGTTCCATCATTTTTGCAATTGCAAATTGTGCTACTATAAACATGCGTATGCCACTATCTTTTTCGTATCATGATTTCTTTTCCTCTGAGTAGATACCAGTAGTGGGATTGCTGGATCAAATGGTAGTTCTACTTTTAGTTCTTTAAGGAACCGCCACACTGTTTTCCATAGCGGTTGTACAAGTTTACATTCCCACCAGCAGTGTAAAAGTGTTCCCCTTTCACCACATCCATGTCAACATCTATTATTTTTTGATTTTTTGATTATGGCCATACCATGAGCGTGAATCTTGAGAGCCCAACAAGTTCTTCCTTTATGAGAGATGCAGGAAGTGGAGAAGGAGCTGAACTCTGAGTATCTTTCTTCTCCTTATCTACTTAGACCCTCTTAGACAATTGAACTAAATACCCATTTGTCTCAGAGCTAAGTCTAGTGAGCCCTGGAGGAAATTTAAATCAGGTCAGGTGTGGACAGAAGTATTTGCTGTCTCTTCTCCTTTCTTTTACTTTTTTTATTCTTCCTATTGGCAAAGGGCAAGAGGAAGATTCAACTCCAAATGCTCACAAAGTATGTTTCTCCTTCATTGTAATTAAGGTTTCAGTCACCCATGGCTTTACTAGAACTGTATGTAATTGCATTCCAGGTCTCTTCTTCAAATGACTCTGGCAATCTTCCCGGGGGACTCCGCTGTAGGTATGTCTTGGTAGGTGCAAGAACTGACTTCTCAAACCATTTGCAAGAACTGACTTCTCAAACCATTTATCTACTTACTTACCCAAGCTCTCCTCCTTTAAAAAATAACAAGTAACAGAGTCTTAAGATATTTATTTCACCTAGCGCTAATGGCTGACAAATAGAAATCCAGACTTTGAGGGGGTGATTTCAAAAGGCAACCTTTGATCTCTTTAAACTGTCAGCCTTCAGTCTGTAAGAACAGGAAATGTGCTGTATGTAATTGAATCACCACCCTGTTTTCCATCCTCCATTTCTCTTCCCCGATAAAGGGTCTCTCCTCACATTCCTTTATCTTCACCTAATGCCTCACCTCTGAGAGAAGGAGCTAGGAGCAGTGAAGAGAATTAATTTGGTTGCAACAATCTGGGGGAAAAAAGCATGCAAATGAGGTTCAAAGCAGGAGGTTTTACTTTCAGAATCCAGTTGCTATTCACACTTCCTTGTGCTTTGTAAGTGCTTCTAAATGTCAACCTTCAGGGTGAAGGGAGGCAGCTGCATCTGGATTCAAAAATGTGTTTTCACACTTGGATTCTCCAGTCTGCTCCACAGGGGAATCTGGGATTCCACCAAGCCAGGATGAGACCTCCAGACTTGACAAACCCCTTCAAATGAATCCTGGGCGTGGACGTGCTCACAGTCTACTGTCTGGTCATTTTCAGCATTATCTTTTAGCACGTGGTTGATCGCAGGCATAACACGCTGCTTAGAAATCAGCAGAGGCTCTCTGCCGAGTGTCAGGATGGGAGGGAGATAGGGGAGGACTGCATTTCTTGGTAGAGATACCCAATTCAGTGATTTGTTTTATGACACTCCTCAGATGAAATCCACATCGTGAGAGTAAAGGCTAAGAAGGAACCTTAGCTCTTTGGGGTCACCCCAAGCTCTGACCCCCTACACGGATTGTCATGGCCACACGGCAGCGCTTGAGAGTTTCCATTTCTGTGGAGGCCGAGCTCACAGTTCTGCAGATTGTGCTTTTTGTAAGGTGGAGGGGGAACAGCGTGATACTGCTGTTACCCAGTTAATATTCCACATATGGCTGCACTTTTGATATCTCTAAGCATGGGGAGTTGGGAGTAGCAGGACATGATTAATAGAAAAAATGAAGTGGAATCAGAATTCTTGGATTCTAGTGCTTTTAGGTATTTGAAACTCGGTCTCCATGTCAGGAAATATGAAGGAGAAATGTCACCTAGACTAGACTAAGAGTCAAGTGAGCATAAAAGGGCTTCAGGTACATCAGTCTCCACAAGGGGCTTAGGAGACACATGCCTTTTTGTCCATAAAAATGTGGGCATTGATGGATTTTTTCGTGGGGTGGTGGACGCGAGCTTTGAAAATCTTCCAGGATGAAATCACCTCTAGCCCTCTCTGGATAATAAAGCTCTGACTTGTTCATGGGATAAGGTGGACCCCGAACTGTTTCCTGAGAAATTCCTGGCTTTGCCTTCAGGTCCTCCCTGCCTTCCATCACAACATAATAAGGTTTCAAGTCTACAGATCATTCTTCAAATAAGGACACAAAATAACGTCTCTCTAAGCCCTTGAACTGATGCCTTCCAACTCTTACCCAAAAGCTGCGTGAGAGAAAGTTCCCTAGGAAGGACTATTTAAAAATTATTTAGTTCATTCACTTTTCTTAGTACTTTAGGATTTTTCTTTGGATACAGCTGGACATCAGTAAAGTAAACTCCTAGGTACTTAATACTTGGGTTCCAAACAAAACTACAGACTTATATTTTCACCAGGGAAGCTCCAAGAAACAGGGCAGAAAGCATGAAGCATTTGATTTGGACCTGCTTACGTTGTGGAGCTGGGGCCCCTGTACCTCCTACGTCTATTCTAAGAAACCTCACATCCAAGGTCATATGCAGTGGCTCATGCCTCGGCCTTTGGGAGGTCAAAGTGGGTGGATCGCTGGAGCCCAGGAATTTGAGACCAAGCTAGGCAACATAGTGAGACCATGTCTCTAAATAAAATACAAAAAAAAATTAGCCAGGCTTGGTGGTGCACACCTGTGGTACCAGCTACTTGGGAGGTTGAGGTGGCAGAATGGCTTGACCCCGGGAGGTGGAGGTTGCAGTGAGCCAAGATCACACCACTGCTCTCCAACCTGGGTGACAGAGTGAGACCCTGTCTCAAAAAAGAAAAAAAAAAAAAAAAAACTTCTCTTCCAAAAAGCCTTTTATTTGTAACGACTTCAGAAAACTTTCTCTCCCCTGAGTTTACTCTCATTACTGATTTTATCTTCCCTACCCTACCACCCTCCCCTCTACCCTGGGATTTTTTTGAGATGGGAGTCTCAGAATCCAAATGGAAATGCAATATAATTCCGTGGCCCCTTGTGTGTCCTGCCTGCTTCTGCCACATTACTTTTCAGACCTTGCTGTCTATCCTGCTTGCCTCCCTCCTGAGTTTTGCATGTGCTTTGGTTTAAATTGTCTCAAGTCCTTTTTGAAAATTAAGTCATCATGCCGGGCGCAGTGGCTCATGCCTGTAATCTCAACACTTTGGCAGGCCGAGGCGGGCGGATCACAAAGTGAGGAGATCGAGACCATCCTGGCTAACATGGTGAAACCCCGTCTCTACTAAAAATAGAAAAATTAGCTGGTCGTGGTGGCGGGCACCTGTGGTCCCAGCTACTCAGGAGGCTGAGGCAGGAGAATGGAATGAACCCAGGATGTGGAGCTTGCAGTGAGCCAAGATCGCACCACTGCACTCCAGCCTGGGCGACAGAGCAAGACTCCGTCTCAAAAAAAAAAAAAAAAAAGAAAGAAAGAAAATTAAGTCATCACAAGCAAACGTGTTTGTAATGGTCTGTTCTCATGCTGCTAATAAAGACATACCCAAGATTGGGTGATTTATAAAGGAAAGAGGTTTAATTGACTCACAGTTCAGCATAGCTGGGGAGGCCTCAGGAAACTTAACAATCATGGTAGATGGGGAAGCAAACACGTCCTTCTTCACATGACAGCAGCAAGGAGAAATGCAGAGTGAAAGGGGGCCCGGGGGAAGCCCCTTATAAACCATATCAGATCTCCTGAGAACTTACTCACTACTAGAAGAACAGCATGGAGGTCCCTCCCATGACACATGGGGATTATGGAAACTGTAACACAATTCAAGAAGATATTTGGGTGGGGACACAGCCAAATCATCTCATTGTTTAAAATATGTTTAACAAAACACCTGTTTAAAATAATAAATTTCACATTATATACATGTTACAAAATCTCTCATGTACTCCATAAATTTGCACAAATAATAACTTTTTTTAATTAAAATAATCAGTTTGAGAGACTGATGATCCAAGTCATAAATTGGCCAATCCATTTTTGTCTTCTTTCCTTCCAACTATCCTTCCTCTAAACAACTTCAGTTCTCAATAACACTGATCAAGTAACAATGTTACAGTTTAAAGTAGTAACTCTAAATGACTTACAACTCTCAGCACAGAGTCATGCCAGTTAGAGGGTATTGGATACATGTTTGTGAATGAACAACAGAAAATCTGCAAAGATCAGAAACTCGGTTTTGCTCTAGAGCTTGAAAATTCTTTCCACATTAATTACTTGAGTTTCTACCCCATAATTGAAGTTGTTTTGCTTTTCCTTATGAGCTCCCTCTGGTTCGGACATTGTTCATGACTTCCAGTGCCTGTTTCATTCTCCTTGGAGGAAAGGTTGAACAAACTGGAGAGCAAGGGCTGGCAAACATTTTTTTTTTTAAGGGGCACAAGGCATATACTTTACACTTTGTGATCTGTATAGACTCTGCTGCAACTACAGCCGATCCTCATTATTTGTGGATTCTGTATTTCCAAATTCACCTACTCACTAAAATTTATTTGTAGCCTCAAAATGAATACTCGTGGTGCCTTTGCACTTATTCCTGGAAAAACATATGTCACCTGACACCCACGTTTCCAGCCAATGCTGAACAGAGCAATGTTCTATCTTTTTGTTTCAACTCTCACACTGTAAATAAGTTGCCTGTTCAGGATCTACTTAGTCCCATGTGTTTTGCACTTTTGTGCTTTTGGTTAGTGATTTTGCATTTCAGTGACTCGCAAGTATAGTGCTGAGGTGCTGCCTAAAGTTCCTAAGCACAAGAAGCTGTGAGGTGCGTCAAGGAGAAAACCCATGTGTTGGATGAGCTTCGTTCAGGCCTGAGTTCTAGTGCTGTTTCCGTGAGTTCCATGTTCACAAGCCAGCATTATATATTAAACAGAGTCCCTTTAAACAGAAGCACATATAAAATATAATTACTTATTGATCAGTAGACAAAAATGTGACCGGAGGCCTACAGCAAACTAACCCTATATTTCCCCTAGGAGCAATGGTTCAGTATTCACTAATTCAGTATTAATGGTAACTTTATGTAACATAAATGTTGCCAATAACAAGAATAGATTGTACTCAGTTCCCCAGATGCCGTGCCAAAGCAGCCACAGACAATATGCAAACAATGAGCCTACGTTCCAATAAAATGTTATTTATGGACTCTCAAACTTGAAATTCATATAATTTGTATAAGTAACAAAAGACTGTGCTTCTTTTGAGCTTTCCCCCAACCATTTAAAAATATAAAACTAGTTTAAACCCACTGGCCATACACGAACTTGTGATGGGCTGGATTTGACCCATGGGCTTCTGTTTGTCTGCTCCTGCTGTAAAACCTTGTTTTCAATGAATCTCACTGGCTCACTTTGGAGCCAGATCATGGTCAATTTGGGAGGCCCATAATCTTATTCCCCTCTGATATGGTTTGGCTCTGCCTCCCCACCTAAATCTCATCACAAAGTGTAATCCCCATGTGTTGAGTGAGGTGATTGGATCATGAGTGCGGTTTTCCCCATGCTGTTCTCATGACAGTGAGTGAATTCTCATGAGATCTGATGGTTTTATTTTATTTTATTTTATTTTATTTTTTGAGATGGAGTCTTGCTCTGCTGCCCAGGCTGGAGTGCAGTGGTGCAATCTCAGCTCACTGCAACCTCCACCTCCCAGGTTCACGCCACTCTCCTGCCCCAGCCTCCCGAGTAGCTGGGACTACAGGCACCCACCACCACGCCCGGCTAATTTCTTATATCTTTAGTAGAGATGGGGTTTCACCGTGTTAGCCGGGATGGTCTCGATCTGCTGACCTTGTGATCCACTCGCCTCGGCCTCCCAAAGTGCTGGGATTACAGGCGTCAGCCACCGCACCCAGTGATCTGATGGTTTTATAAGGGGCTCTTCCCTTTCTCTCACCTGCCACCATGTGAGATGTGCCTGCTTCACCTTCTGCCATGATTGTAAGTTTCCTGAGGCCTATCTAGTAGTGCGGAACTGTTAGTTAATTAAACCTCTTTCTCTTATAAATTACCCAGTCTTGAGTATTTCTTCATAGCAGTGTGAAAACAGATTAATACACCCTGGAAGTCTCTGCCACCTCAGTGTCATCACTCTGATGGGGCCTAAGAACATTCATGATGTTTGGGTCTGTTTAACAGAAGGAAAGACTACTGAAGTTGGACTCCAGATCGCTGGTTTTGAAAGCCAGGGATCTCATTCTGTCACGCAGGCTGGAGTGCAGTGACACGATCATAGCTCACTACAGCCTCAAACTCCTGGGCTCAAGGGATCAATCCTCCCACCTCACCTTTCTGAGTAGCTGCGACTACATGCGCACCTAATTTTTTTAAGTTTAAACAAACTGATCACACCTGGCTAATCTGTGTAAACTTTTTTTTTTTTTTTTTTTTTGGTAGAGACAGGCTCTCCCTATGTTGCCTAGGCTGGTCTTGAATCGGCCACAAGTGATCCTCCCACCTCAGCGTTCCAAAGTGCTGGGATTACAGGTGTGAGGCACCTTGCAGGGCCAGGTATCACTTCTTAAATGTTTGACTTGAGGCAACTTTACTGAGCCTCCTACAGAAGGCAGAGAAAGACACCTGTGAATCTCCCAGGGCCATAATGCAGGTTAAACCACACAGCAAGAGTAGGCTTTGCAGATGGGACTGCTGATTGCGCCTTCGGCAGTCCCACCCCTTTGCAGTTAAGAAATTTGACCCCTGAGGTTCCTTGGAAATCATCCAACTCATGCGGAAAGCAAGCGGATACCGACAAATCTCATCCTTTTCTACTCTTCTCAACATTTTCAGGGGTCAGGGATACGATGCAATGTCATCGAAAAATGAGCAGGAAGATTTTTCCCTAAAAACTGTAGCCTTCATTTCCATCCGCTCACAACATGCTGTTTAGAGCACCAGGGAGGCGTCCTCAGATTGTCCCCACTCTTGTTTAGGCTCATGTCAGTCAGATAATTCTCAGGCTTGGGCAGAAACCTGCTGGTGAGAAACTTCTCAAGTGTCACTGCTTACAAAAGAGGGAAGAAAACAGAAAAGTCTGTTTATTTTTCTGACCTAAAAGATAACATTGCTTTGCCCTTTCCTTTTGTTTAAGGTTAGATCGGGAGCATTCCTTGAAAGTTGCCCAAGAAGAGATTGTCTCAGCCATTTTTTCCTGGCAATTTGTGTTTTCATTCAAAATGGATTACTTGCGGTAATAACGAGGATTCATATTATAAGAAACAACGCTAATTTCCTCATCTGTAAAATTGAAACAGTGGCTCAGATCCCTGCCTATCCGATCACTTAAAGTGATCTGTAAACTATGTAGGAATTTTTTTTTTTTTTTTTTTTTTAGACAGAGTCTTGCCCTGTGGGCCAGGCTGCAATGTAGTGGTGCAATATCAGGGCTTACTGCAGCCTCAACCTCCAGGCTCGAGCAAGCCTCCTGCCTCAGCCTCCCGAATAACTGGGACTACAGACGTGTACCATTGTACCCAGCTAAGTTTTCTTCTTTTTTTGAAACAGAGTCTCGCTCTGTCGCCCAGGCTGGAGTGCAGTGGCGTGATCTCGGCTCACTGCAAGCTCCGCCTCCTAGGTTCATGCCATTCTCCTGCCTCAGCCTCCCGAGTAGCTGGGAGTACAGGCGCCTGCCACCACGCCTGGCTAATTTTTTGTGTTTTTTAGTAGAGACGGGGTTTCACCATGTTAGCCAGGATGGTCTCGATCTCCTGACCCAGTGATCCACCTGCCTCAACCTCCCAAAGTGCTGGGATTACAGGCGTGAGCCACCGCGCCCGGCCTATGCCCAGCTAAGATTTTAAATTTTTGCAGAGACGGGGTCTCACTATGTTGCCCAGGCTAGAGTACAGTGGTGCAGTCATAGCTCACTGCAGCCTCGAACTCCTGAGCTCAAGCAATCTGCCTGCCTCCGTCTCCCAAAATACTGGGACTACAGGCATGAGCCACCAAGCCCAGCCTGAGTATTGCCATGTTATTGGATTACAGAAACCGTGGGTGACAAAATTAACTAATCACCTCTATCCCAAGGAATTCATGGCACTTTTCAGACATGGTATCATTAATTTTTTTTTGCAGAGTGAAATGCAATATTCATAAAGCCATAGCCTCAGACCTGAGAGCTGGAGGGGACCTCAGAGGGCTCATCCAAATCCTTTGTCTATGATGGGGAACCCGAGGCTCTTAGGAGCCTGTGGGGCGCTGGAGGCGGGGGACTCGCGCTGCCCAGTGGCTGGGCCAATCCAGCCCAGCAGGGGCACATCCCAGGACAGCAAGGGGCATCGTGAGTGGGCAGTCACGTAGCCGCGAGTCTCCACAAGCCAGGCCAGGTCGTTCTGCTCCACCTGAGGACTGCATGACACCCGAGGTCAGCATTTTATTACCTAGGTGTGACCCAGGTTTCTCATAACCTTAGTCGCAACTTTATAGAAATTGATAGAAAATGGGAATCTGGCACACTTGTATGCGTTACACTTTTCAAAGACAAAGAAATGTCACAGTGAGAGGTAACAGGGTGCCCAGAGAGCATAGTTTCTCTCTTGTTTTGCAGATTAGAAAATAGATTTGGCAGGCCGGGTGCGGTGGCTGACGCCTGTAATCCCAGCACTTTGGGAGGCCGAGGCGGGCGGATCACAAGGTCAGGAGATCGAGACCATCCTGGCTAACATGGAGAAACCCTGTCTCTACTAAAAATAGAAAAATTAGCTGGGCGTGGTGGTGGGCGCCTGTAATCCCAGCTACTCAGGAAGCTGAGGCAGGAGAATTGAGTGAACCCGGGAGGCGGAGCTTGCAGTGAGCCGAGATCGCGCCACTGCACTCCAGCCTGGGCGACAGAGCGAGACTCCGTCTCAAAAAAAAAAAAAAAAAAAAAAAAACAGAAAGAAAAGAAAAAGAAAGTAGATTTGGCCAAAATCCAATGGTCTAGGAGTCCTCCACGAGCTTCCCTGCCACATGCCCCTCCCTGCCCTCTCCTCTTACCCCTCCACCCAGGTTGCAGGTTCTGTACCCTTGCTTCTGCAGTTCTACATTTTTTGTTTGTTTTGAGACAGCGTCTCACTCTGTTGCCCAGGTTGGAGTGCAGTGGCACGATCATGGCTCACTGCAACCTCGAACTCCTGGGCTCAAATGATCCTCCCACCTCAGCCTCACTTCCACTATTTTCATCTTAGTGGGTTTTTTAGGACTTTAAACAACCCATCAAAAGCGTCAGAGTTGGAAAGCTGACGTCACCTGTTCTGCTAACTGAGTGTGTGTTTTTAGTGAATTGCTTTACCTCTTGGGACACAGGGATTGCAACAGGAGCTGATCTCAGGTGTGCTGCCGGGAAGGGTGACTTGCTATCATGTGGAAGGCAGCAGTGTTCTCTCTTGCCGAGCCTTGACAAGGTTTGAGTCCTCCCCAAAGCCCAAGGTTGGTTTCTATACCCACTGCAATTCAATCTTTTCCAGAAAACCTACACACTTTTACAGGTTGTAAAAGGGCCCTGCCCTCCTGCGAGGAGAAAGGAGAAGATTCCACTTGGTTATTATTATTATTATTATTATTATTATTATTAATTATTATTATTATTTTGAGACAGGTTCTTGCTCTGTTACCTAGGCTGGAGTTTAGGGTGCAATCATGGTTCACTGCAGCCCTGACCTCCTTGGCATCAAGTGACCCTCCCACTTCAATCTCACTAGCTGGGATTATGGGCACCAGCCACGACACCAGACTAATTTTGTTTGTTTATTTTATAGAGACAAGGTCTCTCTATGTTGCCCAGGCTGGTCTCAAACTGCTGGTTTCAAATCATCCCCCCATCTCAGCCTCCCAAAGTGCTGGCCTTGGTCATTCTATAAGGCAGCAGCTTTCATTGCCAGCAGAGATGGTTTTCAAAATTCCAGCCATTGAGCACAGCCTTCCAAGGAAGGACCCATCAGAAGCACAGTGTGTAAGCCAGCTCATGCTGGGCTGCCCTGTCTCAAACAGGGGTGTGCTGGAATGGAGATTAGAGCCCAATTTAATCTTCTTGTACACCTTGCCATCATCAGGTGGCCTGGCAGTGATGAAGCCCTAGGGGACAGTTTGATTGTGACAGGTTGAAATTTAATGTGAATGTTACAGGTTAAAATTAAGGCTCTTCCAGGAGTTTGAGGCTGCAGTGAGCTATGATCCCACCACTGCATTCCAGCCTGGATGACAGAGACAGAGCCTCTCTCAAAAAAAAAAAAAAAAAAAAAAGAATGAAAAAAAAAGCTAAAACTCTTTCAGATGCCCCTCAACACTCAACACTATTTACAATCTGGCCACAACCGTTGCCCACCCTCCACCCCAGCCCATGATCCACACACATCAAAATGTGCCCCTGTAGGGTTACTGCCTCTCTCCTGTTCCCAGATTGACCCATCAGGGCTCTGCTCAGATGTCACCTCCTCTGTCATTGCTTCCTTGATGCTTTCTCCAGCGCCTTGTGCATATCTGGAATATAGCATTATTTACTCTGTTGTCTGAGTTCGGTTTCCCCCAGTGGATCATGAATTCCTTCAAAACAGGAACTGGGTCCTACTGTTGGAATGTTTAAGGGATGCTTGAAGAATACTTGAGTGCTGGGGGATGGGGATGGAGTCGAAAGAGGAAGCCTGACCCTCATGGAGCTGACGTCCTGGAGAGGAGGAAGACAGACAGTAAACACGATAAACAAGAAGTGGGGGTAGCTTATTATAGAATGATCAGTGCTGTGGAGAACAAGCAGAGATGGGGACAGCGAGTGTGTGTTGGGTGGGAGGAGAGCATTTCAGTTGCAAAGGGTGGTCAGGGAAGGCCACCCATCATGACCATGGGTATCAGCCTGTAGGTAGCAAGTGGGAGAGCAGTGTGGCTATTTGGGGGCAGGGGCATCGCAAGGTAGATTATAAAAAGTGGTCAGATTCTGGACGTATTTGACCTAGCATTTCCCATCTAGGAATTGATTCTAAGGAAATGGTTGCACAGTTGGCAAAGCTGTAGCTCGCAGCAATGTTAATTACAGCTTCTTCATGATATTAGCTTTGTAGAAAATGTAAATTTACAAAAATTGCAATCTCATTGAATAAGTTATGCAATAATGAAATAGAACATTATGTATCCACTAAAATAATAATGTAGAAATATGTTCATTGATGTGAAAAGGTGTTCACTTGATATTATTAGATGAAGCAAAATGAAAATATAAAATATTTTTAATTTTATTTTTAATTGTAAAATACACATAATATCAAATTTACCATCTTAATCATTTTTTTTTTTTTGGACGGAGGCTTGCTCTGTTGCGCAGGCTGGAGTGCAGTGGCACTACCTCGGCTCACTGCAAGCTCTCCCTCTCGGGTTCACGCCATTCTCCTGCCTCAGCCTCCCGAGTAGCTGGGACTATAGGCAACCGCCACCACGACCGGCTAACTTTTTGTATTTTTTAGTAGGGACGGGTTTTCACTGTGTTAGCCAGGATGGTCTCGATCTCCTGACCTCATGATCCACCTGCCTCGGCCTCCCAAACTGCTGGGATTACAGGCGTGAGCCACTGCACTGGGCCCATCTTAATCATTTTTAAGGGCAAAGTTCAGTAGTGTTAGGTACATTCAGACTGTTGAGCAACAAGTCTCTAGAACTCTTTTCATCTTGCAAAACTAACTCCCCATTTCTTCCTCCCGAATTATCTGGGGAACACTATTCTGCTTTTGTCTCTGTAAGTTACTCTACACTAGCTATCTCATATAAAGAGGATTATGCCATATTTGCCTTTTTGTGACTAGCACATTTTACTTAGCATAATGTCCTCAAGGTTCATTCGTGTTGTATCATGTGTCTGAAGCTCCTTCCTTTTTAAGACTGAATCATATTCCATTGTATGGATATACCACATTGTGTTTATCCATTCATCCATTAATGGACATTCAGGTTGTTTCTTCCTTCTAGCTACTGTGAATAATATTTCTATGAACAGGGGTGTACAAATATCTATTTGAGACTCTTGTTTCAGTTTCTTTGGATATATACCCCAAAGTGGAATTGCTGGATGGTATGTTAATTCTGTTTTTAATATTTTTTTTAAGACGGAGTCTTGCTCTATCACCAGGCTGGAGTGTAGTGGCACAATCGCGGCTCACTGCAACCTCTGTCTTCCTGGATTCAAGCGATTCTCCTGCCTCAGCTGCCCGAGTAACTGGGACTACAGGTGCACGCCATCACGCCAAGCTAATTTTTGTATTTTCAGTAAAGACAGGGTTTCACCATGTTGGCCAGGATGGTCTCGATCTCTTGACCTCATGATCCACCCGCCTCAGCCTCCCAAAGTGCTGGGATTACAGGCGTGAGCCACCATGCACGGCCTATCTTTAATTTTTTGAGTAACCATCAACCTGTTTTCTAGAAAGTCTGCATTGTTTTACATTGCTATCAATAGTGCACAAGGGGCTGGGTGTGGTGGCTCACACCTGTAATCCCAGCACTTTGGGAGGCTGAGGTGGGTGGATCACGAGGTCAGGAGATCAAGACCATCCTGGCTAACATGGTGAAACCCCATCTCTACTAAAACAATACAAAAAATTAGCCGGCTGTGGTGGCAGGTGCCTGTAGTCCCAGCTACACGGGAGGCTGAGGCAGGAGAATGGCTCAAACCCGAGAGGCGGAGCTTGCAGTGAGCCGAGATAGCGCCACTGCACTCCAGCCTGGGTGACAGAGCAAGACTCTGTCTCAAAAAAAAAAAAAAAAAAAGTGTACAAGGGTTCCTGTTTCTCCCCATCATCACCAACAATTGTTATTTTCCGGTTTTTGATAGTAGCCGTCCTAATGGGTGTGAGGTAGTATCCCATTGTAGGTTTGATTTGCTAGAAATGCATTTTTATTGTAGAAATTATTGGCATTCAGTATACGTGGACTGGCTAAAATATTTTATAGAGACATTCCCGAAGATAAAAATAATATTCAAAGATTCCTTTAAAAGTAAGCAAAGGACACAGAGACATTCCTCCAAAGAAGATATTCAAATAGGTGATAAACACAAGAAAAGACGCTTAACATAACTAATTATTAGGTAATGCAAATCAAAACCACAATGAGATGCAACTTCACACTCATTAGGATGGCCATTCTAAAAAACTAAAAAAAAAAAAAAGAAACAAGTATTAGTGAGGATGTGGAGAAATCAGAACCCTTGTGTACTGCTGATGGTAATGTAAAGTGTTGCAGCCATTGTGGAAAACAGTATGGTGGTTTCTCAAAAAATTAAACATAGAGTTACCATATAATCCAGCAGTTGTACTTCTGGTCATATACTCCAAAGAACTGAAAGCAGAGACTCCAACAGATATTTGTATACTCATATTTATAATGTCTTTATTCTCAGTAACCAAACAACCCAATTGAATTGAATTGAATTGAATTGAATTGAATTGAATTGAATTGAATTGAATTATTCTAAATTTACAACAACTCAAGTGTCCACTGACAGATGAATGAACAAAAAAAGTGGTATGTAGATACAATGATATATTATTGAGGCTTAGAAATGAGTGAAATTCGGACACATGCAGCAACATAGATGAATCTTGAAGGCATTACGTTAAATGAAATATGCAGGATGCAAAATGACAGATATTGTATGATTTTTCTTATATGAGCTACCTAGTAGTCAAATTCATAGAGTCAGAAAGTAGAATGGTCGTTGCCAAAGCTAAGGGAAAGGGAGGATGGAGAGTTACTGTTTAATGATTTCAGAGTTGGTTTGGCTTGGGTTGTTGAAAAAGTTCTGGAGGTAGATTGTGGTGATGGTTGCACAACAATGGAAATGTACTTAATGTCACTGAACTGTATGGTTAAAATGTTACATTATACGTTATGCATATTTTACCACTATTTTAAGAAAATCTGTTTAAAAAAGGAACCTCTTCAACTCATCTGAGGAGACCAGAAGTTGCAGTGTCTCTCATATTCTCAGGACTTAAATTTTGCCCTTTGACTGTCAGAGTTAGAATAATAAAGTCTAATCTCTACATTGTTCAGCTGAAGAAATAGTGTCTCAGAAATATGTCTGTCTTGGGATATCAAATCACATCAATTTCTTGAGCACTTAATTATGTGTGATGGTTAATTTTATGTGTCAACGTGGCCAGGTTATAGCACCCAGTAGTTTGGTCAAACATCAGTCTAGATGTTGCTGTAAAGATATTTTAAAAGATATGATTAACATATAAGCCAGTAGGCTTTGAATAAAACAGATTACCCTTTATAATCTGTGTGGGCCTCGTTCAATCATTTGAGGGCTGTAAGAAAAATAACTGAGCTCCCCTAAAGAGGAAGGCATTCTGCCTCCAGGCTGCATTCAGACTCAAGACTGCGATAGCGGCTTCTTCTGGAATTTCCATTCTGCTGGCCTGCCTTGCAGATTTTGGACTTGCCAACCTCCACAATCGCATGAGCAGATTCTTCCGAATAAATCTCTTTCATTAGCTCTCTTTATGTGGGGAGGCTTCACTAATCACCGTAGAAAGGGCCACGTGGGAAGTACAAGTGATTCAGACCTGGCCTTCAGGCCTTTTGACGGGTTCAACGTCCACTTACCAGACTCTAAACCAGAGCAATTGTTTGGTTCACAGCCATGTAATTCATAACATTGCTTGGGAATGAGCGGTTTTCCTGACACATTCGGCTTCTGGTGTGACAATTTCAAAGCACCATAAGCCAAAACCAAAATTAAACCCTTTGAATTTACTATTCTTCCCACTGTGCCACACTGCTCCTCTTAGGAAATAGCCTCACCAAACTTAGGCAGTTTATTGCTGACACGTCCCATCTGTTGTCCTCACAGTGTGAATGCCATGTGTTCGTCAAGTTCACTTGGATTTCTCCCACACACTCACACTCTGTATTCTGGGAATTAAGCTGAGGAAAGTATCCTCTTCCTCACCAGCAACTGCTACAGTCAGCTTCCTTTAGTAAACAATGTCGGTGCAGTGAATGTTCTCAGTAAAGCCCTCTGGATGCGTTCTTTGCCTGTGTAGAGCCAAAGAAAAATAGCTGAAATGTGCAATCTCAGCATTTTTCTGTCTAATATTATCAGTGCTTAGTCTCTTCCATGGAGATCCTGTGTGGATGGCTACGAAACATGATAAATTTTTTGTCTTAAAAAATGAGCTGATATTACATAATGGAAATTATATATTGGTTAGGATTTCAGCTCTTATTCCCTTCTCCATGAGCTCCATTTTAAGAAACCAAACAAAATAAAAAGGAAACATTGAAGGAAAATATTTGAACAATTAAGGTTTGGGACACACACACAACTTTCTTTGAGTTCACTTCATGTTGCCTTTAAACAAGAACAGCTTTTTGATTACATCTTCCTGATTGCAGTCCTCTTTCCCTCTTCCATCATGACCACTAGCTCCTGGTTCAGCCATGGGTGATGGAGCCAGTGGCTTAACAGGGTTCTCTAAGGATAAAAGGAGATGCTCAAACTACGGGGTTGAGAAGACTCGATGAGCCAAAAAGCAAGCTCTGTTTCAAGTAGCTAAGAGGTGAATCACATTTGCAGAAAGCAAAGAGAACTGGAAGTAGGAATTGAAAACCTGGGACACAAAGCTAGAATTTAGGATGAATCAGATAAAGCCACCAGCTAGAATGCACCCTCGTTTTCCTAGCTTTACTTTGTGGTACGTGCGTTTACTGTAGAGTAGAGGGCTTTTTGAAGAATGAACAAAGGAAAACTATTCTGCTTTCCTTATCTTCTCTGTAATTTCCTGCTAGTGCCCCCACCCTTAGCTACCACCCGCCACCATACTAATTCAATCAGCAGACTGGCAAGGCTGATTCCTCATGCATTATTTAGAGCGCATGCTGGTGGTGTTAGAACTAGGTTAGGCAGCTGTGAAAACCTAGAGGCTCTCTTGCGATTCTGATTTGCATTTTTCTGATTCAACTGTGTTGTTCCCTTGTGATATTCCCCAGAGTCCAAAGTGAAGGCTTGAGATGATTCCTGTAATTTCTTTTTTAAGGTGAAAAATGTTCCTGTGATAGAGATGCAGGACCAACTGTTAAAGTTTATGAGAGAATCTGTTTTTAGGAGACAAAATGTATCCAAGATACATGTAAAAGTTGAAGAGCGAAGACAAAACAACAATGATGAAGGTGTGGAAGACAGGACAAAAAGATATTGAAGCTGGGAAAAATATGATGAAGCCCTTCAGGCTTTTATTCCCAAGATACTTGTGATGAGATCCCACAGCTGCTATGCGGGGATTATAAATTTGGCTTTAAACACTTTAGAAGCCAGGCTAAAATGGGACCATATAATAAATTATGTGACTGGGGGAGGGGTGGTTAGAAGAGAAGTACTATTGCTCTTGAAATAGAGATTAGAGAAAAATCCATTCTCCCACCACCCTTATCACCCACTCACAACTCTCTCTGGGGACAACATGAAGACCACAGAGGCTGACTGTAGCGGCTTTTGCCTATAATCTCAGGACTTTGGGAGGCTGATGCAGGAGGATTGCTTGAGTCCCAACCTGGACACCAGAGCCAAATTATCCAGGGGTGGTGGTACATGCCTGTAGTCCCAGCTATTTGGGAGGCTGAGGCAGGAGGATCACTTGAGCCCAGGAGGTTGAGATGTAGTGAGCTGTGGTCATGCCACTGCACTCCAACCTGGGTCACAGAGTGAGCCCGTCTCTAAAAATAAAAATTAAAACAAACAAACAAACAAACAAATAACACTACTGTGCAGTAGTCTTTCTAAGCAAATTTTCTAATGTTCTTGCAACATAAGCATCAACCTTCTCCAAAGGCTGGGACTGTAGGGATACGAGACGAAACAATGGGCTTGCCTTCAAGAATTTTCTGATTTAATGAGAAGGGGGAGTATGTCATTAACTAATTGATGGAGGGGATTGAATGGATGCCTTTGGGTGCGCATTTCTGTAGCAGGGAGATTTTTCCACGTTTGAAGTAGGGTGCACATGATCTGTCTACAGTGCAGTTCTGCACAGAGACCTGCAGCCACTCCAGGACATGTCTTCTGGAAAACACGAAGTGGCTAAGAGAGAAATGACCTGTGAAAGGGATCAAATGTGCCTCTGTTGGGGTTACAATAATTCATACTTATGAGAAAAGGGTGAAATCCATGAAACCAGATCGTGGCTCCTCAGTGAAGCATGGAGAAGAGCATTAACTCCCAGAGAAAAGATCACAGGGAAAGGCGGAGTGAAAGGCTCATAGCCCATGTCCCAGGACTGGAGAGAGCAGCTGCATCACAGAAAAACACCAGAAGCTTGCCCGGGAGATGCCGCCCTACTGCAGAAGACACATTCCTTCAGCATGAACAACAGCAGCATCTTGCTGGGATAAAGGAGAGAGGAAAACAAGGAAGGAATTAATTCCAGGGAAACTTTCTCGAGTGAGTAGCATCATATTTATTTCCTCAATGGCAAAGTGCTTTTCAAATTAGCCACCACACCTGGCTAATTTTTCTTTTTTTTTTTTTTGAGATGGAGTCTCTCTGTCGCCCAGGCTGGAGTGCAGTGGCGCAATCTCGGCTCACTGCAAGCTCCGCCTCCCGGATTCACGCCATTCTCCTGCCTCAGCCTCCCGAGTAGCTAGGATTACAGGCGCCCGCCACCACACCCAGCTAATTTTTTGTATTTTTAGTAGAGATGGGGTTTCACCTTGTTAGCCAGGATGGTCTGGATCTCCTGACCTCGTGATCCGCCCTCCTCGGCCTCCCAAACTGCTGGGATTACAGGTGTGAGCCACCACGCCTGGCCCACACCTGGCTAATTTTTATTTATTTTATTTTATTTTTTGATATGAAGTCTCGCTCTGTCACCCAGGCTGGAGTACAGTGGCGCAGTCTCACCTCACTGCAACCTCCACCTCCTAGATTCAAGCAATTCTCCTGCATCAGCCTCCTGAGTAGCTGAGACTACAGGTATGTGCCACCAGGCTTGGCTAATTTTTATTTTTATTTTTATTTATTTTTTTTAGAGACAGGGTTTCATTCACCATGTTGACCAAGCTGGTCCTGACTCCTGACCTCAAGTGATCTGCCCACCTCGGCCTCCCAAAGTGCTGGGATTACAGGCGTGAGCCACTGCGCCTGGCCTTATCTGGCTAATTTAAAAAATGTTTTTAATAGAGATGGGGTCTCACTATGTTTCCCAGGCTGGTCTCAAACTCCTGGCCTTAAGCGGTCTTCCTGTCTTGGTCTCCCAAAGTGCTGGGATTACAGGCATGAGCCACCATGCCCAGCCTATTTTTTACTGTCTTATGTCTGGTTTTGCCCTAGATACCCAGGTTAGGTGAATACTGGTACAGATGAAAAATATTAGTATGTCCTAGAAGCAGCTCTGGAATGCCCCAAAGCAGGAATAATAGCCAGCTCCTGAGTGTCAGTGAAGTTGGGTATTTCCATCAGGATAATGGAAACTTCACATTACAAACAACCCAGTTCCATCCTTGCCCCCTTCTGCCACCATCCTCAGGCAGAACAAGTAGCAGCTAGGAGCATCAGCATCCCACGTTGGCCCCCAGCAGGACAGAGTGGCTTCTTGTCCTGGACTCAGCTTTTCTTAAGTGATTTCCTCCCAGTAACTTGCTCTTCCCCCTGGGAGACTGGCCAGGCTTCATTCTACCCAGAGCCCTTTCTTTTTTCTTTTCTTTTCTTTTTTTTTGAGATGGAATCTCTCACACTGTCTCCCAGGCTGGAGTGCAGTGACACTATCTCGGCTCAGTGCAACATCTGCCTCTTGGGTTCAAGCGATTCTTCTGCCTCAGCCTCCTGAGTAGCTGGGATTGCAGGCACCTACCACCACGCCTGGCTAATTTTTGTATTTTTAGTAGAGACAGGATTTCACCATGTTGGCCAGGCTGGCCTCAAACTCCTGACCTCAAGTGATTCGCCCGCCTCAGCCTCCCAAAGTGCTGGGATTACAGGTATGAGCCACTGCCCCTGGCCAGGAGCACCCCTTTCAAATACAAGCAACCTTGCTTTTTGTCCTCTTCCTCTTCCCCAGCTTTCCAGGGCTATTGCAATTCTATGGTAGACAGATTCTCACTGGAATCTTCAGTCATCCCACTTATGATGTACTGTTATGCACGGCCGGATACACAAACGTGACACCTATTGGGTTGGGGCCGCCTGGCTACTGGCTCATCCCGTCATGCTCAGTGGCATCGGTTTGTTTGTATGGTTATCACAGCACTTAACATTGTTGGAAGTTACCAATTACCTTGTATGTTAATTCACTTACAAGTTTACTGTCTATTTTCTCCCTCTAGAATAGAAAGTCCACAAGACCAGTGACCGTGCTTATCTCGTTGACTTCTGTATTTTCAATGCTTTGAACAGTCTTTGGCACATATTAGGTACTCAATAAATTTTTTTGTTTTTGTGAATAGAGGATATAGTACATTCTATTTTATTTTTTGTTCATTTATTTATTTTTGAGACAAGATCTCAGTCTGTCACCTAGACTGGAATGCAGTGGCGCATTCATGGCTCACTGCAGCCTCCATCTCCCGGACTCAGGTGATCCTCCCATCTCACCCACCAGAGTAGCTGGGATTACAGTCTCACACTACCATGCCCGGTTAATTCTCATTTTTGTTTCTATTTTGTAGAGACAGGGTCTTGCTATGTTTCCCAGGCTGGTCTCTAACTCCTGAGCTCATGCAATCCTCCCACCTCTGCCTTCCAAAGTGCTCGGATTATAGGCGTGAGCCACCACACCCTGCCAGGATATAGTAAATTTTAAATCAGAGAACTTAAAGAAATACAACCCTACTGAATGCTGCAGTAGGGGAACTTAGAGTGGACAGAGGCCACCAGGAGCTGCAGAGCTGATGAAACAGACGTGCAAAGGTATAAAAAGGAGCTGAGAGCAGTGGTTCTCAAAGTGTGCCTCGGACGACTGTGGGGTGGTATCCCTGAGGCCATTCCAGGGAGTTTGTAAGGTCAAAACTACTTTTATAATAATATTAGGATACTATTTGCCTTTTTCACTATCTTTACATTTCCACTGATGGCACAAAAGCAAAGACTGTACTTTCAGGGGTCATTTCTGTAGTTCATTAATATAGTTTTCTGAGCATGTAGAGCACCAAAAAAATAAAAACATATATATTTTACAAAGCAAAAAGGGGTAAAACTGCTGTCATTTTAGCGTGGCACCAAATTATTACCACATACTTATAGTAAAATGAATGGCAGTTTCACTTACGAATGTCCTTGATACACCAGTACTAATTAATTTCATTAAGCCTTGACCTTTATGTTCATACCCATTTAATATTGTGTGTGACCACACGGGAAAGGCACAAAAGCAGTTCTGCTGAACAGTGAAGTTTGTATATTAGTTTTCTTGAGAAAAAAAACACTTGGTAATTGAACTGTGAGTTAACCTAAACTTTTTTTTTTTTTCATGGAACACTGCTTTTACTTTAAATTAAGTAAGACAAACTATGGTTATTTTAGACTTAAATATTTCATAAATGCTTCCTCAAAAATGAATAAAGTGAGATTGTCACCTCAAGTAAAATAACAGAGTATTTGGTGCCAAAGGTAAAATTTGAACTAAGAGAAAATAAGAACTATAGAAAACTTAGGTCTATCCCAGTGAGCTTGACAGCTTCCTTATAGAGACTGTTCTGATGAGATTGGTGGTAATATTGTTAAAAATATTTTAATGTTGTATAATAAAATATACTGAAATTGGAAGATCTGTATAACTCAGTGAACCAATATCTTCCAAATGTTACAAAATCATGCAGATATAAAATGTATTCAAAGTGCAAAATAAGTCAATGTATTTCCTATAACAGAGGAAAAACTCCATTGTTAAGGTTGCAGAAAACTCCATTGTTAAGGTTGCAGATTCCATCCTGAAATTAACTTCTAAGAAACTAGTACTTACTGAACTTAGGTACAGTATCACACCGTAAGCACCAATACCTGAAAAAGCTATTAAAATATTTCTCCCATACACAGAGGTTGATTTGTCTTCACGAACTTCCACTAAAACAAGTTATTACAACAGGCTGAGTGTAGAAGCAGAGTGGATATGAGAATCCAGCTGTTTTCTATTAAGCTAAACATTAAAGAGATCTGTAAACTGTAAATGACATCACTCTCCTCACTACATTTTTGTTTTGTTTTGGAAAATACATTTTTCATAAACTGTGTTATTTATATTAACATGTAATACATTACTTTTACTTTTATATGAATAAATAATTTAAGACTTTCTCAGTATTGTTATTTTATTTATTTTATTTTGAGGTGGAGTCTCACTGTCACCCAGGCTAGAGTGTGGTGGCATGATGTCAGCTCACTGCAACCTCACCTCCCAGGTTTAAGCGATTCTCCTGCCTCAGCCTCCCAACTAGGTGGGATTACAAACGTGTACCACCATGCCCAGCTAATTTTTTTAGTTTTAGTAGAGATAGAGTTTCTCCATGTTGGCCAGGCTGGTCTCGAACTCCTGACCTCAAGTGATCTGCCCACCTCGGCTTCCCATAGTGCTGGGGTTACAGGCGTGAGCTACCACGCCCAACCCTGAGTATTATTTGTGAATATAGTAAATATCAATAACCCAGACTTAAAAAGCCATTTGGAATCCTCAATTTTTAAGAAAGTAGGTGGGTTCTGAGACCAAAATATTTGAGAACCTCAGATGTAGATTAGGTCTAAGAGAACTCACCAGTGGCTCCACTGTAAATGAGGCATTTTCTTCTCACTTTTCTCTTTGAGGCCCAAGTCCGCCCAAATTAAACAAAATAGAACAATTAAATGGGGCCGGGCGCGGCGGCTCATGCCTGTAATCCCAACACTTTGGGAGACCGAGACAGATGGATTGTTCGACTCCAGGGGTTCAAGATCAGCCTGGGCAACATGGTGAAACCTCATCTCTACAAAAAATACAAAAATTAGCCATGTGTGGTGGCGTGCCTGTAGTCCCAGCTACTTGGGAGGCTGAGGTGGGAGGACCACCTGAGCCCAGGGAGACTGAGGCTCCTGTGAGCCATGATTCTGCCACTGCATTCCAGCCAGGGTGACAGAAGGAGACCCTGTCTCAGGAAAAAAAAATCTATCTATCTATCTATCTATCTATCTATCTATCTATCTATATCTGAAAGAAATGGCTGATATTTACTGGTGTGTCTTCGTGCCATAGAACATTGACTCTCTTTTTTTTTTCATATGTAGAAAAGAGGCTTTATTAAGAAAAAAATATGGAACGCTTCATGAATTTGCATGTCATTCTTGCACAGGGGCCATGCTGATCTTCTCTGTATCGTTCCAATTTTAGTGTATGTGCTGCTGAAGCGAGCACAGAACTTGACTCTCATTTTCACCTCAGAACTATTCTGGAAGGCAATAGTAATCAATCTCATTTTTATAGAAGAAGGAAGAGGCTCAGAACAGTTAAGTTGCCCAAGTTTACAGAGCTAGTAAGTGGATAATAGCCCCATAGGTTTTCTCAGCACTTCCCATGAGATCAGGATGCATCTGATGATTATTAGAAATATTTAGGTCCAGAATACTTTCACCTAAAGTATAAGCACAATTGAGGTAAAATATGGCTTTGATTTGTTTGAATATCCCCATAACTGCCTTGGTACGGCTACTTGCCTGGGCCAGTGAAGACAATGGCATTACAGAGGTCCCCAAATTTCCTGCAGAATTCTATAAACCAGCTGGGCCTCTCTTTAAACTTCGTGGTATAAGTCCTCCTCCAAAGGAAAAGGATGGTTGGATTTATTTTTTTTTTCTTTTCCGTCTGTTTTTGTTCTGGCATTCTTTTGTGAGTATGGAACTGATTACTAAATACGGTCAAACAGCTTGAGTCGGGCTTCCTGTGTGAATGTGAACAGTGCTGATTTCCAGCCTTGCATTTGATATGTTATCTGTGGCGGCTGTGCCCGACGTTGAAGTTTCAGATGGCTTCCTTCAATTTCCTGTATTGTTATAATGGTGGCTGTGTGTGTACATGTGCACGTGTGGACAGAGAAAGCAGTGGAGACAGAAGAGAGGATGTTTCTCTGTGTTTACTTGGATTTTGTGAAAGGTTTTTAGTTAGATATTGAGAGGGCCACATGTTTCAGTGGAAAGAGCCCTGTTTAGCAAAAATGAAGGTCCTCTCTTGTCTGCCACTAATTGCCTGCGTGGTTTTTGGCAAATATTTAGGCCTTGGGCCCAATTCTGCTTCCTTATAAGGCCGCTTTCAGCTCTGAAATTTTGTAACTCTGGTTTCTACTCAAAGCTTCACTTTCCAACTCCCCACACTTGGCTGTTCTAAAACGTTTGTTTTTCCTCCTGGTTTTACTTTCCAGGCCTTTTTTGTTCTCCTCCACTTTCCATTACTATCCCATAGCCTTTTGGATTTAAGTTCTTATAGAAAAGTTCTTCCTTTCTCAGCTCTTATTTTTCAGCTTCCGTTGTCTCTGAAAAAAATATTACGAATGGTCGACTTTATCTTGGAAAGAAGATCCAGAATGTGTTGGCTTCCTGTTTTGTTGGTGAGATGTCTAGAGCTTGGAGATTGGAGTGTGGGTCAGGATTCCCTACTAAGCCTTATATGAGATAGCTCAGAGCTGCTGGGCTGGCAATCACTTCTCTATCTCTGCTCTATTTTTATTAAACACAATTAACTTTAAATATGCAGGATAGGCTACGCGCGGTGGCTCACGCATGCAATCCCAGCACTTTGGGAGGCCAAGGCGGGCGGATCACAAGGTCAGGAGTTCGAGACTAGCCTGACCAAAGTAAAACCCCGTCTCTACTAAAAATACAAAATTTAGCCGCGTGTGGTGGCACGCTCCTGTAATCCCAGCCACTCAGGAGGCTGAGGCAGGAGAATCGATTGAACCTGGAGGCAGAGGTTGCAGTGAGTTGAGATCCTGCCAGTGCACTCCAGCCTGGGTGACGGAGTGAGACTCCGTCTCTCTCTCTCTCTCTCTCTCTCTCTCTCTCTCTCTCTATATATATATATATATATATATTTATATATATATACAATAAAATATAAATGTATATATGCAGGATAATGGCATATCTAATTCATCTGCTTTTATGGCCCAGTATGAACGTTTAAATGGAACCGGGAAATGAAACTTCTCGTTTTTCATCAGCTTCTAGTCCCACGCTGATGGCGCCCCCAGAGCCTCCACAAGTGGGTCTAGTGCCATCTGGTGGTAGGATGCGCTGATGCTTTGCTGCCTGATGGACAGACAACACCGTGCTTAATGAAGAAAACCTGTTGAGTGAAATACACGCAGAAACTTAAACAACGGACTGGTGACATTTGCAGCAGATGACTTAGTAGTCCCAAAATTCAAATTTGTTATTAAACATGCAAATCTGTGAAAGTTACAGAGTCTTTGGGACCATGCAAAGCTAAGATTGATAGGTGTGTGCACTTTAGGCATGAGGCATGTTCAGTTTGTAACTCTGTAGTGAGATGTTTGTGTTCTTAGTATGGAATCCAGATGTTGTCTGCTGGTAATTTATGCTCCTGTGCAAAACATGGGCAAATTGATTAATTTTTATCAATCTCACTTCATCTTGTTCTCATCTGTAAAAGATCATGTCTAAGGACCCTTAAAACGCTTTAAAAACTTTCAAAGAACCTCAAACATTGCAGTATTCTGATTTCCTCTAGTGACTGTATGTGCTTTATGTCCATGCTTTCTTCCACCCTCCAAGAGTTTAATGTTAACAGGAGGTGTGGAAGAAATAGTAAAAATTGTCATTTATTGGATGCTGCTATGTGTTTTGTATTCTCTTAGGTAGTTTAACATTTTTAAAATTCTGGTTTACAAAACTCTGCAAGATAAGTATCACTGAGCTCATTTTACAGATAAGGGGTGTAAAGCTTATCGCACTCTGCTTTCCATGTTTACAAACGAAAAGATAAACGAGAAACAAGGAAGAAATGTGCTAATTGTCTTTATAATTCAACACAACACCACTTACAGTGCATTTACAGCTCAGTGCAATTTGCCACTTTCCAACAATACAAAATGTCAAGTATCTAAGCCACATCATTGTTCTGTCTTCACACACTGATAAAGCAGCTGCCATACTGCAATTGTAGGAACAGTTTTAAAAATGCATTTTCCAGGGAGCCAGGGGGAAACAAATATTTGCCGAGACCAGAGCTGGTGTTTCACAGATCTCTTTTCTGTGAGCTGAGGAATGAGGAGAGGTGGAGTGACAGGCCGTCGAGTGTAATTACCATGTCCCAGATGCTGATGCAAGGATGGCGAGTGGCAGAGGACTATTGGCAGGTGTCTCGGGCATGGCACCACAGCAGCACTCTGTTTCTGTTGACCGGTTTGTTTGGGTCTTCCTTTTAAAAGTTGGGCATCCTTTCCCAAAGAGTGCTCCGTAAGGTGTTCATACATTTTATATGGAAAATAAAGATTTTGAGTGAAATATTATGAGAAACAAGGGGCTGATTACTGTTAAATGGGTTTCTTTGCTCTAGTATAGGACTTCTTGAAACCTTTCAGGTTTCAATGTGTACTTTTAACATAATTTATAGATTAAATGTATTTTATTATATAAATTAAATACAGGTGATATGGTTTGGCTGTGTCCCCACCTAAATTTCATCTTAAATTGTAGTTCTCATAATCCCCATGTGAATCGGGAGGGACCCGGTGGGAAGTAGTTGAACCATGGGGGTGGTTAACCCCATGCTATTCTCATGATAGTGAGTTCTCATGAGATCTGGTGGTTTTATAAGGGGCTTTCCTGTTCTCTCAGCTTTCATTCTTCTCCTTGCTGCTGCCACGTGAAGAAGGATGTGTTTGCTTCCCCTTCCATCATAATTGTAAGTTTCCTGAGGCCTCCCCAGCCATGCAGAACTGTGAGTCAATTAAACCTTTTTCCTTTATAAATTACCCAGTCTCAGGTATGTCTTTATTAGTAGTGTGGGAATGGACTAATACAACAGGTCAAGGTTAAATAATTCAAATAACCCCAATAGCTGGAGATAAGGCAGAAAATGTAACCCTTCTCCCAGAGCTAGGAATCCTTAGACCTAACTATTTTAGCAGACTTGTGTGTGTGTAAATTTCCAAAAAATATCCTAGTAGCATCACCTCGCTTATGTGGCATAGTGCATTAAACCTGATGAATGTTGAAATAATGCACTGTAGATGTCAAACAGCAAGCCTGGTCCACACTTACATAGGGCAATAACGAAGTCAGTAACAGATTCTCTTTTGAGGAGGGCTTGTGCTCTCTAGGTGGTACACCCCTCCTGCCATCCCACCCTTAGGTCACCCACCTGGCTTCTGGAGGCATTGGGGTTTGTTTCCAATGGTTGAAATAAATGATCAAACCCACACTGACTTGATATCCAGACAGGCTTTACTATATCATAGATATTAGTCATCAAAATTTTAGGGCATAAATTATATGTTTCAGAAGTCTACTGAGAATTCCTAGGCTGCTAAACGCTTGAGAAAATCCTAGACCCGGATGCATTGCATCTTACCATTTTTTGGTTTTGTTTTTTGTTTTTTGAGACAGAGTCTCACTCTGTTGCCCAGGCTGGAGTGCAGTGGCATTATCTCAGCTCACCGCAACCTCTGCCTCCCGGGCTCACACAACCCTCCTGCCCCAGCCTCCCGAGTAGCGCCCGCCACCACGCCTGGCTAATTTTGTCTTTTTAGTAGAGATGGGGTGTCACCATCTTAGCCAGGCTTATCTTGAACTCCTGACCTCGTGATCCACCCGCCTCGGCTTCCCAAAGTGCTGGGATTACAGGCATGAGCCACCGCGCCCAGCCACATCTTACCATTTTAATAGCAACATCTTTACTTTGTGCCTGGAACTTTACATGCAGAAACTTGATGAATCCTCCCAGCAGCCCTATAAAGGTAGGGGCATGTAACATCTTTGATGTATAGAAGATGAACTGAGTCAGACAGTAGTTAAGCAACTTTCATCCCTACACAACTTCCGGAATCTCTTAGTGACTCCTACTGTTTCCCCTAGTTAGCCTTTGATTCTCTCCGTGAGATCTGCTGTCAGAACTTCAGCTGATCCTGATGCAGCCTTACTGACCTATGGAATTTCCCTTCCTTCTCCAATGCTCACCTCCCATTAGAACCCGTGGGTCATTGCTCTGAGCATGACACACTGGGGCAAGTGTCTGTGTCAAACTTTGTAAGACATTTCTATATTAAGATGTAAAGAGAAAGAAGCAAAAAGCAAACTTTTATATACACTCTGACTTCAGTTATGGGAAATGCATGGAGAAGAAGGCTGGAAGGAAAGGCGGTGATGACATTACATTAGAGTTGTAGGGCAATGGATTTTTTTTCTATTTTCTTAGTTTTATGAAATATGGTATGCCAGGTATTAAATGAGAAAGGTTTACCCTTTTACTAATTTAAATATTTCTTTCCAAAAACTGAAATACATCTATCAACTCAGATGGTTACCATGCAATATCACAAAACATGCAATAGTCTTTTTTTTTTTTTTTTTTTTTTTGAGATGGAGTCTTGCACTGTCGCCCAGGCTGGAGTGCAGTGGCGGGATCTTGGCTGACTGCAAGCTCCGCCTCCTGGGTTCACACCATTCTCCTGCCTCAGCCTCCCAAGTAGCTGGGACTACAGGTGCGTGCCACCATGATTGGCTAATTTTTTGTGTTTTTAGTAGAGATGGGGTTTCACCATGTTAGCCAGGATGGTCTCGATCTCCTGACCTCATGATCTGCCCTTCTCTGCCTCCCAAAATGCTGGGATTATAGGCATGAGCCACCGCGCCCAGCCTATATGCAATATTCTTTAAAATAGTTACCATTTATCAATTGCTTAATAATTGCTAGGTATCTTACATATGTAATCTTGAACCCCTATAAGAACTGACCAAAGCAGCTATTATTATTATTATTTTTAAGACAGAGTCTCACTCTGTCGCCCAGGCTGGAGTGCAGTGGCACAATCTCAGCTCATGGCAACTTCTGCCTCCTGGGTTCAAGTGATTCTTATGCCTCAGCCTCCTGAGTAGCTGGGACTACAGGTGCACGCCATCACGCCTGGCAAATTTTTGTATTTTTAGTAGAGATGGGGTTTCACCATATTGGCCAGGCTGGTCTAGAACTCCTGACCTTGTGATCTGCCCACCTCGGCCTCCCAAAGTGCCGGGATTCAGGCGTGAGCCACTGCGCCTGGCCCAAAGCAGCTATTACTATACACTTTTTGAAGCTGAGGCAACCAAGGCCTAGAGAAGGGCAGTGATTTTTTCCAAGAACACGTTGCTGGATTTACATGGCCAGGCTCATCTTACTTCAAAGTGATCATCATCAACTAATCATTCATCTGGTAGAAACTTATTATTTCCATTTTCAGGGTACCCAGAAATTTTGTTACTGTATCAAGATCACAGGAAAAGTGTTTGAGACATCACCAGAATCTACAGCTTCTGTTGGTGCTCCTGGGTTCAGCTTCTAGCTTTACGAGTATGCTAGCTTGTCTCCAAGGTGGTGCCCGTGAGCCCTAAATTCCTGGATTGACGCTCTTGCCTAGTCCTCTATTGTATCATATCAGGGTTGTTCTGAGTAACCAATAGAACACAGCAGAGGTGAAGCCATGTGACAAAGTTAGGTCATAAATTACATCATGGCTTCCATGTTGCTGGCTTCCTCTTGGATCACTTCCTCTGGAGGAAACCAACTGTGTGTTGTGAGAAGATTTAAGCAATCCAGGGAGAGGTCCACATGGTAAGGATCAGAGACCACCAGCCAACAACCATGCTGGTGAGGGATTTTTAGAAGCAGATCCTCCAGCCCCAATCAGGCCTTCAGATGACTGCATCCCACATTGACTCCAACACTGTGAAATAACACTGAGTCAGACACACCCAGCAAAACCACCAAACTCCTGACCCACAGAAACTGAGATAAATGTTGTTTTAAACCACAGAGTTTTCGGGGTAGTTAGTTACACGTTGATAGATAATTGATAGACATTGCAGATAACTTGTCTTTTTAGTCCGCAAGACTTCAGACAGAGAGGAACTCTACTTGAAGATGGATTCTTAAAGAACTACACCCGGTCAGGCAAGGTGGCTTATGCCTATAATCCCAACACTTTAATAGGCCGAGGCAGGATGACTGCTTGAGCCCAAAAGTTTGAGAACAACCTGGGAAACATGGTGAAACCCCATCACCACAAAAAAAAATTTTTTAAATTAGCCAGTCATTGTGGTGTGTGTCTGTAGTCCCAGCTACTTGGGAGGCTGAAGCAGGAGGATTGCTTGAGTCCAGGGGTCAAGGCTACAAGTAAGCTGAGATTGCACCACTGCACTCCAGCCTGGGCTACAGAGTGAGACACTGTCTCAACTCAAAAAAAAAAAAAACAAACAAACAAAAAAAAAAACTGCAGAACTACACCTGAGAAGACTTCTCTGTATTGGGATCTGATTTAAATAATTACATCCTGGACTTCAAACCTGGACATCTTGTACAAGTTTGAGACTTTTGGGAGGAGTTGAGAGGAATGAGAGTATTTCACATGTAGGAGAAATAGAAATAATTTGTGGCCAGGTGGTGGACTGTGATGATTTAAAATACGTCCACAGATTATTTAACATTCCTTTCAAAAGATGGTACCTAATTCCCCTCCACCTCAATTTGGGCTGGTCTTAGTGACTCGTTTGTAGTGATAGAATGTAGAAGTGATTGTGTGTGATGTCAGAGAGTAGGACATAAAAGTGATGGTGTCTGCCGGCTTACTCTTTCTCTTGGGTGATCTGCTCTGGGGAGAGTTGTGAGTAGGCCTCCAGCCCACAGCCATGTGAGTGACCCTTTTGAAGAGTGGATCTTCCAGGCCCAGTCAAGCCTTCAGATGACTGCAGCCCCAGCCAACATCTTGGGAGACCCCGAGTCAGAAACCCCCGCTAAGTCACTTCCAGATCCCTAAGTCTCAGAAACTGAAGAAAAAAAAAATGTATGTGGTTTTAAGCCCTAAGTTTGGGGGGTAATTTGTTATGTTGCAATAGATAATATGTCTGATATGGTTTAACTGTGGCCCCACCCAAATCTCACCTTGAATGGTAGCTCCCATAATTCCTTCATGTTGTGGGAGGGGCCCAGTGGGAGATAATTCAATCATAGGGTGGTTTCCCCCATACTGTTCTCATGGTAGTGGATAAGTCTCACAAGATCTGATGGTTTTATAAAGAGAAACCCCTTTCACTTTGTTCTCATTCTCTTCTCTTGTCTGCTGCCATGTGAGACGTGCCTTTCACCTACCGTCATGATTGTGAGGCCTCCCCAGGCATGTAGAACTGTGAGTCCATTAAACCTCTTTTTTTTTTTGTAAATGGTCATGTCTTGGGTATGCCTCTATCAGCAGCATGAAAATGGACTAATACAATGTCATTGCTGAAAATTTACCTCATTATATTTTCACATTTGGATGAGAAAAAAGATTTTGGATAAATCCAAGCAAATTCTTTTCATCCTAAGGTAACAGAAACAGAGTAATTTGCCTCTATTCTTGCTGCTATTTTGTCCAATATAAGCCCAGAAATGCCTTTTGTCTTTATTGTCTAATTTGTTATTGTAGAAATTTACTTATTCAGTCACTATATTTAGTTTAGAGAACTGTGCTATAAACAGAACGTTGAAAATTTTTTTAAATACATATTTTCTGAATAGCTACTTTATCATGTACACTGGGCATCCAGAGGCTATAAAGATGAATGAGGTGCAGTTCTTATCTTCATGGAATTTAATCGTTTCATGGACTATTAAATAATTAAAAAACAATAATATATATTAAAGTATCAAACGACATATATCCATATATTCTAAATTGTCTATTACCCTTTTACTCCTGTCTTTTCAACTTAGCCCTTGCAAGTGAATTCTTTGCTAAATTTTAAGTACATTTTATTTAAAAAAAATCTTTTAGAGATGGAGTCTCACTATGTTACCCAGACTGGTCTTGAACTCTTCGCTTCAAGCAATCCTCCAGCCTCAGCCTTTCAAAGTCCTGGGATTACAAGTATGAGCCACCGCACCCAGCCACTTCACTTATTTAAAGTTGAATATACTACCAGGTTTGGTGGTGTATGCCTATAGTCCCACCTACTCCAGCTACTCAGAAGGCTTTGGTGGGAGAATCCCTTGAGCCTAGGAGTTCTGGGCTGCATTACAGCCTGGGAGACAGAGCAAGACCCCATCTCTTAAAAAAAAAAAAAAAAATATATATATATATATATATATATATATATAATATATATTATACAAACACAAAAGCTCACATATCAAAGTCTGTACTCCTGAATTCACACAGTGACACAATGATGTATCCACACAGTGACCCCCACCCCGTATCCACAATTAGATTTGGGAGCAGAACATTACCCAGCCCATATCCTGAGGAGCTGGTATTCTGCCTTCCATCGCCATACAAAAATTTTGCCAGTTTTTGAAATTTGTGAATGGAATGATATATGTGATTTTTGGTTTGGCTTCTTTCACTTAAGTTATGCTTGTGACATGTACGTTTGCTGTTCAGAGTAGCAGTAAATTCCCATAGCTGTATTATATTAAGTTATATGAATACACTTATATAAATACACTTGTCCATTCTACTATTGATGGATAATTCGACAATTTCCAGGTTTGGGCTATAATGAAAAGTACTGCTAGGAATATACATGTACATATCTTTTGGTAACATAGAACTCTTTTTATGTGGTCTACACTGGCAGTGGAATTGCTGGGTCTTGGCGTACTGTCTTACTTTGGACTTTTAGCTCAGCTCTGTCTCCCTCTCTCTGTCCTTGCTGTCAGGCTTTGCGATATCTCCTATTAGTGGAGTTTCAAGTTTTTCCACATCTTGTTCCACATCTGCAACAACATTTGATATTATAACACTTTTTTTTATTTGAGATATTCTTGAGTGTTTTATTATCTATTTTTTACCTAGGTTTTCTCCTGTGCTTGATAAGTCTGTAGGAATTACAGAGAGAGAGACTGTGTAAAATATAAACTGCTTCTGAGTCTGAAATAGGATGCATTAGAAAATGTAACAACTTGTTTGACAGACGCTTGTTCTCCCCAAACAACCAGATTTGTCCGAATTCCTACCTGGTTGTTAGTTACCAGTTGTTTGTTAGTTGACTAGTTAGTATCAACTCAGCATCAGTCGGTCCTGTATGGAGGTATATGTATATATACAAGATATATATTTAAATATATAAAAGGATATATAGTTAAACGTGCTGATGGCCGGGTGTGATGGCTTACACCTGTAATCCCAGCACTTTGGGAGGCCAAGTTGGGAGCATCGCTTGAAGCCAGGACTTTGAGACCAGCCTAGGTGACCTTGTGAGAACTCCTCTCTACAAACAAACAAAATAGCTGGGTGCAGTGGCACACACATGTAGTCCCAACTACTCAGGAGGCTGAGGCAGGAGGATCGCTTGAGCCCAGGAGATCGATGTTACAGTGAGCTATGATTTCATCATTGCATGCCAGCCTGGGCAACACAGCAAGACCCTGTCTCTGAAAATAATAATAATAATAATAATAATATATTGTCCTGGGCAGATGAGGACTTTGATTCAGCTTCCGGCTTTTATTCTCCAGAAGAGGGCAGCCTCGTTCCACGTTTTGTCTGTAGGCCTCCCTGCAGACACCTCCCCGCTCCTGTGTTTGTTAAAGGGCATGCTTTATTTGTTAAGCACATGACAGCCTCCTGGGCAGCCAGGTGGGAACTTGGGAGGTATTTTTTCTCTTTGTTCTTTCTGGCTCTCTAACCAGATTCTAGTTAATTCCACCTGAGGTCTGGACGTGTCCTAGTTTCATTTCTAGACCTGCTGTCCTAGCTCCGTACTGTGTCTCCCAACCTCCTGCTGCAGACTCCTCAACTCTCAGACCCTGCCCTCCCCTCCCTCACCTTCTCTCTTTTCCGGAGGAATTTTTCCAACGCATGGGCTCAAAAACGTTCAAAGGCTCGCTAGCCTTTGAAGAAATAAATACGTGTGATTAGGTTGAAGTCTAAATCCCCCGGTGGCATTCTTGGCCCCTAAGAATCAAACTGCAATCCGCTTCTCCACTTTCCTCTACTTGTACTGCCCTCAGAAAACCCACTTTTCCGTGGAGTGAGCAGAACTAGGGTTTGAACAACTCTAGGTCTAAGTCCAAATGCAAAGCTCAGTGTCTTTACTTTCCATCCATAGGACTGTGGCAAGGAACTTATCTCTATGAACCCTGGTTTTCCTATCAGCAGATGGGGCTCGGTGGTACCTACCCCTCATGGTTGGTGTAATAAATAAACGATGCTACGAATATGAGAGTTCCTGGCATAAAGTGACTACATGATAAATGGTGCTGTCATTGTCATCATCATCATCAATTTACTTAATTTATTCTGAGCTTCGCTTCTTCTCATTGTCCAAATTCCCTGCCCTCCTGCCCTACTGAGATTTCATCTTGTGAGGTCCAGCCTTGTGTCACCTCCTTTACGATAACCGTCTTCCTTTCCCAGGGTCCCAGCGTTCACTGCTACTTCTGAGCACCCTCTTTCAGAGCCAGGTAAAAATTCATTCACACAAGTTTACCGGGCACCCTGAACAGCGCCAGCACTATGCCGGGTACTGTGGGTACTTCAGTGAAAGAGAAAGAGGCAGACAAATCCCTGCCATGGTGACAGGTATACTCTGATAGAGAAATATGCTTAAATAAATAAATAAATAAATAAATAAATAAATATGCATGATGAATTTCAAAAGGAAATTCACATAACTCTGGGACCACAGAGCAGGAAAATAAATTAGTGTCTCTTCTGTATTAGGGTCAGGGGCCACAAAGGCTTACCTCGGAAAGGCACATCGAAGCTGAGATGGAAGCATGATTAAGTCAGGCCAACTGAGGAGTGGAATAATATTCTAGAAAGAGAGTCAGGCCAACTGAGGAGTGGGATAATATTCTAGAAAGAGAGAACTGTGCCCATCTTATCTGTCCTGCCAATTTTAAATTCTCCAAGATCAGACACTGAATTTTTTTCCCATAAAATCTCCAACAGCACCTGGAAAGTCCCTTGCCTGTAGGAATTGTTCAGAAATTGTTGAACAAAAAATGCAAAGAAATGGCAGTTTTTAAAATTGAAGTCTTTAAAACGATAGGGAAGCAAGCTCTTTCTCTTCTGTGTTTTCTGTTCCTTTCTCGGGCTGGTTACATAGTTTGAGTCCCAAGATGATATGTTAGTGAAAAACTTTAGTTCTTCACAGATCGCCTCCTTTGAGGGCCAAGAGCTCACAAGATGGCCTGGGTGAGGGTTACTTCAGGACAGCTTCTTACCCCCTGAAGCAGGAGAGTTCTTCCTGTGTGAGGTGTGCAGGTGACTTTATCCATCACACTGAAGTTCCCTTCTTAGCCAAACAAAGGAGTATAGGGTTGAGTTAGACCCCCTAACAATCAACTTCTCCTGGAGTCATCCTATTTCATGGAACTTTGGGGTCCAACTACATTTCTTTTAACGAGAAACTTTTAGTTGCCTCTGGGGTGGGGACAGTGATCTCCCAAGCAGCAAGAACCAGGTCTGTGGAAGTGACCCCCCATGCAGTTTGAAGGTGGCAGCTCCACTCACTCCATGCCAAGCATTGAACACAGGAATCTTCGCCAAGCTTCCCAGACAGGCAGGCCAGTGCTCAGGCTCGGCGCCACATCTGGGGCTATTCCAAGTCAGGTTTCTTCCACTCCTGGGCAGTGTCTGGGGGGCTCAAGTTCACTGCTGCAAACAGTTGCTGGCTAGTGGGGCTGTTCCCACCCTCCCCTCAATGCAGCATCCTCCCTGGGCAAACACTTTGAGGGCTCTGGCCTCTCAAAGATGGATGGCGTTCACTTCAAAGTGGCTGTGAGTTCTCTTCTGGAGCAAAACAGCTCTAACAGAGGCCTGCCTTCCCTGATTTTTCAGGGGTGGGGTGTTGGGAAGCAAGGGATATCTCTATCTCAGCTTACCATGCCCTTCATTTTCAGTCATTATGAGCTGTTTCTTTGCAAGAGAAAGAAAAACTTGTAGCTGATGGTCAGATATCGTTCAGTGGTGGTTTCCGTTTTTACACTTGGACGATTAATCCTGAGGACCAAGCCCACATGATTAGTTTTCATCAGTATTCAAACAAAAATCCAGCAAATAAATAAAAACATATTCTTCACACCTGAGGTCTCAGAGAAGGCTGAGAGAGGGGACTTGGACCTAAGGGCCTGAGAGGAAAGGTTGTCTCATAAGAGGAGCCTTACGATGCAAGAAGTCAATGAAGCCGAGACATGACCCTCCATTGCCACCTGATCCCAGGAGCTGAGAGCCATCAGCCAGGGCCGGGACTCTTCCTCCCTACAATGCTGAAAACAGGCATGGAGTCGGTGGTGGGTGGGAGAGCTCTTCTGTTGCTCATTTAGTGTAGGTCCTTTAAAATGGCAAATGATTGTTTGTTTCTGGAGGTCAGGGATGGGGTGACATGGAGGATAAAAATACTGTGGTCCCTCAATATCCGTGGGGGGTTGGTTCCAGGACGCCCTCGGATACCAAATCCATGGATGCTCAAGTCCCTGAAATGAAAATGATGCATAGCATTTGCATATTACTGACAGACATCCTCCCTTATACATTATATCATTTTCAGGTTCCTTATAATACATCACACAGTGTAAATGGTTGTTGTACTCTATTGTTTAAGGAATAATGACAAGAGAAAATGTCTGTACGTGTTAGCCCAGACATAATCTCCTTTTTTCAAATATTGCTTGAATCTACAGAGGTGGATCCCAGGTGGTGGAGGGATGACTGTGGTAGGTGGAAAAGTGACCGGAGCTGGAATGGCCTTAGTCAACTGTCTCTCTTAACAAAAAATTGGTACACACATAAGGGAAAAATTGTGGATGATGCAGAATGGTTTTTTAATTGCTAAATTGTAAAGGTGTAAAAGGAGTAGTGCTGTAAAACACCCTAAATGCAAAGGGCGTATGGTGAAGGAGGAGAAGATCAACATGGAGCTGTGGGATCGGGGCATTTCTTTGACGATGGGACCTGAGTGGGCTGCAGTGTGACAAAGATCTGGATGGATGCATAGGACAGCTACCTGGAGGAATGCAAACACAGGTGTGTGTGGAGGAATGCAGAAAGAAGCATATGGATCTGGTTCTTGGCTTTGCAAGTCACTCCTTCTCGGAGTCAGTGGCTCCCAAGGTTTCTGGTATCCCAAGCATCTGCTGCTTTTCCTTGCACACACGTGCACTTGCACGGGGATTATCTTCTGTGCCCTGCATCCGGGATGGGGTGGGGAGTGAAGTGTTCTGACGTTGACACTTTCCTTCTGATTTCACCCATTGAGAAAACTGTAAAACCCACTATACATCTGTTAAGTATATCATTTTAAAGCTAAATTTATGCTTAGATATTTCAAAAATAGAAAAGGAGCATGAAGATGGAAGAAGGGATGGCTTCTAAAGACAATAATTAGCAATGTTTTTAAACTGGGAGGTTTCTGGCAGAGTACGAAGCACAGGACTGAGGTCTCACTGATTCTTGTCAAAAGGTCAGCACAGAGTGTATTTTATTTGTCATCATTTTTGTCTTTCAAGCAGCCACCTGAGGGCCAATCTGATGCTCGGGGAGATGGAGTATCTTCTTCCATCACAGGTGAGGAGCCGTCAAGCTGCCCCATGCCAGGGCACCATCTGCTGCAAGATTGCATCCCCTCTGAGTGGCATGAGAGCCACAGCAGGGTGGGCACAAATCCTCCCTTGCTTCACACCCCCATGCTGGTAATGAGCTGACAAGCTGCAGATGGAGCAGGTCAGGAAAGAGAACAAACTTCCCTACCTCCCAAGCAACATACAAAAATGACATCATTTCTAGATTAGGACCACATTTGCACACATCCACTTTTGGATAATCTAATACATCTTTATTAATCTCAAAATATGTCTTTTTGGTCAATAACATTCTTTTAATAACCATTAAAGATAATCTATTATTAAAAGGTTAATTTTGCTTCCCTTAGATAAATATAACAGAATTCAAATACGAACTTGCCCCGTTCTGTTGAAGTGTAGTGAGAGCTGACTATGTGAACTGAATAATGCTTGTCCTGTACAGAATGGTGAAGAAAAGCAAACTTTTGTTCACCTGGGAACACTTTTTAAAAATACACTGATACTTAACTTAAATAATTGAATACATATCATAAACACACAAATTACACCATTTAAAATATACTTACTACAAAAAGATCCTGAACATTATTGATTAATGCAAATAAAACTACTTCGCATTATTATAAAAGTCAAAATATTTTACATCACTTTGTGCTTTTAAAACTATTGCTAGCTTCCCCTGGGAAAAGTCAAAATAACTGTACATTGTAGAAAAAAGTTTTTGCACTTTTGACCCAAATACACGTATCAACACGAGAAGAGGCACAATAACATCTAATAATTGTTCTAAATTTCCCTGAAACAAACAAACAAACAAACAAACAAAAGCTATTTATTCAATGAAATACATTTCTATGGTAATTGCTAATTTGATGTATTCACGCGTGCACAAAAGAACTACTTTTTCTTGGTCACTAATGACAGCAAACACTAGATGTCTAGGAATATATATATATGTGTGTTATATATATATTTACAGACATACATATTTAAGAGAGCATATAAAGAAAATAGGACAGTTTGCACATACATATTCAAAGCCTCTCAGAAACTCACTTAGGTCCACATTAGTGAGCCTTAATGTATTGCCAGCGTTTTGTGTAAATAACCAGAGAAGTAAAACAAACTTTAGTAGTGGAGTCCCTCCTTGTACATTAATAGAAAATCTAGTTAGAAGTGGTATGATTAGCTCGTAAGAGGTCAGGAGTTCAAGACCAGCCTGGCCAACATGGTGAAAGTTTGTCTTTACTTAAAAAAAAATACAAAAATTAGCCAGGAGTGGTGGCATGTTCCTGTAATCCCAGCTATTCAGGAGGCTGAGGCACGAGAATTGCTTAAACCTGGGAGGCAGAGGTTGCAATGAGCTGAGACTGCACTACTGCCCTCCAGCCTGGGTGACAGAGTGAGACACTGTCTCAAAAAAAAAAAAAAAAAAAGAAAAGAAAAGAGAAAAGTGCTTATCACTTAGCCAAATTCTTGCTAAGGGAATGTAAATATAATTGTACCTTCTTCAGGGAATTCAACATCAAGGTACACTGGCTTAACTGCAGTGACTCACTCGTTTTTCAATGTGGAGGTAATATTCATAGAAAAATCAATATTCCATGTGGAGAAAATGTATTTTTCCTGTGGATGTATTAATGATTAATTGGGTTGGAGTAAACTTTACTTTCTGCAGCTCTAGTATTTATTTGTCAAATGAAGATCCAATTTGACAAACAGCTCTTACAAATGGTCCATCAGATTGGTAAGATAGATTATTCTATAGCTCCAATCCCTCCCAAATAAAGTCATTGATTATCTGTGTATAATCAACTGGGGAAGACCCGCACCGCAAGAGGACAGAGTATGTGATGTAACTGAAATGATTCACACCCCTGTTAATGTGTCATAGACCGTAGGATCCCTGGGGAATTAAAAATAGAACAATTCAGCTAGAATCTTCTCTTTGATCAACTCTCTTCAGTTTCTGATTGTGCTCTCATGCTGAGCTCTTTCATTTGCAATACAATTTCAATCCTTGTTTGGTGAGAGATCTTTTTAAATGTTTGCACTTCAGTGTTGTAGATAACTGAGGTTGCAGATATGGAGTTTATACTATCAAAACAATCATTAAATAATCAAAATAATCATAATTTTGAGTTAAGATTGGAACAAGAGGAGTTAAGCATTACGGTTGGTGGAGGGTCTGTTAATGCTTCTTGATTCCCTCCCACTTCCGTGGTTTTCCCATCTGCTGGACGGGTGTATAATAACGCTTACCTCATATGCCTCTTGATGGAATGAAGCCTGTATCGTGCATTTTTCTTTGGAGAAAGATTACAATTATGGCATTTGAAATCCAAGTATATATCTAGGGAATGTGGGAATTACTTGTCATTATGTAATTTCTTATGAAAGCTTTGTCTAAAATAGCAGATTGCAGAACAGAAAAAATCGGGTGCAACTGCAGGAAATGAGACTGAAAAATAATTCAGAGTTAGTTTATGAAGGGCCTGAATGCCATCCAAAGGAGTCTGCATTTATTCTGTAAGACATATTATTTTCTGAAATATATCCCACAGAACACGTGCGCTATAGGATGTTAATACGTCTAGGGTAAGCTAGATTAAGTCCAAGCTTTAGGGTACTCCTTAAATATGCTAATATGCATCATGATTCTCTAAGGGAGGGTTGTTTGTTGTTTTCCTCAAACTAAACAATATAACTTGGTAATAGGCACACAGGGAATACGAAGAATGTTTCAGCTTGGCACCTGTGGGTCAGTTAATTCTAATATTCTGGGTACCTTCAAGATGCCAGATAGTCATTACCTTGTATCATATGTATCCAGCACACAGCAGACTGTGTATCCAGCACACAGCAGGGCTTAGTAAACAAATGGAGTGAATGAAATATCTGAATAGTCCTCAGTTGCCTTACTTATAAAATGGGAAAACAATAATATAATTGTTGAAAGGTTGAAGAGTTGGAGAAAAGTGGTCCCAGAATATTTTGCAACCAAGAACTATTTTTTAATTCAAATCAAATCGAAACAGATTCACAAATGAAAAAAAGATAAAAGGGAAAATATGTAAGAGACTACTATTGAATTATTGTCTAGCTGTGTAATCTTTGCTTAAACTTTTCCAAAGCTCATTTGGAAAGGGGATAATCACACTTACCTTGAAAGGCTCTAATACTCCGCCAAGCACATGAGCTGGGCCCAGGGGTGGGAGTATATGGTGTTGTGGTTAAGAGCAGAGACTAGGAGCCAGACCTGGGTTTGAATCCCAGCTCTGCCTCTAACTAAATGTGTGATACCTACTATGTGTGTAACCTTAAGCAATTTAATTTCTTTCTGCCTCAGTTTTCCTCATCTGCAAAATGGGAACAATAAGTGTACTTATCTTGGAGGGCTGTGGTGAGGACTGCATATAAATTAATGAACGTTGCTTTTTTTAAAAACAAAAATCCTTTATTACTCTTTTTTAACAAACAGCCCCTGGGACAGGGGACCAGGAGAAGGGGAAGGAGGGGAAGTGAGGCCCCAGCCGCACAACCCCTCCCCCCCACCCCTTTCCCCCTTATATATTTATAATCTATATACAAGCCCCGGGGGTAGAGGGCAAGAGGAACTCCCTCAGCGGGGTCACAACAGGTCCCAGTGTGTGATGTTCCCCTTCCTGTGTCCATGTGTTCTCATTGTTCAATTCCCACCTATGAGTGAGAACATGCGGTGTTTGGTTTTTTGTCCTTGCGATAGTTGAATGTTGCATATTTAGAAAAGTTCACAGCTATTCTCATTTCAGATTTTCTATGTAATAGGAAAGAGATGCTGAGGCCTGCCCTAATTTGTTTTTCTTAGACTGCAGCTGCTTGTCTGGTGGTTGGTTCCCATTTCCTCCTTCCTCCAAAACTGGGGGCTCACAGCTCATATTTAACCTGTGCCCTCCCCCACCAAGTTCAAGTACTGAGTTAGAACTTCTGTTCTCCTCCAAACTCGTATATATGTATTAATTTAATTTAAAATCCACCAGTGCTTTTTTTTTGGCCATTAATAATCAGGGGCATTCATGTTCCTAGCTGGTTTATATTTGGATGGTTTTTTCTCTGGATTACTCCAAATTTTTGCCTATTGAATTGATGGTCACTTAAAAGACAGAGGAATTACTGGCATGTAGAATTTGGAAGGAAATAGAAAGGCAAACGAGAAATAAGAATTAGCACTATTCTGCACGGAGATCTATGATGAGAAAAGAGAACGAAACCAAACTCCAAGACGTTTGTGTAGCTAGTTTGTTAGTTACTTTGATATGCTGGTGTCATATCATCACTATACTGGCAATTGGAAAAAATTTAAATAGGTGCTTGAATGATTCTCACTATAACATTATTTTGATTCCATCCTTTGTCCATGTTAATGCGCTTTCCCCCAAATCCTTTGAAGATTCTGTGGAATTCCTCAAATAGACAGTGAGGCATCAGGAAGCCAGCAAAGTTTTGTTTTGTTGGAGATGGAGTTTCACTCTTGTTGCCCAGGTTGGAGTGCAATGGCACAATCTCGGCTCACTGCAACCTCCGCCTCCCAGGTTCAAGCGATTCTCCTGCCTCAGCCTCCCAAGTAGCTGGGATTACAGGCATGCGCCACCAACCTGGCTAATTTTTTGTATTTAATAAAGACGGGGTTTCACCATGTTGGTCAGGCTGGTCTCAAACTCCTGACCTCAGCTGATCCACCCACCTCAGCTTCCTGAAGTGCTGGGAGTACAGGTGTGAGTCATCGTACCCAGCTGCCAACCAAGTTTTTAAGACTCCTCCAATAAACCCCCAAACTCTCCCTTCTATTTCAGATAGTGGGACTCTGTGCTGATGCCAGTAAGTAAAGAAGAAGGAATAAGAAAGATACTGTGTGATCTAGTATTAATAAGGAAGTAAGTGATCAGATTACTCCAGCTAGGTCAGTAGAATCTATCATCAAGCAAGTTGAGGCCGACAGCATTCACAAATCAACTGTCTACGTTTATACTCACTGATGACCTGTGTTTCCTTTCGAGGACAAGCAAGCTTTTTAAATGATCAAGACGTTTACATTAGTTTTGCTCTTCAATGGCTTTTTAAAAAAAATCCAAAGGCGGAAGTTAAATTTAAAAGAGCTTTCCATGTGACTACCCCAAAGAGAGATTATCAATCACCAAATTAAATATTTGTATACAAAATAATATCTGGATGCATAGATTCTTATGTTCATTAGATGAAGAGTAAAAGACTTATTAGTCAGCATGCTTTATTTACACCCCTGTCAAACGTACATGAAAATATTTCTCTCCAAAGAACCGTTCTAGAGAACCCTTTCATACAAAGTGGTGTGTGCACATCTAAGAGGTTGCTCAGACAGTTTAGCTCAAAGGCTAAAGAGTCTGGTAAACTGAGTTCCACCAAGTCTTGACTTTTAACTGGTAGGCTACCAGCAGAAAGAGAGGACTTCAAGCACAGATTTCTAGCAGCAAGGCCAGGATTAAAAACCCATGTGACAATAGGCTTCAGAGAGAGGAACAATCCATTCATAATTCAAAGGCCGTCAAGCCCGAGTTGTAAGAACATTTTGACTCTGAGAATCTTTTCTTTTTACCAAGGAAATCCCTTGCAGTCATGGTTTAGTGTCCTGAATTAAGAAATAAAAGGAACAGGCCGGGCTCGGTGGCTCACGCCTGTAATCCCAGCACTGTGGGGGGCCGAGGCGGGTGGATCACGACGTCAGGAGATCGAGACCATCCTGGCTAACACGGTGAAACCCCGTCTCTCCTAAAAATACAAAAAAACAGCCGGGCGTCGTGGTGGGTGCCAGTAGTCCCAGCTACTTGGGAGGCTGAGGCAGGAGGATGGCGTGAACCCGGAGGGCGGAGCTTACAGTGAGCCGAGATCGCGCCAGTGCACTCCAGCCTGGGCGACAGAGCGAGACTCTGTCTCAAAAAAAAAAAAAAAAAAAAAAAGAAATAGAAGAAACCAAATTAATTTTTAATTTATACTCCACTTATATATGTTTTCAATCATCCACTACTGCAGGATGTACACTGAACAGTACAACTCATATGCATCATTTTCACCAGACAACCTCATCTACCAAAATGGTGATAACACAATCTTATTTTGAAGCCAAAAGAGAGTTATAAACATCAATCGTTTTCAGATACGCTTTAAAAATATTTCTTTAAGTTTGTTCAAAGGTAACATCATTATTTTAAGTTATAGCACAATCATTAAAGGAAAAAAGAACCCAAGAACAAATGAAATTCGTTATTATTTTAGTCACTTTTAGTGGAAAAAATAAAACAAGATTTGGATTTTCATCCAGCATAAAGTAAAAAGACTCTTGTCAGATGTCAATTTTCTCATTAATGAACTACTTGAGACTGTACTCCTGGGTCAACTTATTTCTGCTTCTCCTGTCTCTAGACCTGTCTTAATTATATTTGTGTCTCAGGATCCATGACATAGATTTAAACAGACCCATGGGCAAATCTAAACAGTGACCACACAGTGTCCAGTCTATTCGTTTCTCTACAAAGTGACAGAAATTCAACCTGTAATCAGTAGAAGTTGATTCTACCTAAATTCCTAATATAACTAATAAAATGTAGTCACCTTCAATAAAATAAATGCCCAGATACTATTTTAAAGGATACAGCAAATCCAAGTCATACCTCTACCAAGGCTAACTATGCTGTACCTTAATTTGTTTGTTCTCAGAGCTAAAATCAGTGCTTCACTTAGATTCTCCTTTCCTAAAGAGTCCGTCAACTCAGAAGAAATGCCTAGTTCTTGATGCAGACTCATCATTAGTCAATCTTGGTCTTGGATATTCATCCTTCTAATAAGCATGATTGATAACAATCTTGCTAATAAGCAATAGTAATATCAATCTTGAATATTCATGCTTCTAATAAGATTGGAAGAATACCACTTGGGTACTTGCATATAACTCCTACTACCTACATACTCCACTCCTTACAAGCTAACAATGCCTTTATTATTATTATTATTATTATTTTGAGACAGAGTCTTGCTATGTTGCCCAGGCTGCAGTGCAGTGATGCAATCATAGTTCACTGCAGCCTTGAATTCCTGGGCTCACGTGATCCTCCTGCCTCAGTCTCTTGAGTAGCTTGGATGACAGGCATGCACCACCACATCTTGCTAATTTTTATAGAGATGGGGTCTTGCTATGTTGCCCAGGCTATTCTTGAACTCCTGGGTTCAAGTGATGCTTCTGCCTTGGCCTCCCAAAGTGCTGGGATTACAGGCATGAGCCACCATGCTCAGCCTAACAGTGCCTTTAAAAACCTCCTGGGCTACATTGAAAACCTTATTATCACATGTCAACTTATTTTGAAGCAAGTTTGCTTATAATTTAGTAAAGTCCTTGTAAAACTTCTTGGTTCTCTCCACTGTCACTCAGTTTTCTGAAAACTTTAAGTAGAAGCAAGGCCTTGGCAACAAGATAACTCATCACATGGTTCAAAGTATATCTGTGCAATGGATCAAATTTACCTATTATCTTGCACACTGCTCTCAGTTATAACCTGAGAACCAGAAATTATCCCCTCACTTTATAAAAATACCGTTTTAAAAGATTATTTAACAGCATAATCTTTTTAAATCAATGTGTAATACTGAAAAACACTATACATGTATTTTATCTCTCTGGGGTTAAAAAAAAGTCTGAGGTGTACTGAAGGGTACTTTCTGTTGCTTCTTCAGATCTTTTATATTAACATTTAAGCACAAATACCCTTTGTCAAGTGCTTTCAATGCCAGAATCTGTGCTTATTCAAACATGAAAACAAAAACAACCAAATAATTAATAGTCTCTGCAGACCAAAGCGTAAATGGATTAACAAATAACACTGAATGCAAATTCAGGTAACCATATCAAACCAAGAGAAAAGAATGTGGTTCATCTTTTGGAGGAGTTGTCTAAAAGGATCCAATCAATCACAACCTCCCTTTTTCTCTGCAATGATACACCAGTTACCATGATCATTCCCAGAACTCAGGATACGGAGCTCTGACACATTCTCCTTGAGCAGACTGCAGAGCTCCCCTTCTCGAAACACATGGTAGTAGCGCATAAAGGCTGTGGAGTCCAAAACATCAGTCTGTGGATCTTCGACAGACATTGTATCATCTGGGTTGAAATCTGTGGAATCGACTGCAGAAATCCTTCTCAATATTTTACTAGCAGAAGGATTATCATCTTCTATGTTGCCTGCATCCACACAATTCACACCAGTATTAGTGCTATCCAGAAAATTTCCCCCTCCATTTCTCCTCATTTCCCCTTGATGGTCTCCATTTAAATGTTTCAGAGTGCCTGGTGCTCTCAGCCACTCCAAGTGTTTTCCAGAAGAAGATTCCACAAACACTTCCTCATCTAAACTTTGCTCTTTTGTTGAAAATGGCTCTTGGTGATCAAAGTCTAGACTAGAGTGTCTGGAAGGCTGGACTGTTACAGTGCTACTGGCCCAAACTTCTGTGTTTTTCAAGGGTCTTACTCTTTCAATTTGCTTCCTCAGAGTCGATTCATCCAAAGATCTGGAGAAAAACCAGGAACGAAACGATTTTCCTAATGTGCTGTAAAATCCATATTCTTCCTCGCCTTCCTTAGAAATATTTGCAAAACAGGTTCTTGCCATAGCAGGTTCATAGCCCACACTGTGGGACCGTTTTGAACCACCCTGCTCTTTAAAACAAACAGAACAGCTACACTCAGAGCAAGGAGGATGGTAGGGATGGCCTCTTTCTGGGTATCCACACTGCCTCTTCCTCCCAGACTGGCTGGACTCTGAGAAGAGCTGGGAACACAGGGCCCTGTTCCATGGAACAAGCACGTCTTGCTTCTCAAAGCGACGGTTCTTTTGTTCCATTGCCCAAACGTAAATCATCAGTTGGCCTCCGGGAACTAAGACCCTGGCCATTTCTTTTATTGCTCTGATTCTTCTTTGTTTTGTAGAAAAATGATGTATGACTGAAAAAGACAAAACTAGATCTCAGTGTGTATGCACACACATAAACCCACACACGTATACACTGGTGTTTACCATATAACAAGGATGAAATTTTGACATCTAATGAAACCTTCTTATTTCCTCCATGGCAACGATGATGACAGAAATAACACAGGACTGATTTTAGGAGAAACATAAATTTTAGCTTTGGCTCCTGTACTTTTAATATTAGATGGCTGATCTTGGGCAAGATATTTAAGTTCTACAGATTTTAAGTTTCTTCCTCTATAAGAAGAAGTCTAGAGTCCATAAATCCATAAAGTCTCTTCCAGTTCCAAAATACTATGGATTTTTTTTAACCAGAAGGATGGTCAATGTGAATTACTAAAATTTGAAAGAGATATTAAATGTTCCCTTTGAATTCTATGAGGTAATTCATTGTTTTAATGAACAATTTGTACTTCTAAAGTAATAGCTGAGAAGTACAGAAATATGTTAAAGATTGTTTCTCTGTCTAGATAATGCAAAGATCAGCAGCTCACCCCAAGTCCAATTGGTTGCTTATAATAAGATATAAAATAGTTGTGTCTATTTAAAAAATCAATGTATACTTCATCATTTTACTTCCAATTCCTGCAAAGTCGAAATGAGCTTCAAGTAAGACTGCCTTTATCAAGTCATAAGTGTGTTATTAGGCATAATTTTATCTGCCAATAAAAGTGCTAGTCTGTTAGTTCTTGAGGGAGTATAATCACAGTACTGTGTCAAGAGAAAACTTCAAATTATTTTTCCCTACATAGATGCACCAATATATCAGTGAGGAAATTAATCTCAAGCAAAATTGGAAGATTCTTGTTTTGATATGAGCTGTGAGGGCAGAGACAGAGCCTGAGAGGGTTGCTCTAAGGGTCAAAATAATCCAACTGTTAGTGGTGATTTTAGGCAAACTAATCTTTGTAGTTTACCTTCCACAGAGGCATATTAAATATCAAAAATGGGGTTGTGTACAGATCAAACTAGTAAAGAAATATCACTCAACAGATACATTTTGTATCGTTAGCAATCAAGTTTTCATTCCTATCAACATCACACAAACCTTGGTATCTCTACCATGCAGTAATGTAAGAAAGCCAGAGGTGTGAGGGTGAAATGGGTTTGAAGAACAACACACCAGTGTATTTCATTCTGCTAGAACTTTCGGTAACTAGTTTTGTGATCTTTAAACAATCACTCTACCCTCCTGGCCTCAGACTGCTGCCACCCACTCCCGAAAAGAAGAGTCCTTTAATATGGCTCATTTGAAAGCATACCTTTCTAGAAGTAGAGTCCTGATTACTAAGCTAAGGAGGTATAGCAGTCAGGACTGAGAAAGACTCAATCCACTGCTAATGCTCACATTTATCCACGGTTACTAAGGGCCATTAATATCTCCCGTGCTGTGTGCAGTGGCTCATGCCAGTAATCCCAGCACTTTGGGAGGCTGAGGTGGGCGGAACTCTTGAGGCCAGGAGTTTGAGACCAGCCTGGGCAACATGGCAAAACCCCATCTCTACAAAAAATATAAAAAAATTAACTGGGTGCATTGGTGTGTGCCTGTAGTTCCAGCTACTCAGGAGGCTGAAGTGGGAAGATCATTTGAGCCAGGGAGGTCGAGTTTGCAGTGGGCCATGATCATGCCACTGCAGTCCAGTCTGGCCAACAGAGTGAGACGCTGTCTCAAATATATGTATCTATATATACACACACATATAAATGTATCTCCCATATGTATGTATCTCCCATAACTTGCACCTAATTCACTTTAGAGCGTCTTCTATGGGTGTATTTTCTAAATACAATCCATCTTCATTATTCATGGATTCTGTATTTGCGAATTTGCCCACTTGATAACAAATCGCCCCCAAATCAATACTCCCCAAATTGTAATCCCCCAAATCAATACTCCAGACTTTCATGGTCATTCACTGACGAATGCAGATGGGCAACTTGAGCCTCTCAGTGCACATATTCCCAGCTGAGATGAAACAAAGTAATGTTCTTTCTTCTTATTTCAACTCTAATACTGTAATCAAGGGTTCTTTTTGTGATCTATTTTGTGCCACATTTTCTGCATGTTTGTGCTTCTTGTTGGTGATTTTGCTATTTGAAATCGCCTCCAAACATAGTGTTGAGGTATTATTTAGTGTTTCTAAGCCTTGGAAGACTGTGATGCACCTTATGGAGAAAATACGAGTTAGATAACTTCGTTCAGGCATGAGTTGCAGTGCTGTTGGTATGAGTTTAAAATGAAATAAACTGTCTTTAAACAGAAACACACATAAAACAAGACAATATGTTGTTCAGCTGACAAAAATGTTGTGATCAGAGGCTCACAGAAACCGCTGTATGCCTCTTGGGATTCTATATTCCACTGAATTTATTAATTCAGTGTTCACAGAGACTTTATAGAACATAACTACTGTAGATAATGATAATTGACTATTTTTTGGGGGGTGGTATAAGACAAAAAAACCTTTAAAACAGGACTATTTTAATAAAATGGTCTCTTTTCAGTAGACTCATACATCAACATTCAGAATTTGATTGGACTTCAAAGTAAGTTTTTTTCTTTGTTGTCGTTTTTTTTTTTTTTTGAGACAGGGTCTTGCTCTGTCACCCAGGATGTAGTGGCTCCATCTCAGCTTGCTGCAGCCTCTGCCTTCTGAGTTCAGGTGATTCTCCTCTCTCAGCCTCCTGAGTAGCTGGGACCACAGGTATATATCACCACACCCAGCTAATTTTTGTATTTTTTGTAGAGATGGAGTTTTGCCATGTTGCCCAGGCTGGTATCGAACTCCTGGGCTCAAGCCATCCTCCTGCCTCAGCCTCCCAAAGTGCTGGGATTGCAGGCATGAACCACCACGCCTGGCCAAGTTTTTTTTTTTTTTTTTTTAAGAAAGTCCTTATTTATTCATTTATTAATGCTTAAGTGACCATTCCTTTCTTATCAGATGTAACAGCATAATTTCACCCAGGAATATCAGTCGTTCATATTATGTTTTATATTTATACTTAAAGTGTAATAAGTAACAGCCTTTAAGCCAAATGTTCTTAAGAAAAAAATAGCTGGCCACGGATGGTGCCTCACACCTGTAATTCCAGCACTTTGAGGGGCTGAGGTGGGCGGATCACTTGAGCTCAGGAGTTCAAGACCAGCCTGGGCAACATAGTGAAACCCCATCTCTACCAAAAAAATAAAAAATAAAAAAAATTAGCTGGGCGTGGTGGTGTGTGTCTATGGTCCAAGTTACTCAGGAAACTGATGTGAGAGAATCTCTAGAGCCCAGGAGGCAGAGGTTGAAGTGAGTCAAGATCATGCCACTGTACTCCAACCTGGGTGACAGAGTAAGACACTGTCTCAAAAAAAAAAAAAAAAAAAGCCTACAAATGATTACTTCATTACATATTAAATGTATTAGACATGCATACACATACATGTTCTATTAAGAAACATTGTAAATGTATCTAAAATGGGAAGTGAGAATATATTTATCCGAAATATCAATGTCTGGAAACTATGTTGAATTTTTTAAAGTCCCTTTTGTTTAAAAAATCATAATCACAACCTAAAGGCAAAAGTAGTACTCAATATATGCATCCTAAAGCAGTATTTTCCTGCTGAGAGCCCAGACAGTAGGTAGGTTGAATTCAATTACTGGATTCCAGATTCAGATGAGAAGTTACACATGATCTCCTTGAATGTCTTGTTACATCTTGATATTTCATCATTTGTTGACATTTAACTTTTCAAGTGTACATGCCTCGCCTCTCTAAACTTCAGCATTCAGAATCTGCAGGTTTAGCATAAAGCAGATTTTTTTTAAACATCAGTACTATTGACATTTTGGGCTAGATAATTCGGGGTTTTTTTGAGACGCAGTCTTGCTCTGTCGCCCAGGCTGGAGTGCAGCCTGGAGTGCAGTGAACCTGGTTCACTGCAACCTCTGCCTCCTGGGTTCAAGCAATTCTTCTACCTCAGCCTCCTGAGTAGCTGAGATTACAGGCATGCACTACTATGCCCGGCCAAGTTTCTATTTTTAGTACAGATGGGGTTTCACCATATTGGCCAGGCTGGTCTCAAACTCCTGACCTTGTGATCCGCCTGCCTCAGTCTCCCAAAGTGTATAATTCTTTATTGTGGGGGCCCACATACTAGATGATATTACACGTACGTACATAAACATATCCAGTTGTGACAATTAAAAATGTCTCCAGACATTGCTCATGTCCTCTGGGGAAAGGGGGAAGGAGCAACGTAACCCCCAGTTGAGAAGCACTAGCCTGAAGGGCATTGTTGATTGCTCCTATGTTAATGTGCCACCACTTTTCCCTAGGATGTTTATCAGACTATTCCAAAAGTAAGTACAACAATATTTCTTTTTCTAATATGCCAATAAAATGAAGGCATAACCAGGTATGATGCTAAGCTCACATTATTATTAAAAGATGTGGAAAAGCAAATATATATATACTTATATATTTCTTCCTGTTAAGCAGGAAGTGCCAACATAAGAACTTTAAATAGAGAAGTAAATATATAGGGACATAAGAGAGACAGTCTATTGAAATTTCTCATAGTATACTTCCTTTTATATATATTATTTATATTTATATATTTATATATATTTCTCATAATATAGGTCCTTATATATGTCATATAAGAGAAATTTCAATAGACTATCTCTCTTATGCCTCATCTAGTTATATAAACACACAAATATATTTATATATATAAATATATATTTCACATTTATATTTTATATATAATATATATTTCACATTTATATTTTATATATATAAATATATATTTCACATTTATATTTATATATGTTTATATATATGATTTTCAGGTACAGGGTCCCTTATATTTATGTTATATGTATATATATATATATCATATATATATACCCATATGATTTTTAGGGACAAGTTCTCATTAGGTTGCCCAGGCTGGACTCAAACTCCTGAACTCAAAGGATCCTCTCACCCCAGCCTCCCAAAGTAGCTGGGAATTCAGGTGCCCGTCACCATGCCTGGCTACCATAATATAGTCCTAAATGTGAACTCGAACTGAAAATAACCACATCACATTAATTCGTAGTTACAGATCATAAAAACGCGTGCTGTTTTCCACTCAAGGAAGCATTTTTAATTCGAAGATGGTAACTAGGTGTGCTCCATTTTCTCTGAGGGCAAGGCATGAGATGTAAACTGAAAATAGAGGACTTAGCCAGATAAGCATGGAGTGTTTCCCAAGCATAGGAAAGGTGGTCTATATCCCCTTCCTTCACCAGTGTCTCAGTGGAATGGTCTGGATATAGGTGGCCTTGCAGACTACAAGGAATTTAGCCTGGGCGTGGTAGTTCATGCCTGTAATCACAACACTTTGGGAGGCCAAGGCAGGTGGACTGGTTGAGCCCTGGACTTCAGGACCAGCCTGGACAATATGGCAACCCCATCTCTACAAAAAAAATTAGAAAAAATTAGCCAGGCATGGTGATGTGTGCTTGTAGTCCCAGCTACTTGGGAGGCTGAGGCAGGAGGATAACCTGAGACCAGGAGGTAGAGGCTGCCATTGCACTCCAACCAGGGTGATAAGAGTGAGACCAATAAAAAAATTGGTCTCACTTTACGCTAAACCTGCGGATTCTAAATGCTGAAGGTTAGGGAGGCGAGACATGTACACTTGAAAAGTTAAATGACAACAAATGATAAAATATCAAGATGTAACAAGACATCTAAAAAAACATTGCTTCGAAAAATAAAAAATAAAAATAAAAAATTCTTGAATCATTAAAAAAATCCAATAACAATTTGAAGGTTTAGTTAAAAAAATAAAAAATAAAATGAGTGTAGACAAAAGAAGACCAAGCAGTCCACAGATTTCTTTGACTTTTTATTTTATTTATTTATTTATTTATTTATTTATTTATTTATTTATTTCAGATGGAGTCTCACTCTGTTGCTTAGGCTGGAGTGCAGTGGCATGATCTTGGCTCACTGCAACCTCTTCCTTCTGGGTTCAAGCAATTCCCTGCCTCAGCTTCCCAAGTAGTGGGATTACAAGTGCTCACCACCATGCCCGGCTAATTTTTGCATTTTTAGTAGAGACGGGGTTTCACCTTCTTGGCCAGGCTGGTCTTGAACTCCTGACCTTGTGATCCACCCACCTTGGCCTCCCAAAGTGCTAGGATTACAGGCCTGAGTCACCGCGCCCGGCCCATTTCTTTGACCTTTCTCCAATTTCTAGTTAAGTGGAATGACCAAGCCAAAACCTTTTTCCACTAAAGATTCAAAGCATTGTATAGTGTTGCTTAATTCAAAAAGGTTTTCTCCGGGTTATAGACTGAATGTTTGTGGCCTCTGAGACCAATATGTCGAAGCCCTAACCCCCAGTATGAAAGTATTAGGAGGCAGAACTTTAGGAGGTTTAGATGAAGTTGTGAGAGTGGGGCCCCCATTATGGGCTTAATGGCCTATTTATAAGAAGAGACCAGAGAGCTTGCTCTATCTCTCTCATTCTCCCCTTCTTCTTCCAGTCTCCTGCCGCATTTCACGTGATGATGCAGCAAGAATTAAGCCATCTGCAACCTGGTAGGAGGGTCCCTACCAGAACCTTACCCTGCTGGCACCCTGATCTCAGATGTCCAGCCTCCAGAACGGTGAGAAATAAATGTCTGTTGTTTAAGCGAAGTCTATGGTATTTTGCTATAGCAGGCTGCAAAGGCTAAGACAATCCTCTTAATGCTTACAACCAAAATGGATCTAACAGTTTCAACTGCAAATGAGACTATCAGAGAGCAAGTTTCCATAGCAACCATCTCTTGCCAGTCCTTACTAGTTCCAAGGTTATGGCTTCCAGGTCTGCCTCCCCTCAGCATACGAAGAAATAGTCCCCACCTAATGTTGGATAAATCAATCTTTCATCTATTTTAGGAAAAGAGCAAATCATCTTATTCTGCAATTTTGTTATGAATAACTCCATTTTATAAAAGATCATCTTTCTTGGATAAAACTTATTAATCAAATAGTTTTTATTTTTTTTATTTTTTTGAGATGAGTCTCACTCTTGTCATCCAGGCTGGAGTGCAGTGGCGTGATCTCAGCTCACTGCACCCTCCGCCTTCCAGGTTCAAGCGATTCTCCTGCCTCAGCCTCCTGAGTAGCTGGGACTACAGGCGCTTGTACCATGCCCGGCTAATTTTTGTATTTTTAGTAGAGATGGGGTTTCACATGTTGGCCAGGCTGGTCTCGATCTCCTGACCTCCTGATACACCCACTTCGGCCTCCCAAAGGGTTGGGATTACAGGCATGAGCCGCTGCACCCGGCCAAATAGGTTGATTTTTAAGAGTGTATTGGGACAAGTAATTTGCCTTGCAAAATATTTTTCCATTGCAAAACAAACAAACAAAAAAAACCTTGTCATAGGATTCCATTAAATATCAAGTTTCCCTGCATATTTAAATATGGCAGATGTCATGTATTCCTTACCTGCATGTATTTCAGGCATGGATTTTTTCCCCCCATTTTTTGGCATGTGTGTTTTCTGGTCACACTTGTTGGGAGGATATGAGAAACACATTCCCTAGACTCATGAACGATCTCTGGCAGCAAATGAGCAGAGTGGCATTATAAAAACAATGCAATCCAAGACCAGATGGGACCTACCTTCTCCATGAACTTGAGTACCAGTGAGTGGCAGATTGGTCCAGGTGACATTTGGTTTGTTAGCCCTAGAATTCTCTGTTAACAAAGGCCACTATTTTGGCCTAAAAAATGGTAATATAACTTCTAAAAATCTACTTTGCTTTGGATTAATCTGGCTTCATTTAAATATAATGAAGTGCTATTTTCAATGAGTAAGATTCCTCTAATCCTTTCTTACTCAAAAGAAATTGGAATGAATCATAAAAAAACTGCAATACCAAGTTGAAGGTTTAAATAGTTAAAACAATCATATGTGCCATAAATACATTTTGGAGTTAAGTCAAATCAGTCAAGTAGTTGAAACAATTTTTTTAAATTAGATAAAATAAATTACATTGACATTTCTACACAGAACGGATGTTGACTCATGAGAACGGACTAAACCGGGTCAATTATTCTCATGGCAAAGGGTGAATGTGTGATCTGGCTGCCTTACCTCCTATGGAGATGATGGCATCGAAGCCCTCATCCCTAAAGGGGAGATTAAGGTTGTCACATACCATGGCTTCACATCCTCTATTCCGGGCAATCTCTACCAGTGGCCCACAGTAGTCACAGCCCACGGTATGTACCTGGCTGTTCACTTTAAGATATTTTCCAGTCCCACAACCTATAAGAGAAAAACCTGCGTTACATGCTATCCTCAATGGAAAATGTGAAATACTTCATTTGTCTCATAACAAGAAATATAATTAACCTTTTATTTATTTATTTATTTTGAGACAGAGTCTCCCTCAGTCACCCAGGCTGGAGTGCAGTGGCGCAATCTCGGTTCACTGCAACCTCTGCCTCACGGGTTCAAGCAATTCTCTTGCCTTAGCCTCCCGAGTAGGTGGGATCATAGGCGCGTGCCACCATGACCGGATAATTTTGTATTTTTAGTAGAGACGGGTTTCTCCATGTTGGTCAGGTTGGTCTCGAACTCCCAACCTCAGGTGATCCGCCTGCCTCGGCCTCCCAAAGTGCTGGGATTACAGGTGCAAGCCACTGTGCCTGGCCAACTTTTTTTTTTTTTTTTAACTAACCAAGACAGAATACAACATGGTGTGAAGGTATTCACAAAAGCAAAAGAAAAGCCTTCGGCGAATACTTACAGATTCTCATATAGAAGAGAGAAAGGCAATAGGAAAAAAATAACATTTATTGAATATTTAATGAGGTGATGTCCACAGGGCTCAGTACACTGGCGCAACCAAGGCACGTTAGCTGGTCCAAGGCAAGAAAGATAGTTCTAGTATCCGAGAGACCACGTGTAGCCTCTAAGCTCACATTCATATTTCATTTTGTATATACGCATGTTTCGGCTTTTATTCTCCTGTTGTCTCTCCAAAGATTCTTACCACTTGCTGACTGCAAAACAAACAACTGTCAACAACTTTTCTATTATTTATACACTAAAACATGCCTTTCAAATTTTTAAAATTTGAACTTGAATTAGAAAAGAATTTTTAACATTGTTTTTATCCAATCTCTATTCATTGCTACATTTAAAATGATCTCTATGGGTCCAGTATACGACTCAGATTATAAAAACTACTTTTTTTCTTAAATAGACAATTTTTGATATTCACTTTCCAGTAGCAGAGACCTAAGTAATTCAGGATTTACAAAGCCCAAATATTTAGATCATTGAGGTCTTACTGATGTTATGATTGAGGTAGGTAGTAACATGAATGAATAAACCACCTTGAAACAAAGCCTTCTACAGTCTAATACTTAGTATTATATTCTATCACAGATATATAATCTAATTACTTTCCAGAAATATTAAAAGAAATCATTAGAGCCTATATTTGTACTTATTGGCATTACTGATGAAATTTTTCTACCTGAAAAGATATCTACCACTATTCAAAGATGATTAGTTTGCTGCTTCTGAAATACATCAGGACACTAATAACCCCTCCTTACTAGGCACTTTCAAAATTATGATACAGTAAAAGCAAACTTAAGATTCATTAATGCCAGCTGAGACAGTGGAGAATATATGAATAAAAAATAAAATTTGGGGTCTGGCGCGGTGGCTCATGCCTATAATCCTAGCACTTTGGGAGGCTGTGGTGGGCGGATCACTTGAGGGCAGGAGTTCGAGACCAGTCTGGCCAACATGATGAAACCCCTCTCTACTAAAAATACAAAAATTAGCTGGGTGTGGTGGCAGGTACCTGTAATCCCAGTTACTCAGGAGGCTGAGGCAGAAAAAAATCACTTAAATTCAGGAGGTGGAGGTTGCAGTGAGCTGGGGTAGCATCACCTCACTCCAGCCTAGGTGATGACAGAGTTAGATTTTGTCTCAAAAAAGAAAAAGAAAACAATTCCAGGATTATTATTTCTACGTAAATGTGACATATTATTTCTATGATATTATTTCTTTGATCTCGTAGCCACACTGTTCCCAATAATGATTATGAGAAAAAGTACCCTCTGTTTGAAGGCAATCATGGGGAAAATATAATTCACAAAGTATTTTAAAATTAAAATCCTGTGTATTTCAAAAGACGATGGTCCTATTTTAAGAAAAATAACCTTGCAATTCATTTGCTTTTTCATTGGCTCGAGGGATACTTTAGGAGAAATGAAAGGGAAAGTTACTTCAATGATATTAATAAAATCAGACTCATACATCTTTAGAATGAGGAGGGCCTGTTCAGAGAGCATTTTGTAATAAGAAGGAAACAGAGGTCTTTTCTCCTGACATGCTTCCAGTGCCCTAGAACTCTTGATTTGCCCCTATTCATTTCTAATGGCCTTCATGTTTAAATCTTGAATGTGAACAATAAAAGAATTTTAAATATTTTTTAATCCAAACTATTGTCTATTCATCAAACAGCTGATGACTTTAGCTAAGTGGAAAAACCTAGCAACAGAAACCATTTCCTTTAGAGGACAGTCATATTACCATCTGTCTTTTCTTCTCCTCATCCCTTTGAACTTCTTTCTTTTTCATTTCTTTCTTCTTTAACTTCAATTTCATTAAAATGCATCTTTCATTTTGCAATGAAAATATGACCCTATTTATTGAATAGTTTAAAAAATGTATATAGTACAAAATTCAAAAGATACAAATTGGCAAAAAGATATTTACTATAGATGTAGTTGTTGATTTGCACAGAGGTATTTAAAGAATATTATTTGTGAGACTTTTTTTTTTTTTTTCAGATAGGGTCTCACTATGCCACCCAGGCTAGAATGCAGTGGCACCATCTCGGCTCACTGCAACCTCTGCCTCCCAGACTCAATCTGTCCTCCTACCTCAGCCTCCCAAGTAGCTGAGACTACAGGCACGTGTATCATGCTTAGCTAATTATTTTTACTGTTGTTGTATTTTTTGTAGAGATGGGGTTTCACCATGTTTTCCAGGCTGGTCTCGAACTCCTGAGCTAAAAGATCTGCCCGCCGCACCTCCCAAAGTGCTAGGATTACACGTGTGAGATACCGCGCCTGGCCTATCTGTAGTGTAATTTGTAGCGGCAAAATACAGCAAACAACATGTATTAAATGTTAATATGGCACTATTAGCATAGAATGCTAGGCAGGTTTTAATACTGGGTAGCTCTATAATAAATATAAATATGGAATGATTTCCTCAATATATTAAAAGTATAACAAAACCTAGGTGTATAATTATAATTGTTTTTATAGTATACTACCATTAGTGTAACCAAAAAAGGGAAATTACCCATCACACTCTCACAGGCACAAATACGCTTATTTTTACATAAAACATCTCAAAAAGATCATACAAGAAGCTAACAGCGTCAGAGGCCTCTGGTGTGGGTTGCTTGGCGCCAGGGACTGGGATGGGAGAAGATTTTACACTAAGCATTCTTTTGTACTTTGTTGCCGAACCGTATCAGTGGGTTACCTATTAAAATACTTTTACACATTTTGAACCATTTGTTCACATCCTTTCCCTATTTTTCTTGTGACTTGTTGATAGTTTTCCCTTTTTTTTTCCTTTGAATTTAATTCCTTCTGTTTGATACTCTGAGCCTTTTAACCAACGTCTTACCATTTCCTACACCTACCCCACCCGCTTCGACACCCCAGCCCCAGGTAACCACCATTTTAATCTCTCCTTCTATGAGTCCAACTGTTTTAGATCCCATGTATAAGTGAGATCACTGGGTATTTGTCTTTCTGTGCCTGGCTGATTTCACCTAGCATAATATCTTCCAGGTTCCTCCGTGTTGTCGCAAATGACAGGATGCTGGTCCTTTTTTTACAGTGATGTTGAAGAATGCTTAGTAGATTAAAAAAATTACCGGCCGGGCGCGGTGGCTCACGCCTGTAATCCCAGCACTTTGGGAGGCGAAGGTCGGTGGATCACAAAGTCAGGAGATCGACACCATCCTGGCTAACACGGTGAAACTCCGTCTCTACTAAAAATACAAAAAATTAGCTGGGCGTGGTGGCGGGCAACTGTAGTCCCAGCTACTAGGGAGGCTGAGGCAGGAGAATGGCGTGAACCCGGGAGGCGGAGCTTGCAGTGAGCCGAGATGGCGCCCCTGCACTCCAGCCTGGGCAACAGAGCAAGACTCCGTCTCAAAAAAGAAAAAAAAATTATCTAGATTTCTATGACATGTGTTGCAGATATTTTTACTTAGTTTGATTTTGGTCTTTTGACTTGAATTGTATGTCTGTCTAGATTTTTGTCTTGTGGAACTTTTCCATTTTTATAGGGTCAAAGTTATCTGTCAATATAGTTAATCCTCATAAATTACAGCTTCCATATTTGCAGTTAATCTACCTGCTGAAATTTATTTGTAACCCCAACGTCAATACTACAGCCTTGCATTGTCATTATTAGACTTAAATACTCACAGTGCAGCAAAATATTTGAGTCATCTGAGACCCACATACCCAGCCTCCTTTTTTCAGCTCCCATACCGTAATCAAGTGTCCTTTCCATAATCTATTTAGGGCCACAATTTCTCCATTTGTACAGTTTTTACTGGTGATTTTGCTCTTTCAAATGGCCTAAGCCTGGGGCTGAAATGCCGTCTAGTGTTCCTGAACATAAGAAGGCTGGGATGTCTCTGATGGACAAAATATATGTGTTAGATAAGCTTTGTTCACGAAAGAGTTATAGTGTGCTGGCCGTGAGCCCAATGTTTATGAAATAATGATATATAGTAAAGAAGGTGTCTTTAAACAGAAACACATATGCAACAAGCTTATACATTGGTAAATTGACAAAAATGTTGTGACCTGAAGCTTACAGGAGCCTAATCCAACATTTCCCCTAAAAACAATGATTCAGTATTTGCCAATTCAATGTTTATGATACATATATGAAATGTAAGTACTGTGAATAATGGCAATCAACTGTATATTCTTTTACGATTTCTTTTTGTATGTGTATCATATATAGGCATTTTGCCTCTGAGAATATTTTAAATAACAATCTAGTCATTTAGTCCTTTAATGAGCTCATTTTCTTATACTTAAATCTTTGCTTCATTTGGAATTTATTTTGATGTAAGGTGTGAGAAAGTAACTCTCTGATTATATATGTCGTTATCCCAAAGCCATTTACTGAATAGTTCCTTTCCCCCACTGATTTTAAGATCCTGGTACGTGGCTTACTTAGATTATACGTGGTAAGAGCTCCAAACTCACTGCACACTCCGAAACTAGATTTATTATTTTTTAATTTACAGGATAGAGATATTTTTCAAAGACTCCCAATTTCCATGTGACATGCACCCCTTCCCCAGATTCCACATTACTCATACCATCTTCAGCAAGCCACAAGTTCTGGTATGTCTGTTTCTCTTACCAGCATTTAGAAAGAATATCAAACTAGACACACTTTGCAACTACAGACTTACGACTCATAGGTGCAGTCAGCATGCAATTGCTAGAACGCAGTTTTAGGTGGGTAGGCCTTGAGTGAGATTCCAACCACATTTTAAGTCTTAGTCCTAGATCTACTAAGCTGTGGTTTACCAGTTCTTGATTTACGAAGATACTGAACCAACGTCCTCCAGACAAATAAGTTATTATTAAAATACTGTCTAATTAAAGATGCGCTCCTATAATGAAACACCTATAGAATAATTAAAGGAAAGGACCCATGAGATTCATAAGATATTACTGGACCTCTTCCATAATCCCACAATTCTATAGAAGGCATGTGAGCCACTCAAAGTGAGCCACCAGAGGAGAACACATTTGGCAAATGTGAATATCTTTAAATTTACAACGGTTAGTTTCACAAGCCATCATTTCCATCCTGATTTAGTCAATCAATGTCAGGTCCGTTTTGGTGGAGGATGTACACAAAGGCCCTGAAGAGCCACTGTCTAAAGGTAAAGTTTGAGGCCAGGCACGGTGGCTCAAGCCTGTAATCCCAGCACTTTGGGAAGCCGAGACAGATGGATCATCTGAGGTCAGGAGTTTGAGACCAGTCTGGCCAACATGGCAAAACCCCGTTTCTACTAAAAATACAAAAATTAGCTGGGCGTGGTGGCGGGTGCCTGTAATCATAGCTATTTGGGAGTCTGAGGCAGGAGAATCAGTTGAACCTGGGAGGCGGAGTTTGCAGCAAGCTGAGATTGCACCACTGCACTCCAATCTGGTTGACAAGAGTGAAACTCCATCTCAAAAGAATAAAAATAAAATAAAAGTTTGAGAAAGTTTTTTACTTGCTGCTGACTTGACTGTCTCGAGTTTCTGCTGTAAAATGAATATTCTAGGTACTGGCATGCCAAGGGTGCAATTTCAGGATTCCTATTAGAACAAAAATGAAAAATCAATGTGAAAAGCAAAGGCTCAATGGAAGGTATTTCATGCTACACGGCCCAGTGCTGGGTTACCTATGACAGCAATGAGGCTGCCTGGTTACCTATGTCAGCGATGAGGCTGCCTGGTTACCTATGTCAGCGATGAGGCTGCCTGGTTACCTATGTCAGCGATGAGGCTGCCTGGTTACCTATGTCAGCGATGAGGCTGCCTGGCTTCTGCTCTTGCAGGAACTGGCGGACACGAGGCCAGGCTTTGCTCTGCAGGTCGCTGAAGTAAGGGGCTGTGCTCTCGTACACATTGTGCACATGCTGCTTCTCCAGCTGGGCGGCTTCATGATCCATCCTGGAGAAAACAGGACCAACCCAAGGCATGCAGGTCAGCCTATGCACCATAGATGGCTGAAGGAGGATGCAGATTTCCTAAAATCTGGAGCCTACAACTGCAAACTCATGCTGTTTGCACACTTTCTTATAAGCTGCAAAGAACAATACCTTCACTATAACCTCGCCATAGTAGCCAAAAGACTAGCAAATGCATGGTTTTTACCTGCCATGTTAAGGAAAACAATTTTGAGAAAGAGCTAATTATTGTGTAATAAGTTCCTGTACAAGATGAATTCTTAATTTTGGAAGCATAGCCAAAATTCTTACCAAATGGTTTACTTTGGATAAGACCATTGTATCTGATGCTAAATAGATTTCAAAATTTCATAACAGGTAGCTCACCATTTCAACCCAATAGCAAAGCGCTATTAATTCTCCCTTTTTAGTGTTTGGGTTCCAGCCATGTCTCTGTATCAGTACTGCTTTTATTTTAGTATAGGTGCCCATTTCTTTACTGAATTACTTCAACAGCTGGCAAAACGGTTCTTTTGCCATTCAATGCTTTTCCCAATTTCAATTACGTCATAATTATTTTTGTAAAATATAGGACTGGTTGTGTTGCTTCTTATTTATTTATTTTTAATTTTTGTGGGTACATAGTAGGTGTATATATTTACGGAGTACATGAGATGTTTTGATACAGGCATGCAAGGCGTAATAATCACATGAGGGAGAATGGGGTGTTCATCACCTCGAGCACTTATCCTTTATGTTACAAACAATCCAATATACTCTTTTAGTCATTTAAAAATGTACAAATAAATTTTTTTTTACTATAGTCACCCTGTTGTCCTAGCAAATACTAGGTCTTATTCTGTTTTTTGTACCCATTAACAATCTCCACTTCCCTCCCACCTCCCCGCTACGCTTTGCAGCCTCTCGTAACCATCCTTCTACTCTCTATAACCATGAGTTCAATTATTTTAATTTTTAGCTGCCACAAATAAGTGAGAACATATGAAGCCTGTCTTTCTGTGCCTGACTGATTTCAGCTAACATAATGACCTCCAGATCCATCCATGTTATTGCAAATGACAGGATTTCTTTTCTTTTCTTTTTCTTTTTTTTTTTTTTTGAGATGCAGTCTCGCTGTATCGCCCAGGCTGGAGTGCAGTGGCATGATCTCGGCTCAGTGTAACCTCTGTAGCAAGTTCCCCCAGGCCGTGGGCAGGTCTAGAGGTGCTGTCTGGGAGCCAGGGACTGCAGTCAAAAACCTTAGAAGTCTACTTGGTGTTCTAGTGTACTGTGGCTGAGCTGGCACTCAAGCCATGAGATGCAGCCCTTCCCACTCTTCCCTCCCCTTTCCAAAGACCCCTTCCCCACTGTGGCCGAGCTGGTACCTAATGTGCAAGGCAAAGTCCCCTTTCCTTGTCCCTCCACTTTTCTTAAGCAGGAGTGTTGCCCCATAGCCACCACAGATGGGAATGTGCTAAGTCGCATCTGGAGCCAGCAAGACTCAGAGTCTCACCCAAGGCCCACAGCGTATTACTTGGGTATCACCGCTGGTTATTCAGGGCCAAAGGGCTCTTTAGTCAGAAGGTGATGGGTCCTGACAGGACTAGGTCCTTCCCTTCAAGACAGCAGGTTGCCTTCTGGCCCAGGGTGTGTCTAGAAATATCATCTGGGGGGTAGGGCCTGAACAGACGGCCTCAGGACTCTGCCTGGGCCCTATCCTACCGCAGCTGAACTGGTATCCAAAATACAAGACAAAATCCTCTTTATTCTTCCCTCTCCTCTCCTCAAGCAGAAGGAAGGGCTCTTTTGGAGCCAGGAGCTGTGCAGCCTGGGTTGGGAGCGGGGTGGTGCAAGCACTCCCTTAGCAGCCCTAGCTGGTGTCTCAGTAGTGGCGTTCCCTCCTCCCCACCTAGTCCACGGGCTCTGAGGCCAGTTCAGCAGGAGGACTCACCTAGGAGCTGCAGTCCTTGGGGCCTACACTGCCTTTCAAGTGTATTTAGTACCCCAGAGCCCTTTAGCCTACAGTGGTGAGGCCTGCCGGAACTCAAGTTCAGACTGCTGGGACCAGCAATTCCCCTCTGGCTAGGGCTGGTTTAAATGCTCCCTCTGTGGGCAGCTGTCAGCTGAGTTCAGCCACATGGCTTTGCTTTCTACTGTGACAGGGCAGCACTGAGTTCGATACGGTGTTTCACAAACGCAGCATTCTCCCTCCCCTAAGCACAGATTCTCTCTGCATGCACATGGCTGCTGCCAGGGAGTTGGAGGAGGGATGGCATGGGCATATCAAGACTGTCTTGCTCACCCTCTTCTGTGCTTCCTTTAGTGATATGAAGTCAAAACCAGGCACTGTGAGCGCTCTCCTGATTTTTGGTTCTTATGTAGGTGCTTTTTTTGTGTGTTAACTCTGGTCCTTGTGGGGAGGGTGGCGGAGTGGGGACACACCATCAGTGGAGCCTTCCATTTAGCCATCTTGCTCCACACTATCCCCCTCAGTTCTTACCTTCAACTTCTTCAGAGGCATTTTATAGCTTGTCCCATTGGGTTCAGCTGGCTTAGGCGGGCACATAAGGCTCTTTCCGATCTGGCCTCACCAGACCTCTTAAGGGTTATTTCTCACCATCTTTCCTCAGCATTAGCCATAATACCCAATGACCCACTGTTTCTCAGCGGTGGCACATTCCCTCTCATCCAGGGGCCTGAACATATGCTATGCTTTACCTGGCTAAATTCTAGTCATTCTTGGAAAAGGCATCATCTCCTCCAGGAAGACTTCCCTGACCTTCCAGGCAGGATAAGGGCAACAGGGAAGGAGTAAGAAAAGCACAAGAGCAGGTCCCGTTTTGGGCTTAACCCTGTAATTATTCTATTCTATTTTGGCATGTGAGTGACTGGTATCCCAGGGAAGTGGCCAGGGACTCGGGTTGTGGCTTTTACCCATCAGTATGAAAGTATTTTCAATCATTTAAGAACTCATTTGGCCCTACTGATGGCTATCAGCTATTGCATCCCATGCATACCTCTACAGGGATCACATAGTCCTGTAATTGTTGAATTTAGATAAGATATTTTTCTCTGGCAGAGTCTGCTGGAAGACTCTGGAGAACAAGGAGTTGTCTTATTTAATACTGAGTCCCCAGCACTTAGGACACAGCAGACCCCCAGCAAATGATCAAATAAATACACATAATGAGAATGGAATCTGGCTCTGAGTACAGAGGGTAGTATTGGCTTTGGTTAGCAGAGGGAGTGATCACCCTGAGGAGCTGGGGAAGGGAGGGGACACTACACCTGCAAACTGGCAGATGGGAGTGTAACTGGAGAGAAGATACTGTCCCTGGACAGCCTCTGTCCCCGCACCTCTACCCCTATCCTGGGAAGTGGGAAGTACTTGGGTAAGACGGTGTCTTCCCTGTATGGAGAGAGACTTTGAGACTATGCAAATATTGTTTCTTATTTGCTCACCCACCAGTTTTAGCATCTACCAATGATTCTTGCCCCAATTATTACTACAAGTATCACCGAATGATGATAATATAATTCCATCATTCCTTCCGTTTCAAGGAACAGATATTCAGGATTTACTCTTAAAACGTAATAGGTTGTCTTTAATCAGTATGAACCTACCCACAGCCCCTGCAAAAAATCCTAGCAAACTCCTAACTGAGTATAAATCTAATTTGTGAGGTCTGACTAAACTTCCACCCAAATTGAAACAGCTTATGTTGCACCTTCAACTGAAATTTACGAAGTAAACATATGGCTGGCTATAACTGCCCACACAAGAGAAAAACAGAAACACTGTGTGCTTTTCATTTAAATCAAAATCTCAGTAGATTTTAGTCTATTTACGTTTCCCCTTTCTCAAGGAATCAATCAAGCAATACGTTTTAGAGAACACTAGAACAAGCAAGTTTTTCTTTGTTGCACTTGGAAATGTTAAGTGGTAACCGACATAAACTGGGTTCCTTGCAAATTGCAATTTAAAAATGACTTCAATTTCAAGCTCAGAATTTGTAGTATCTGAACAGCACCCCCAAGATCTTCCCCTAAGTTTCCTATGGCCTCTACTACCATCGGGTAACCTAAAAGATAGTTATTTTTAAGTGTATAAGTAATATAAATCTATTTTGTTTTTCTGATATTTTACAGTTAACTTTATAAACACTGCAGATTTAAATTTTAAATGCTGCGGATTTAAATTTCCTATAATAGTTTCCACATGAATTTTATTTATATAAGCAAATTCCTTGTGAGTTTGAAAGTGTGACTAAGCTAATAAGACTAGTACTAAAACAAGAGCACGGGTTTCCAGATGAAGCGAGAGATAAAGGGTTTGGATTAGCCAGGATTCCTAATCTGTGTGCTGTCAAATTCCAGACCCATAAAATAATCCACATAAAAAGTCAGTACTTAAAGCCTCACATTGTGTCCCTCCTTTGAGATTCAAAATGCACACCAGCACACTATGAGTTTTGAAAAATCTTGGAGAAAAGAGTCCCGGTTGATGTTTCAAAAATCTCGCTTTTTTCTCAGAATTATTGGGTCTATAATACTCTTTCTGTCTTTAAACACCTCTTGTCTTTTTAGGAAATAATATTCTGTAGAAGACACTGTGGAAATGTTAATTTAGTGTTTTCCAATTTAAGAATGTCCCCAAAACAAAGCATTTTTCCTGATCATCCTTTTTCATTCATGTAGTTTTAGTGAAGTATGTTATCTACAAATCATAACTTCTAAGATGGTTTATAAAAAGACTAAAAGTATGAGACGGTAAACGTTTTAACTAGGAAGTCAGAAGGATGCGCATCAGAGTTGCTCATCACTGTCGATCCAAGAGAACCTGCTTCTGAGCCTTGTGCCTCCTCTTTCCAGGGATCCCCGCCTCACTGAGTGGACCCAGGTTGAAAACCAGATCTACAGGGAACCAGTCCATGGGTGAGACTGACCCAGTCTTGAGAATTTGAACTAAAAGACCTGAATAGTCAGATGACCACAAGTGGTTGGTTGTGATCACTTGGAGTCTGTGTTAGGGAGTCCATTTTTAGCCATGCACATATGGATGAAGCAAAAGAATATTTTTCTGCAAAATAAATGTAGCTGTAGGGAAAGAAAAACAAGATGAGAATCCGTGATGCTTCATAACATGGTGGGGGGAAAGGCAGAAAGATTGGGGAAGTCTAGTAGATGATATTCTAGTTCTAGTCCCTATGTAGGCTCTAGATAGGGGCTCAGGGTCACTCATCTCCAAGAAACCTGTTCATTTTACAGTACCAGCCTTGCGTCCTGAGGTACTTCATTTCCTAACCTTGAATCTCAAATCCATACCCTGTTCTAGCCCTGAAATATTCTTCACTTGAACTCACTTCTGTTTCTTACAACCACACCTTTCCCAAGGCAGGGAAACTGCTTTTTTAATTAACATTTTGAAATGATTATTTTACACTTTAAATAACTAGCGTGCAAGGATGCTGACACATAGTGTTGTAATATCTTACCTTTATTGCTACTTTTCAAGCAACTTGTAAAGCTTACGAGGTAACCTTAAAACAAACCCCCAAAATTGAATGCTAGCAATCAAAAGAAATCGTAAATGTGATGACAAAAACATAAATGAGACTGAGTAGACAAAGATACAACTAACTTTGCTGGGGGAAGTTGATGTAGGCACAGAAGAGGAGATCCCAGACATTGAATCATCTTTGTTCCTTCCCTTGCCCCACAAACTCTGCCTATTTCCAGCATTTATTTCTTGGAGGATGGAAGAGAGGACAGAAAGTGACAGAAAACTAACAGGAGAGTTAGTGGCCTGGCATGTTTCCAAAGGGTAGAAAAACAAAGAGAAGGACATTGGCAATTCCTGCTACTAGCAACAGGGTTCTACTGAGAAGTCACAAATGTTTAGTTTTCCTTCCCTGGACATGTGATTAGGCTAACATTTTTCTACCTACTTGAATTCAGATAAACCCTAAGTGACTTGCTATGGCATAAACGTCATCTGAAAAGATCAGGATTACCCCACTGTGTTGCTTTCCAAGTTCCCTATCCCTTATCACTGCAATGAAATGTTCCTTGTCCTGGAGGCATCAGCCTGGGTCCCTCAGAACTCTTGATGGAGAGATATCATGGGTATTCTAATCCCACCCACCAAAAGGAATAAAAAGCTCAGTTCATCATATGAACTGTAGAATATCTAGATCATGAAAAAGTGAAAAGTATACATCAGTTTTTATTAGATGACAACTTGTTACCATATAAGTTCCCCCTTTTTTCTTCATAAAGATTAAAAGTTTTCTTTCTCGTAGAGATATATTATAATAAAATTGAGAGAAAACCGGACAGTTTTGCATCCTACTTTTTTGAACTTAATATTGTGAGCCAAGTGGCAACTTCTACCTACAGTCTTCTCCACCTTCTCAAAGAAATATAACCTCTACACTCCCTAATTCCACAGCACTTGAAATATGTCATGTGCTGTAAAGTATTATAATGGCTTAAGTATTTCTACTAGATTCTGAACTTCTAAATAAGAAACAAGATTTCATACACATCTTTGGTTAGCCCATAATATCTAGCACTGGCCCTAAATGTAATAGGTCTAAATACGTTTAGTGAATTCATGAATGATGGAACTCTAGCCAATTCAACAATATTTCTTTTAAATTTTTAAATCATATTTTAACAGTTTTATTTAGGTATAATTGACATATAACAAACTGCATATATTTAAAGTATATAATTTGATGTTTTTACATACATATGTGTGTGCGTATGCGTGTATGTATGTGTGAAACCATCAAGACACTCAAGATAATGACCATATCCTTCCCCCAATAAATCACCCCTCCCATCTTCTCCCACCCTGAACAATCTTTCTTTTTTTTTTTCTTTTCTTTTTTTTTTTTTTTTTGAGATGGAATCTCCCTCTGTCACCCAGGCTGGAGTGCGATGGCATGATCTTGGCTCACTGCAACCTCCGCCTCCCAGGTTCAAGCGATTCTCCTGCCTCAGCCTCCTGAGTACCTGGAATTATAGGCACGTACCACCATGCCTGGCTAATTTTTGTATTTTTACTAGAGACGGGGTTTCACCCTGTTGGTTAGGCTGGTCTTGAACATCTGACCTCATGATCCACCTGCCTTGGCCTACCAAAGTGCTAGGATTACAGGCGTGAGCCACTGCGCCCAGCCCCTGAACAATCTTTCTTAATGCCATGTTTCTGGGTAAAGAAACAGGGATAGAGAGGTGGACATTAACATATATATCCAACAGCCACAATTTCAAAGGCAACTCTGAGTATTTGATGTGTTGACAAATAAAAGTAAAAAGGTTTTTTCCCAAGTTTTTCCAGCTTCTTAATGATCACTGGAAAGCTATGCACATATTCACACCCAGAGGCAAATAGTAAAAATATTCTGAGGAACTGAAAAGGCTTCCAGGGAAAAGGTTTTTCTACTGTCTCATCAAGGAGATGACACTCTGTACTTGACCCACAGAAATCTAGTGAACTCTGAGAAAGAAGGCTTTGTTTTGTCCCCAAGAGTGGCTCCTTGTCACCAGGGAGGAGGTGCTATAACTAAATGTCCTCAAGACGGTGCTTTTTATACCTGCTCCTCCTAAGAAGTTAGCACAGAGGCCAGGGTAATAGGCTGTAAGCACTTAGCCCTGTCATCAGAAGGGATTTCTCATTTGTTTGTGATGGGAACTTCTATTACCTCTATCTTGAGTTTCTTTCTGTACCACACTTTTGCCTGTAGTGAGTCCTCTATGTTTTAGCTCTATGGAAAACACACGTGGCTTTAGAACAGTTCTGTCTCCAAATACTGACATACATTTATGAATTAAAACCTCTTTCTATCATACAGAACAATAAAGCTTTTAGAGGAAAATACAGAACATCCTCATGACCTTGGAGTAAGTTAAAATTTCTTACAAAGGGTCATATAAAGTGCTAACCATAAGAGGAAAAATAAAGTAGACTATATTAAAATGAAGACACCATGAAGAGAAGGAAAATTCAACCCAGAGTGTGAAGAAGTATTCGTAGTACATACAGATGACAATTGAGTAGTATCCAGAATATAAACAATTCTTACAAATCACAGAGTAATAGAAGACAACACAATTGAAAAATGGGCGAGAGACTTTAACAGACACTTCATAATGGTCAGGAGACGGGCAGGAAACACACACAAAGGGGCTTAACTTCACTAGTATCAGGGAACCGCAAATTTAAGCCACAATGGGATCCCACCACCTATACAAAAGAATGGGTAAAATGAAAAACGCAAAGAATATCTAGTGTTGGTGAAAACATGGAATCGGTGAGTTCTAATACACCACTGGAAGAAATGTGAATTGTTTCAATCTGTTTGGAAAACCGCCTGACAGCAACAACTAAAGCTACACATATGCATAGCCTATGGCCCAGCAACCCCACTCTTAAAAGTATATACATATATCCGAAAGAAATGGACACCCATATTCACCAAAAGACATATGCTAGAATATCCAAAGAAGCACTCTTCGAAGTAGCACAAATCTGGAAACTGCACATGTGACCATCATCAGTAAAATGATCAAATAAATTGTGGTATATTCATAGAATGAAATGCTACCAGGGTAGCATGAAAGTTTGCAACCATATGCAACAATATGGATCAGTCCCTATATTAGTCCATTTCGTGTTGCTGTAAAGGAACTCCTGAGCCTGGGTAATTTATAAGGACAAGCAGTTTGTTTGGTTCATGGTTCTACAGGCTGTACAAGCATGGCACCAGCATCTGCTTGGATCCTGGTGAGGCCTCAGGAAGCTGTTACTCATGGTGGAAGGTGACTGAGGAGCACGTGTGTCACAAGGTCAGAGAGGGAGCAAGAGAGAGGGGAGGAGATGCCAGGCTCCTTTAAACCACCCCAGCTCTCATGTGAACTGATAGAGCAAGAAGTCACCCATTACCATAAGGAGGATGCCAAGCCATTCCTGAGGGATCCACCACCATAACCCGAACACATCCCAATAGTCCCCACCTCCAACATTGGGGGTCACATTTTAACATGAGATTTGGAGGGGACAAACATCCAAATGATATACCTTCCACAAATATCATATTAAAAGGGAAGTCCACAAAAGAATACACACTGTTGGATTCCGTTTATGGAAAGTACAAAAACATGAGCCCATAGATAGATCAAAGAAAATAAAAAATAAAATAAAATAAAATAAAATAAAATAAAATAAAATAAAATAAAATAAAATAAAGAAGGTACAAAAACAGATAAAACAAATGTGGGCCATTAGAAGTGGGATAGAGGCTGCCTGGGGTAGCAGCTGGCAGGGAGCACTGGGGGTTGGGAGGTGGTCCTGGGGTGCTGATAATGTTCTGTTTCTTGATCTGGGCTCGGGTTACATGAGGGCGCTCAGGTTATGAAAAATTCATTCATTTATTTGTACATTTATGATATATGCACTTTGGTCCATGTATATTTCAATTAAAACCCCCTTTTGCTTTGAGGCAGTTGCCTTGTTATGTACTTTAAACCATGTTAGAACTTAAAACTGAGCAGAGTATCCTCTCTCATCTGTGTTCTGCCATTCCCATGAGGGATGAATGCCATCCAGTCAGTGCCTTCTGGGCAGCTAGAAATTGGAGATCACTGGGTTCAAAGATCAGGTGAAATGTCAAAGCAGTATCCCCATTCAATAAGATTATGTCATAGTATATACAGAAAGTGCTGAGAGAGTTTTGCCTCAGAAGAAATCTAACTGAAGAAATAAGTAACTTAAATGAGATAATGTCTAATGCCAGATTATCCAGTAACCAGCCAAGAATAGAGTCCATTTGCTCCCAGTAAAGAAGTTGTTTCAGTTAGGGCACCAGGTAAGTGACTCATCAGTATGATGAGAGGAAGGAAATTCATTTTACCTACCTTATATTTGTGATCTTATTACACATTGAATAGCTTTACTCAATAACTCAAAGTGAAATTAAGGATGAATTGTGCCAGCCACAGCTTCCAAGTAGCACAACTATAATAATGTATGAGGATTACTGATCTCAATAAATAGATGGGAACATAAATTGTGTAAAGGTCCAGGAAGGAGGCTACATGATCCTCAGCTTGTAGCAGCAGGTGGTTGCTATTGCTGCTTACCTTCATTCTCTAATTATCTTGCTGTTTCATGGTTACTGTTACTCGTTAAGACAATTTTCAGTTATTTCAGTACCTTATGAAAAATGTATGGACAAACTAGTGTCCTCATTTATTACTCTCATGTGGATCATCTGTGATATTTAGTCTACTGTTTATGTGGCTCTTTATATGTGCAGTTATTGGAAAAATCTGCTGAGCTTTTTAGTCTGCAGAGAATAAAATCTTTCTGAAAAATGTTATAATATTTAAAAGCCTTAGAACCTAAGACAACAATGACTTGGGTCTAATTGGTATCTGGATGGTTAATCTCCCGAAACACACACAACTAATAGATGAATCAGTGTTCCCTCCCAAAAAACCAAACCCAAAACAAAAACAACACAAAGAAGACAAACATATGTATCAGTAAAGTTTTCTTTATAAAAATCAAGAAAAGGATCAAGACAGAATGACAAGGAAAAGAAGAAAGAAACCAGGGGAAGTGCAAGGAGAAGAAACGGGCAATTAATATATGTATTGAGTGATTATCATGCGGTTCATATATGTTAGTGCAAAGAAAGCCAGAAATGGAGAATAAGGAAAGCAGACAAAGAGCTAAGAGCTATGACTTAATATGTATAAAGAACAGAGAGAAGAAAAGGTAAAAAATATATAACTTTGTATAAATTTGTTTATATCTACTCCAATTAGCACTCAAACTAGATTTATATAATCAAATATCAATTGCTCATTTAACTTTTTACACATTTATCACTAATGGAAATTACATTTTGACTGCTTCTAACTGCAGCTGAAACTTGCTTGAAGCTTTGTGTTAAGAAACTAAAACCCAAAATAATGCCAAAGGTTAACAATTCTTGCTCTAGAAAGTCTAGAGTTGTATTGTGTTGCAGTTTATTATGTTCATTTCCACAGTATTAGGAAATTATTAAAAAGGGAAATTTTCAGTGAGCCCTCTGTGTGTGTAAACTGACACATCTTCAAACGAATGCATGAGAAGTCGGGAGCTGCGCCTTGGAACTCAGCCTGGAAGCGTAGGCAAGATTTGAAAATGTTCTTTTCAGCCAGGCGCGGGGGCTCACGCCTGTAATTCCAGCACTTTGGGAGGCCGAGGCGAGTGGATCACCTGAGGTCGAGAGTTCGAGACCAGCCTGACCAACATGGAGAAACCCCGTCTCTACTAAAAATACAAACATTAGCCGGGCATGGTGGTGCATGCCTATAATCCTAGGTACTCAGGAGGCTGAGGCAGGAGAATTGCTTGAACCCGAAAGGCGGAGGTTGCAGTGAGCTGAGATCGTGCCACTGCACTCCAGCCGGGGCAACAGGAGCGAAACTCCGTCTCAAATAAAAAAAAAGAAAATGTTCGTTTCTTGTCGTTTAAATTGCACTTGCAAGAAGAATCAATTCAAGGGTTCCCCAAAGGTGGACAAGCCACTCTGCTTTTAAGGTCCTCTTAGCCTGCTTTTCAGGGAAAGTAGCAAACTTGAGAATTCCAACATAGCTAAGACGCATAAATTAAGTCACCTCCGGGCACTTGATGTGTTTGAAGAGCTGAGCGCTACCGAAGGGAAGAAAGGAAAGGGAGAAAGAGAAAAGACACTTAATCCATGCAGCTAGAGGCATGCAGGCATGAAGGTATTGCCTAGTCAATACCTTCTAGTCAATATCAGTATCTTCTTAAAAAATAAAAAAGTTTTATTTTTTTCAAAACATTAGTTTGAAAGAGCAGAGGGTCCATCAGAGGTAGCAGTGAAAAGTAATTTTGGAGATCTAAGATTCTGGGGAATACCTGATCCGTTCCCAAGCCTGAGACCATGCACACACATATGACCACTATTTGCAGTCGCAGACGTTTTAGAGATTAAAATACTTTTAAAAGCTTCTGTTTATCCTCTGTTCCTTTGGGGAACTGCACCTCTCTCAGACTCCAAGTGTCACTGGGGCCTGCCAGGCACATTGACGGTGGCAGTGGGGTGGGCACATGATCCAGTCTCGGACAGTTATTCTCCCTCGCCCAGGAAATTGACAAGAGGTTGGAGCAGAACTGCTGATGGCTCAGCCCTGAAGAAAAGATCCTCATGCCTCATCCCAAGTTGTAACTTTCCCGAGGTTTAGTTTGCAGCAGTTCCTTTTATTGTGCCAGCTACTTAGGCACTCCCAACAAATCCTCCTTCTTGCTTTAGTTGATTTTGACATGTATAGCCAAAGGACTAAAGTATTACAAACTTGAATGCTTCTTCACAATCACAGCATGTACCCCAGTGGGGGCCACAGTGAAAGAGATGTACCATGGCCACTAGGGTTGCCAACAGGACTCATCACAAATGGATGAAGGGACTCTGACTGGAGCAAAAGAATCTGCTGAGATAGCAATGTGCTATTGGAATGCCAGCCTAGAAGATCAAAGTTGTCACAGTGCTGGCACCTTTGCCCCCTTTCTGTCTTTCTGTTTGTACTGCCATCCCCTAGTATCTCAGCTAGTCTAACTGGTCTGTCTGTTCCTCTTGCTGTCTCTGCACCCCCCACATCTATCCCCTCTAATATATTCATAAAGATGGGAGTTGGCAACACAACCTTCTCTGTTAATGTCCACTTGGCTGGAGACACAATACATTCTTACAGTAAAAGGTACCTGCGTAAACCACATAGCACATGTGCCATTCCTGGTTTGCTGGCTACAATTCATGATTTTCCTTCTATGAATTCAAGGAAAGTTGGTTAGAATCTCTATTTCATGGCAGTGCAGGGTTAATTTTTCTATACAACCTCATTGGATAATATTCACTCCTTCTTGAAAGCCCTTCAGGGGACCTCTGCTGCCTACGGGATAGCACCTGCACTCCTCAGTCTGTCACGAAAACCCTCCCTGACCTGGTCCAGTCCACTTTGCAGTCTTATATCGTGCAACGACAGTACCTCAGACTCTCAGCTGTATCCACACAAATCTACTCACTTTTTGCCGAGAGGGACTTGCTCAGGACCTTATTCAGGTCTTTGCTGAAGCCAGCAGTCTATTCTCTCTCACCGGCAATGCTCTCCTATCACTTCCTCCTGCCAAAATCTACTGGTCTGCAAAGTCTAGCACAGTTTCTTCCTCCTGCATAAAGGATTTATGGGTAACTACAGATAAAAATCATCCATTCCAGGACTTATTTTTAGTTTTTACTTTTTGGAGATGGAGTCTTGCTCTGTCTCCTAGGCTGGAGTGTAGTGGCACGATCTCTGCTCACTGCAACCTCTGCCTCCCAGATTCAAGCAATTCTCCTGCCTCAGCCTCCTGAGTAGCTGGGACCACAAGACCACAGGTGCATGCCGTCACACCTGGCTTTTTTTTTTCTTTTTTTGTATTTTAGTAGAGATGGGTTTTCACCATGTTGCCCAGGCTGGTCTCAAACTCCTGAGCTCAGGTGATCTGCCTAACCCGGCCTCTCAAAATGCTGGGATTGCAAGCATGAGCCACTGTGCCCAGTCAATGATGCTGTTTAAATGAAGTTCTCCTGAGCTTCATGACCATCTAAGTTTGTTGTCCTTCAGATACCACAGAGACAATATGCCCAAGTCTAGAACCTACACCTCCTATCACATTTCCTCTGATGGTGAACCACTGCACTGTCTACCCAGGCCTCCCAAAGAGCTAGAATTACAGGTGTGAGCCACTGTGCCCGGCCCCAGGACTTCTATACACTGCAAATTTATTATCTCTATCACTCTTAGGACATTTTTCCGGATACTGTCATGAACTCTCAACTCTGTATATGTTCCCAAATAGATTATAAGTTTTTGGACGGCAGAGATGGAAATGTGATGTTTTTATATATCTCTATCTATGTCTCATCTGTACATCATAGAGCCTAGGATAGTGCAGAACACAGAGCATCACTCAATAATTAATTGTAGATCCAATGAATCAAGGAGCTGTTTCTTAGCTCCCTCTGCAAAACAACAATACTTTACTCTGTACAAGCTGGTCCTTGACTCTTTGGTTATAAATCCTAAAGAGCCAGCTGTGAGTCAATGGGCACTTGGAGGAAAGCAAGACTGAGCTTTTCCAGTTTTATTTTGTGTTTTCTGATTTGCTGCCCCAGAGGTCTGTTGTTGTTGTTGTTTTTGAGACAGAGTCTTGCTCTTGTTGCCCAGCCTGGAGTGCAGTGGCGCAATCTCGGCTTGCTGCAACCTCCACCTCCTGGGTTCAAGCAATTCTCCTAACCCAGCCTCCCGAGTAGTTGGGATTACAGGCGCCCACCACCACGCCTGGCTAAGTTGTGCATTTTTAGTAGAGACGGGGTCACCATGTTGGCCAGGCTGGTCTTGAACTCCGGACCTCAGGTGATCCACCTGCCTCGGCCTCCCAAAGTGCTGGAATTACAGGCATGAGCCAATGCGCCCAGCCAGGTCTGTATTATAGGTACAATCTAGGCATACGATGGTCACTTTTTCATAACTAAAAAGAAATATAAATATTGGAAATGGCTCTCCTATTATAAATGCCACAGAAGACACAGAATTAAAAAAGAGAGAGCATAAAATTCTGCTTTAAATTTCAAAGACACACTTAAACTACAATTCTAAAGTGAAAATGCAAGTTGGTCCGAACAGTTAAAAGACAACTTACATTATAAAAAAGACCTAATTACAAAATGCATAGCTTTTTCATTTTACTTTTTAATACATGCAACTTCACACTTAACAACTATATATCATTTCCAAGTACAAATGATATTGTAAACTTTTGTGTGATAAAAATCTCATTTAAAAATATGTTTAAGTCCTACAAAAGTATTTTGCTTTCTAAAAATGCTAAATATGTTCTTATAATTTTTACATACCCTGTACAACTACTTTCAAATACTGTTTTCCACCTCATGCAAAAATAAATTCCAACTTACTTTATATCACATTGTCATAAATTTAAAATTATAGGGATTGGGAAGAATTAGGTTCACTAAATATGCACATTGCTAAAAACACCTCATGGTATGTGAGTTGCAGAAGCGCTGAAAGCTACTAACCTGAGTCATCCTGTGATTACAGGAAAATTACCTCTTGTCTTTGTGAATCACGGCAGTCTCCACCTCCAGAGAGTGACAGTTGCTTCTCATAACTTTCTCAATGTGTAACGTAAATGAAAACTTGTAGGAGTGAAATGAAATAGTGCGGTCCTTCTCATGATAAACCTCTTGTGTGAGTCTCTGAAGGAAGCACAGGCCCTATCAGGAAGAAAACAAATACTAAATGTCATTTCACATGGTATGTATATGGAGCCAGCTACAGCCCAGGCTGACTTCCTGACCTATGCATAAATTACCCAGCCAAGTAGGGATTAGAAAGAATTGTTAATATGTGGAGTGTGCCAGAATTATAAGAGCAGTTCAAATCAATAGGCCAATAAATCAATTCCTAAGCTTTCTATAAAACATACAATACTTTCTCCTAAAATTAAATTGAATGATTTCATCTTGTTCCTGGGAAAATTGCTAACATTGAGAGTCATCTCTGATTCCAGGGGCTTAATTAAATAAATACTACCTAAGACAATATTACTAAATTGTACTAAATCATTCCAGTACAATTGGACTGCTCAATATTTTCCATATTACTAGCTACTTTCTTGTCACTTTGATAAGTACTCGTAGTTATTCATCATTGTTCACATTTTTCTTCTTCATAAGAGTTTGTCATGAAACCCATCAAAAGGCTTTTGGTTATTAAAAAAATAATGCACCAAAAACCACTTTGTAATATAGAGGTCTTGTGATATACAATGAGATCTCGAGAGATGCCTGATATGATAGGAAAAGCCCATCCTATAACACCTTGGACCCTAATTGCTTGTCTGCAAGTGGGGTGAATGGACCATAATCTAAGTCCCAGCCTGCAACCATTTTTCCTAGTTTCCTTATCACTTGTGTGTTCACCACACTGCCACAAACTGTACTTCTTATTACACCCAGTGATTCTCACGATGGCAGGGTGCGTGTGGGTTTTCTACTCAGAGATGCGTGTGCCTTCCCCCAACATTCCCCTACACCAGCCCAACCCTAGTCCTGGCCCCTATTTAAGAATCAATGATCTGGATGTGCTTTGGAAAACTTCTCTCTAGTCTTCAGAACTTGCCTATAGATTTTAACCCCAGCTACATCTCACTCATATGTAGGCACATGATCTGTGCCATTGAGAGCCACAGAAGCTAACTTTTTAGAAGTGCGTTTAAGAAGCATTTTGAAAGAGCTACCAAAGCATCTTATCTTTCCTCATGCAATTTTAGAGCCTACCTTAATTATAAGAGAGATGATGTTTGCTAACTGAGTCCCTATGACAGGGTAAAGCTAAAGATTCTCTATTCGGACTTACCCTGCCAGGCTCTGACCTGGGCAGTCGACTGTCATCAGACAATGTGGTTGTCTATGCGCCTTTCCTTCAGGCATTTGTGCCTAAATGTGTTAGACCCCTCAGATAAGCCACCAAAGGCAAAGTCTTCAACGCCCCCATCAGTAAGAGTACCAATGAGAAGAGGAATTGTAGCTAGTGTAGAAGTAGGAGGCATATGTGTGCTACCTGGGCAGGAGGCTTGTCTATACGCCCAAATCAGGCACCCAAAACACCTACAAATATGACTGATTTTGCTTCTTTTTCCTAAATTAGTATCCAAATTTGCCTCTGTCTAAAGTGCATGAATCATATCACCTTCTCCAAGAAGTTACTGGGCAAAGATAGAATGGGGTCGTATATATCTAAAAGGAGTTGAATTCCAATTGAGACTTTTTATTAAATCAGTCATATTTAGTATTGAAAGAAACACATTTCTTCTTCTCTTCTCTTTGACTAAACAGGAGGCCATCTTCTAGGGCAAGGTCTGTACCTTAAACCTTCTGAAATAAGCCATGCGTGTATTTTCCTGGGAAGAGGGTCAGCACCACAAACCATGGCTCAGGGGCAAAGCCAGATTTTTGAAAAAAAAAAATTTTCTGTATTAAATTAAAAATACACATTCATCTTTTCAACAAATATTAACTGAATCTCTGGCAGATGTAAGGCACTAGGGATACAGATAAAAGAGCTCTCACCCCATTCAGGACCCCAGAATTTAATATCTGAAGCATACAAATAAACAGAAAATTAAAGTGCAGTAGAACTTTACTTCTGGGATGGATACATCCTGAGCTAATGTGATTCCCCAAACTCATGCCTTGCCTTATTTAATACCAAGAATCAAGATTATTTGATATAATCATCTAAAAAATAATAGAATTGATATGGTTTGGCTGTGTCCCCACCCAAATCTCATCTTGAATTGTAGTTCCCATCATCCCCATGTATTGTGGGAGGGAACTGGTGGGAGGTAATTGAATCATAGGGGTGGTTACCCTCATGCTGTTCTCATGATAGTGAGTGAGTTCTCAAGAGATCTGATGGTTTTATAAGGGAATTTTTTCCCTTTTGCTTGGCACTTCTCCTTGCTGCCGCCATGTGAAGAAGGATATGTTTGCTTCCCCTTCCACTCATGATTGTAAGTTTCCTGAGGCCTCCCCAGCCATGCTGAACTGTGAGTCAATTAAACCTCTTTCCTTTATAAATTACACAGTCTCGGGTATGTCTTTATTAGTAGCCTGAGAATGGACTAATACTGTAATCATATATTCATACAATCATTATAAAATAATCATTTTGTGTTATTGCAAATTATTAATTATCATGGATCTAAACAGTGTTCAAAATCACAATGTCAATACCCCTTATCTGGTGTGAAGAATGTTATGATGTGGGTGTGCGCCGGTGCTACAGGAGCACATAGGCGACTGATCCAGCCTGGAGTGGGAAGGGGGAGTGAAGGCTCCCTCAAGGGGCTGACACCTAAACGGAAGTTCAAAAGATGAGTGGGGTCAGCCAGGTGAAAAGGAGAAGTGGGTGATTCCAGGCATATGAAACAGCATATGCAAAAAGAAAGACACAAAGCCAATAAATGAATAACAACAGCAATAACAGCAACACACGCACAGAAATATATACAGATGGTCCCAGACTTATGAAGGTTTGACTTTATGATGGTGTGAAAGTGATATACGTTCAGTAATAATTGTGCTTTGAATTTTGAATTGTGATCTTTTTTCCAGGCTAATGACATGCGGTGGGATCCTCTCTCACAATGCTGGGAAGCCACAGAGAGCCACATCTCCCAGTTGGCACACCATCATGAATGTAGACAACTGAGATTTGACAGTGTTCCTTTTTGCCAGGTGATTTTGCCCAGCTGTCGGCTAATGTAAATGTTCTGAGCACGTTTAAGGTAGGCTAGGGAGGTAAGCTATGATGTTCTGTAGGTTAGTTGTATTAAATGCATTTTTTTTTTGAGACAGGGTATTCATTCTGTTGCCCAGGCTGGAGTGCAGTGGCACCATCGCAGCTCACTGCAGCCTTGACCTCCCAGGTGCAAATGATCCTCCTGCTTCAGCCCCTCCCAAGTATCTGGGACTATAGGCGTGTACCACCATATCCTGCTAATTTTGTGATTTTTGTAGAAATGGGGTCTCCCTACGTTCCCCAGGCTGGTCTCAAACTCCTGGGCTCAAACAGTCCTCCTGCCTTGGCCTCCTGAAATGCTGGGATTACAGAAGTCAGCCACTGCACCAGGCCTAAGTGCATTTTTGACTTATAATATTTTCAACTTATAATGGGTTTATTGGGATGTAACCCCATCATAAGTGGAGAAGTGTCTGTATTAATTATTTGCTATGGGCCAGGCCGTGTTGTAAGCATTTAACACATTGACTCTTCCCAATAACTATATAAAATAGGAACTACTAGTTCTCCCATTTTACAGATAAGAAGGAGGACCTAAGTGACTTTCCCAAAGTTACATAGCTAGTAAGTGGCAGAGCCAGGATTTGAACCCAGATAATTTGACCCTAGCGTTCGCACTCTTAACTATACAGATGGCGAGGAGAAAGGGAGGCAAGGAAGCAAATGGCGAAATAAGAGGCTGGAAGAGAGGGCAGGAGTCAGATCATATAGGACCTAGTCCAGCTTCTGAACATCATGGGGAACCACTGAATTATTTCAACAAGAAGAATGACAAAAGTTGATCTCGGTTTTAGAAATTGCCTCTGGCAGTAGTGTAGACTGGCACTTCATGGATGGGTCCACAATGAAGGCAGAGAAAGAACTTGGTTAAATATGTTAGCAAAGAATGATATTAATAATGCTTAGAAAGGATTGAAATGAAGGGATATTAAGGAGAAAGAACCAAATTAATAGGACCTGGTGACTCATGCAGAGTTAAGGCAGGGAACATGCTGAAGATGACGCTCTGATAATAAGCCTGATACAGTACAATGTACCACTACTATCCTAAAATAAGGAAGAAGAAAGAATACAAGGTAAAGCAAAGGAAACTTTAGTAATGGCCATATATAAACTCTAATAAACCCTTCCTTCGTAATGCATGTGAATACATCCAAATTAGTTTACTTAAGATGTATGCATTTGCGGGAAATAGGATATAAGAAGGTCTAGATACTGGTAACTGATTTTGAAATGTCATAATGGTCAGCAATGCCTTGTATTTTATATTACAGTATGAGCTGTGTGAACATATGTTCCATAATTGACGGCAGCACTTTCTAGACAGGGACAATATGTCTTATGATCTCTGCATCTTTTTTGGTATTTTTACAATGTTCAATGAATGTCTACTGTACAAACACGTGGAGAACAGAAAAGAAGGATGGCCCCAGGGAAGACAGTACAGTGGTTCACCATCAGAGGAAATGCGACAGGAGGTGTAGGTTTTAGACTTGGGCATATTGTCTCTGTGGTAACTGAAGGACAACAAACTCAGATGGTCATGAATCTCAGGAGAACTTCATTTAAACATCATCATTGACTGGGCACAGTGGCTCATGCCTGTAATCCCAGCACTTTGGGAGGCCGGGATAGGCAGATCACCTGAGGTCAGGAGTTTAAGACCAGCTTGTCCAACATGGTGAAACCCCGTCTCTACTAAAATTACAAAAATTAGCCAGGTGCGGTAACACCTGCCTGTAATCCCAGCTGCTCAGGAGGCTGAGGCAGGAGAATCCATTTGAACCTGGGAGGCGGAGGTTGCAGTGAGCCAAGATCACGCCACAGCACTCAAGCCTGGGTGACAGAGTGAGACTCCATCTCAAAAAAATTAAATTAAAAAAAAATCATTAATCTAGTACATAGCCCATTAGGGACATTAGAGTTTATTAAATCAAAAGAGAATACACACAGTAAGAAAATAAATGAAACTAGAGGAGGAAGGATCACAAACTCTTAAGTCCCATAGATGTCAGCATTAGAGGAGAGGCTAGCCATGTATGATAGAGCTCTACTATAACTAAATTTAATTTGAGAAATGTTGACTAAGCACCTACTAGGCTACAGATGCTTTGGTAGCTGTAAGACAAACAAAGATGGGTGGTCCGTACTGTCTCAAAGCTACAGACTAATTCAGGAGTAACACAGAATAAGAGCTGAATAAGCACAGCCTGGGGTAAGCATATGACGGGTGGATACAAAAGTATAGACAGCAAGCAATATTAGCTTTTCTAGATTGGGGTGACACTTTGACTCTGGTTCCAACTCCCTTTGAATAATGAGCCAGTAAAACAGCTTCATAAATATTTTCTCCTCTACACAGAACTCCTTAATGATACACCAGAGAGATTACAATGGAAATGCTAAGGAAAGGAACAGCTGGCATCTCTCCTTGAAATCCTATGAGCAGAACAAATTCAGAGCTTCAAAACAACAAAACATGTTGCACCGGGAGAATACGATCCTCTCTGGAATCCCATCAGGGACTAGAAAGTTACCCCCGATAAACATGATGAAAGAAAGTGAACAACGTGAGGGGCGTTTATCTTAGCGGAAAGAGATCAAATACTCCCTGAGAGCACTTTGTTTTCCTCGAAAAATGTCAAGGAGTATGTGTCTAAATGAACTGTTCACTAAGAGTAGGATATTTGCCCCCAAAACGAAATAGGGGAAATGAACATGATAACATCTGGGTGGGGACTGTGAGAGAGAGAGTGTGTGTGTGTGTGTGTGTGTGTGTGTGTGTGTGTGTTGAGGGAGGTGGTTGTAAGAGGATAATGTAAAAATTCGGAAAAGAGAGCTCACAGCTTAATATTGGTCATGAGATCAGTTACCAAAGGCCATCCCTCCACAGACAATGACAAGGCCATGTTCATTGCAACTATATTACAATTCATTTTGGTTTTGTAGATGAGAGAATGTCAGAAATGAACAAGAAAATCAAACACGAGAGAGAAGAAAAATGAAAATATAGCGCCCGGCTTCCCCTAGGCATTGGCTGCTGGTGTCAGTTTGACAAAAACAGCTGTCAGTTTTGTTGAGATAAAAGCAATAGGTCCCCCAAAATAGTACCGTGGAAGAAGACTGCTCTGCTATTACATACGAAAGGCACTTCCAGAGAAGGAGTGGAATGTGTATTACTCATCCTCTTTTCTCCCAGGAAAGAAGGTTTAGGCAGGATGGAGGACAAGTAATCCCAAAGTCATTTTACTGAAAAAAGGTTGCTCAAGAAAGAGCTTTTAAATGAAGATCATGGTTTTCAACCATAAAGCTGTAAGTCACCTAATGATTTTTCTAAGGCTGAATTAAGGGGAAACGTGACGATGAATTATATATTAGTGTAACACAATTGCTCCCAAAGAGGCACTCATGGGGTTATTACAGTTTGAGTATCCCTTAACCAAAGTGCTTGGGACCAGAAGTGTTTCGTATTTTGGATTTTAGAAGATTTGCATAGACAGAATGACATTTCTTAGAGATGAGACCCAAGTCTAAACACAAAATTCATGGTTGTTTCATAATACCTTATATACATAGCCTGAGGGTAATTTTATACCACATTTTTAATAATTTTGGGCATGAAGCAAAGTTTGTGTACACTGAACCATCAGAAAGAAAAGGCGTCACTATCTCAGCCACCCATGTGGACAATCTGCGGTTGTGTGACCTCACCATCATTCCTGACTCTAAATTTATATGCTTCTGATAAGCAATCATGTTCATATACTTATTCACACTTAAATACTTAACAGTAAAAATAGGACATATCATTAATACAGTTTTTTAAAAAAAGTGTTCAGGGTAGCCAAGCAGCACAACATGAGATACCTGTGTCAGCTGTTAACAGCAACAAATAAGAGCACGCTTTCTGTCTCCATCTGCAATGCTATGTTTTGATTAAAAGGCTACTGTACCCTGTATTTTATTTTTTGAGACAAGAAGCAACATCAGAAGCAGTTGAGGGACCAAAAAGAGGGGCCTCTAGGGATGAGGAGACATTCTGCTAGAAGGGTTTTATTATTATTATTATTTTGAGACGGCGTCTTGCTCTGTTGCCCAGGCTAGAGTGCAGTGACACCATCTTGGCTCACTGCTACCTCCGCCTCCTGGATTCAAGCGATTGTCTTGCCTCAGCCTCCTGAGCAGCTGAGATTATAGGCACCTGCCACAACGCCCAGCTAATTTCTGTAATTTTAGTAGAGATGGGATTTCACCGTGTTGGTCAGGCTGGTCTCAAACTCCTGACCTCAGGTAATCTGCCCTCCTCAGCCACCCAAAGTGCTGGGATTACAGGCATGAGCCACTGTACCCAGCCTGCTAGATGGCTTTTAAAAAATATTTCCTCCAGAGTCACCTGCCTCATTAAGAATTTTTTTTTTGTCTTGGAACTCTCTCTTTGATTTTATAAACTGACATGATTTCTTGTGTTATGGCTGCACACTGCTCTAGTCCTTAAATAAGCCCATTGCACCTTTTCACCATGCCATCGACAGGCACTTTTTCTGCAGTGTTGACAATGTCATCTTCATCATCACTACTACATAAATGCTTCCTTTTTCTCATCAGTGTTACTCATAGGGGTATCTGCAGGTCTTTTTGACATTTTCAACAATATCTTTACACCACAGAGCAGGAAATAAGCAAAAGACCACACTGAGTAATGCACGCAGCTCTTGGCCCCATGTGGGGCATCGTGGGGAACCCGTGGTTGGTGCCTGAACACATGCCATTTTATTACACTTTGTTAGTGTGCTCGCATGGGGAAATCTGGGCATGCGAGGAAAACATAGATAGCATCCGAAGAGGAGTGGAAGGGCCTTTTGTCCCTTGGAGAAGCTGAAGAAATCATGGGTCCTGTGGCTGCATTTTGACTGCAACCAGTCACATGAAGTCAGGCGTGACTTCCACTTGTGGCATCATGTGGTCACTCAAAAAGTTTCAAATTTTTGAGCATTTCAGATTTGGAATTTCAGACTAGAAATATCCAACCTGTACTAAAAAAATAAACTAAATAAACTCTGATTATGATTTTTTTTTTTTTGAGATGGAGTCTCTCTCTGTTGCCCAGGCTGGAGTGCAGTGGCACAATCTCGGCTCACTGCAACCTCCGCCTCTTGGGTTCCAGTGATGTTCCCATCTCAGCCTCCCGAGTAGCTGCGATTACAAGCATGTGCCACTGCACCCAGCTAATTTTTGTATTTTTAGTAGAGACGGGGTTTCACTATGTTGTCCAGGCTTGTCTTGAACTCCTGACCTCAAGTGATCCACCTACCTCGGCATCCCAAACTGCTGGGATTACAGGCATAAGCCACCGTGTCTGACCCTGATTATGTATTTGAATTTCAGACAGAGTCCATGTGTATGCAAAGCATAGTAGAATCTGGTCTGTCAAGGATCTCATGGTGTGGATTCCAGCTCCATCATATCCCTCTTGTGAGTAACCCTGCCCCTTCCCTATCACCTCTGCCTGGGGTTAAGTCCTCACCTGGTCCAGGATTTCCCACTCTTGCAGATTGCACAGTCCAGAAAAATCTCAAAGGGACAACTGGAGAACTAGAGGGACCAGCTGATTTTTTACTTGAGGGCAAAGACATGGAGAGGTATGTAGACAGATAGATATAATAGATAGATACAGATATTGTAAAGCCTACTATTTACTATTACCATAATTTCACAGACAAATGGACAATTTTACCCTCATAAAATTTAGGAGGTCATGATCTCAAACCAAAGGAGAGTCCTTTGAAATTGAACAGAATTTATGAAGAACTGACTATATCATGTTTAATTTTCTCATTTCACTACAGATTGATGAAAACGTTGTCACCTCCCAACACTGGCTTTGGGAGGCTGAGGCAGGATGATCACTTGAGGCCAGATGTTTGAGATAAGCCTGGGCAACTTAATGAGATTCTTGTCTCTAAAAAGATTGAAAAATAGCCGGGTGTGGTGGTGCATGCCTATAGTCCTAGCTACTCAGGAGACTGAGGCTGGATGATCACTTGAGCCCAGGAGGTTGAGGCTGCAGTGAGGTATGATCACAACACTGCACTCCAGCCTGGGCAATAGAGCGAGACCCTGTTTCTATCAAAAAAAAATAAATAAATAAATAAAAGAAAGAAAGGAAAGCAAAAATAAACCAATACTGGAATAAAGAACTGAGTTTGGGGAAACAGATAATATAATGGTCTCCAATCTCCAATGCTCCGTGCTGTCACACTCAAGTCCTAAAAGTCACCCTCTGTGTCACCATTGTATCACTCTCCAGCTCTAAAGAGAAAGTCCAAATACCTGAGCATGTCGCCTAAAGCCCCCCACAATCTGATCTGCATCTTTGCTCATGATGTCCCACCCCCAATTCACACCCTGTGCTCTGCCAGCACCATTTGAAGTAGCCAGCCAATGACTTCTCTGTGACAACGAGAGGAGGACTTTGCACCAGAGTGTAAATCAACGTGTTGTTTCTATCATGGAGAGAAACTCTTGCAGTGATCAAAGAAATCAAAGAAAAAGGAATCCGCAGAGTGACTTCGTGGATTTATATTCCAGCACAAGCTCCTTTTCTAAATCAATGTGTTGCTTCTATTATGGAGAAACTCTTGCAGTGATCAAAGAAACAAACAAACAAAAAAACAAAACCACCAGAAAAGGAATCCGCATAGTGACTTCGTGGATTTATATTCCAGCACAAGCTCCTTATCTAAATCAATGTGTTGCTTCTATCATGGAGAAACTCTTGCAGTGATCAAAGAAACACAAACAAACAAACAAAAAAGAATTCGCATAGTGACTTCCTGGATTTATATTTCAGCACAAGCTCCTTATCTAGTGCCACTGCTCTTCCATCCGGGCTTGAAATTCCCTGAATGCTTTGGACATTTGATACCTTCATGCTTTTTGCTTGTCTGTTCCCTCTCTGCCTGGAATTTCCTTTCTCCTCTACACCACCTAACACACCCAAGTATCTTCGAAGGTTCAGCTTGTGTCACGAAGCTTTTCTTGTGTCCCATGTAGGATTCGTCTCCTGTGCTCTCTTTTATCTCTCCTGTGTTATATGGTAGGCTTTGGCACTAGTGCTGTGATTGCAATCTTGGTTTATTTTGGCTTTAATATCTCACGGCATTTTCTACTCAACTCTGTAGTGTGCAGTGCTGGGGGGATGCAGAACCTTGCCTCTCACCATAGACACGGGAGCAGGGAGCTTTGCCCACTCCCCGTCCCGTGAGATGGTGTAGTCACACCATGACATGCCCACATCCTAACCTCTGGAACCTGGGAATATGACCTTATTTGGAAAAAAGGGTTTATAGATGTAATTAAAGATTTCAAGGCGAGATCATCCTGGGTTATCTGGGTGGACCCTACATGCCAATGACAAGTGTCCTTATAATAGACAGGAGAGAAGACAGAAGGCAGAAATTGGAGTTACACTAGCACAAGCCAAAGAGTGCCTGGGCCCACCGGGAATTGGAGGAGGCAAGGAGGAATTTTCCTGTGGAGAATTCAAAGGGAGCAGGCCCCGCTGACAACTTCATTTAGGACGTCTGGCCTCCTGAGCTGCAAGAGAATACATTTCTGTTGTTTTCAGCCACCCACTTTGTGGTCATTTATTACAGCAGCCCCGGGAAACAAATATAGATGCCTGGCCCTATGACCTAGATTCAATCAACCATGAACTCTCATCCTGGGCTCTGAATGCAAAACGGGTCATTCAAAGGCACAGGCGGGGTGACAGTGTCCTGGCCACATCACTCTCACTAAAAGGGGCCCTTGTCCTTCTCAGACGATCAGGGTTCAAACCCATTTTCCAGCCGAGGTTCTCTTGATTCTGTACAGTCCCTACTGTATTCCAGAAAATGTTTTCTCTGCTTAAGATATCCAGAATTCCTTTCTGTTGCCTGCAATTCACAATTTTAACTAAATTTTAAAAAATGTGTTGGTCATTGTTCCGGCCATTCCAAGATAAATATGAAGATTCTGAAAAACATCATTAAGTCCAGAATGGGACTCTGACAACCAATGGTGTACGGTAGCAGAAAGCTCATTAACTAATCACCTGTAGTTGCAGGAATTAGGTACCCAAGTAGGGCAAGGCTTTGGGAGTTAACATCGTTCTCACTGGAGAATGCTACCAAGGGCATGAGGAATTCAAGAAGGCAGGAAGGCATTTGAATGAGCTTAAGAAAAAAGAAACACAAACCTTTATTTTTTTATTTTTTTTATTTTGAGATGGAGTCTTATCCTGTCGCCCAGCCTGGAGTGCAGTGGCATGATATTGGCTCACTGCAACCTCCCATTTAATTCTTAACTCGACACAGGCTTGATTGTCTTATCTCTTGAAGCTGTAGTGCTAAGGCAGCTGAAATATAAACTCTAGGTTAGTGAGAATCTATAGGCTGCCAAATTACTTGAATTCACAGCCTCCCCACATACTTTATGCGAAAGTCAGGGCATTGCCTGCAGGGGTCAAAACTGGGCCCTGAGAACAGGAATGAGAATTTTTGGATGCAGCACTAGGTCACTCCCCTGAAAAGGACAACGCTTACTTCCTCATAGGCCTGCCATTCCCCCGCCAGAGGGAGTTTCCTGTAAGAGGGAGAGAGCTCAGCCCATTCCACACCACCACGTTCCCTCCCCTTCTCAGTGTCCCCAAGTCTGTAACTGGCCACTTTCCTGCATGTTCCAGAGAAAAAATATTACAAAGTCAAACCCAGAAGGTTTACACACCAGAAGATTTACAGCCCATTGAATTTAGAAGGCAAAGATCTGGGGTAAGTATCCACGCATACAGATTCTGCAGGTGACTGCCAAAGAGAGAGAAATGTAATTATAGACTATATTGAGTTTATTAACATGGGTGAGCTTACCAGGGAGTCTGGACTCCACGTGCCAACCTGGGCGACTGAATGCAGTTCTAGGAGCTTGCTCATCTGTCAAATCAAAACCTGGACTCAGTGGTGGCCTAACCAGAGTTGAGACGCTGTGTATGTCTTGGTTAAAGATAACTAAGGTGTAGCAAGTAGGCCTGTTTCATGCCCTGCAGTGGCTACTATATTGGCTGGTTAGTGACACAGAAACAATCTGGAGAAGAGTCATATAAATGAACTTCTCAGAATTGCTCATAGTGCAAGAATCTATCTATCTATCTATCTATCTATCTATCTATCTATCTATCTATCTATCATCTGTCTATCTCTCTGTCGCGGGTTAGCAGCAACTGTCTGGGCCAGTGATGCAGGGGTAAACAAATGTACCAAGACAGTTGTAGGTAAAGAAAAGCAGATTTATTAGAGAAAGTTGGAAAATATGTTGCCAGGTTGCAATGGGCACAATCAGCAGAAGAGGAGCTGACTGCCAGGAAACAAAGGCTTGCTGGAGATTTTATAGAATGGTTCTTGGGCTGATCGATAATGCCAAGGTAGCAGGGAGCTCACCTGCATTCTCCTGTCAGCCAAGGAGCTTGATGATAAATCGAAGTGTTTGATGATGAGCAGGAAGTTTGTGAGTTATGCACATTATTTGCTCAGGAGGCCTATATTCCTGGGCCATGAAGAAAGGCAGATCTATAGCTTATTTGCTTTCTCTCTTCGCTTTCCCCTGGTCCTTTCAGCCTGACTCCTTTTCCCTAATTAAGACTCCACACTATCCATCTACTTTTTTTGGAGACAGGGTCTCGCTCTGTCATGCAGGCTCGAGTGCAGTGGTACAGTCGCAGCTCACTGCAGCCTTGACCTCCCAGGCTCAAGCAGTCTTCCCACCTCAGCCTCCCTAGTAGATGGGACTAAAGGCACATGCCACGGCACCTGGCTAATGTTTTTGCATTTTTTTCTTTTTTTTTTTGTAGAGATAGGGTCTTGCTATATTGCCCAGGCTGGTCTCGAACTCCTGGCCTCAAGCCATCCTCCTGCCCCAGCCTCCCAAAGTGTTGAGATTACAGACATGAGCCACTGCACCCAGCTACAAGAATATAGTTTGTTTGTTTGTTTGTTTTTGAGACAGAGTCTTGCTCTGTCACAAGGCTGGAATGCAGTTGCGTGATCTCAGCTCACTGCAACCTCTGCCTCCCGTGTTCAAGTGATTCTCCTGCCTCAGCCTCCCAAGTAGCTGGGATTATAGGCACGTGCCACCACACCCAGCTAATTTTTGTATTTTTAGTAGAGATGGGGTTTCATCATGTTGGCCGGGATGGTCTCGATCTCTCGACCTCGTGATCCACCCACCTCAGCCTCCCAAAGTGCTGGGATTACAGATGTGAGCCCCCACGCCCGGCCAAGAATATTTTTAACTCAAGAAAATAAGATGGTCATGGTGACTTCCTTGCTTGACACTCTAGGGCTTGCTCCACTGGGGTCGTGAACAGGTTGACGGTTATCTGTGTGCACAGTAACACATTCCTCTCCTCTCCAGGCTGATCTTGTGATTGGCACTGCTGCGTGCTCCATCGACCAGCATTAGTAATAAACCCTGAGCCCATGGCATTATGCAAAGCTTCAAGGGAATCAGCCATCTGTCTGACAGCAGGCTGATTGTCTGGGGTCACCTTCCAACCTGGAGAGGGCAGCAACTGGAGAGGGATTCAATAGAGTAGACATTTAATCTGCATTTGAATTTTCTCTTTGCCCACCATGCTTCTATTTGCAACACCATCTGCTAGCAGCACCTCCAGGAGGCTCTCCAAGGAAGTTTCTTTGCCCTCAGGCCTCCATCTGGGGCATGAGCAGGCATAGGCAGGATTTGGGAGGAGGCAGCAGGAGCAGAGGTCAAGTTAATGTATTACCCCAACTCCCTCCCAGATAGGTCTGGGTTGAACAATGGCTTTGTCCTTTGCCTGCAGGTCACAGCTGATGCTGGGCAGCTCTTTCCTGGGTTTAAAGTTATGCTAAGTTCTGGAATCCAGTCTTTCCGCTTTCCCTTTCAGGCTAAGGATGGTAATCCTGTCAGTGCTAACCCCAGGATGCTTTGCCATCCCTGGTTAGTTTTCTTAACCTTGCTGACACTTTGTGAACAGGCCTTTTACTAAACTCTCTTCAGTAACATCTTTTGAATATGCCACTTTTTACAGAAATCTGTACTGATATGTTATTTTTATTTTATTTTTTATTTTTTGTATTTTTAGTAGAGACAGGGTTTTACTATATTACCCAGGCTGGTCTCAAACTCCTGACCTCAAGTGATCCGCCCACTTCTGCCTCCCAAAGTGCTGAGATTATAGGCACGAGCCACTGCACCCGGCCCATATGCTATGTTAATGTAACTAATATATAGTATCTCACACAACGTTGCTGCTGACCAAGAAATTCACTTTATAGTGAAAAAAAAAAAAAGTAAAGCATAAACAATGCCCTATTACTAATCCTACCATGTCTTCCTCACCTAAAAATCCCTTGCCTTTTACGATGGTGAAATGGTCTCTAAAAGGCTCAGTTAAGCTGCATGTGGAAAATCTTCGGAGCTGGGAAAGTGGCTTTGTTATACATAGACCTCCCAAAGGAGAACTAGGGCAGGTGCCGAGGGTGGCAGCAGGAGCTCAGCAGTGGCACTGGGTCCTGGTCCGACTGACTGTTGTACCTAAGACTCTTGGCATGGTGGAGCTTCCCTGGGGCACATTTATTTTCCAAGTCTAGTTCTCTGGCTTTCTATGTCCTTCATATTTCAATAAATTCCTGATCAGTCCAAAGATCACGAGTCAGTTTCTGTTGCTTGTAATCAGCAACCATGGCTCATATAGAACTGAGAAAATATTATCGTATTCATTTGTTGATGCTTGTTTATTGCCCCCAACTTTTACTCTTTATGGACAATGACCATACGTGTCTCATCTCTTTATCCGTAATGTCTGTCACCATATCTGGCAAATATGGTGGTGGTGGATTATCATCAATTGAAGGAATGAATGCCCCCAAATAGCTAGAAGCATCAATTTATTTATTTTTATTTTTATTTTTATTTTTGAGACAGTCTTGCTCTGTCGCCCACACTGGAGTGCAGTGGCACCATCTCGGCTCACTGCTACCTCCACCTCACGGGTTCAAAGGATTCTCAGACCTTAGCTTCCAAAGTAGCTGGGATTACAGACACATGCCACCATACCCAGCTAATTTTTTGTATTTTTAATAGAGACTCGGTTTCGCCATGTTGGCCAGGCTGGTCTCGAACTCCTGGCCTCAAGTGATCTGCTTGCCTCAGCCTCCCAAAGTGCTGGGATTACAGGCATAAGCTACTGTACCTCCCCTAGAAACATCAATTTAAAAGCTTTTTTTTTTCTTTCCTGCTACTTTTAGAAGAAAGGAGCAATTAATAAGTTCTAAATTTTATTCTGGGGTCAGTCTATATATGTTCAACAATTACATGATCAACAAAATATTTGTTATCTATATCAAGTATATCGTTCAGGGGAGTGGACCACTTTGATTCCCATGGGCTTATACCAGCAAATCTACTAATCTATTTGTATCTCTTCTCATATACTCTTTCTTCCTGGAAGAGAGATGAGGATGAACTATCTGTACTTCTATAATACAAACCCTCCTAGCCGTACATGGAATCCTATGTTCTGGACAATTAACAGCTTCTCTCCTGTAATTTTCTTCTCTCTCTTCTCAATCATCGATTTTCCCCATTAGTGTAAAAATACACTTCAATATCTCAACTAAAAAAAAAAAAAACTGCTTATGTATGACCACAGACCATGATCCAGTCTCAACCCTAACTTCCCTGCTTCCTTTTATGGCAAAGTTCTTTCACAAATAATGCTGCTGCCTCTATTTGTTGGTTTTCCTTTGATCTGAAAACTTTAGCTTTATGATCTTTTAGGGGATCATAAAACACCTGTCAACCTCAGGCGTGAAGAGCTGCACCTAGCAAGCTGTGTAACCAAGTGAGCTACTTTAAAAAAACAAAACAAAACAAAACCCTGCCTGCTGCTGTCCCGCCTCCTGTCCCTTTTCATGCAAGAGAAGTGAAATGCTTTTATTTTACAAATAATGCAGTCGTTTACTTTTCATCAACCTCACAACATTACTTTCACTGCAACGCAGGCAGTACTCCAGACTGCCACGTTTTGCTTCCAGCCTTCATCGCCACTTGAAACATCTATTGGCCAACCTGTTGTCTGGAACGAGGCAGGACTTGTAGGTGACTTCATATCCCTGGAAACTTATTCTGTTGGGGCTCATTCTTCCATTGCCCTTGAATGAAATTCAGGCAGGCCCACAGATTTTTCATAAATTTCAATAGTAAGTAAATGCTCTCCAGGTCACAAAACGTTCTCACTTCTGAAATTGATTCCCCGTCCAGTGTAAAATCCAGGCTCCACGTTTCATCACCATTTGAAACTTCTCATCTCCAGCTTGGACCTGCTGCTATCAAGAAGCTTGCAGTGGGAAAGGTGGTTTCTTCTCTTGTTGCATCCTTCACTCCCAACTCAGTAGTTAATGGGACAGGGTCACGGTGGTGGTGAAGGGAGCCGGCAAGGAGAGGTTAGGGAGCCAGAAAAGTCCTTTTCTTTTCTTTTTTAAGGGACAGGGTCTTGCTTGTCACCCAGGCTGGAGAGCATCGGTGCGATCTTGGCTCACTGAAGCCTTGAATTCCTGGGCTCAAGCCATCCTCCCGCCTCAGCCTTCTGAGTAGCTGGGACTATAAGTGCTTGCCACTATGCCTAGCTTTTTAAAAAAAAAATTTTAATATATTTTTGGAGATGACATCTCACTATAATGCTCAGGCTGGTCTGAAACTCCTGGCCTTAAGCGATCCTCCCATCTCAGCCTCCCAAAGTACTAGGATTACAGGTATGAGCCACCGCATATGGCCAAAATGTTCTTTTCGACTGGCACTGGCGTGAACTGAGTTCAGTGATCTCTGGGCACGGTGGGAACTAAAGGCTGTTCTCATTCATGAAGTGTTTTGTGGATCTCATGGAATCTTTCACTGGCTCTGTGCAGACGCTTATGGCTGAAGTCCTTTCACCAGCAGTTTTCTGAAACGGATAATCCACCGTCCTGCTGGCTGCCTATGACAGTTCCATGTCATCCACCCCTACACCTCCAACATGTTTCACCCGCCATCTCTTCACCTCTCCAGATGAGATCCTAGCCAATGCCACCTGTCTTTCGTGGCCCACATCTAGTCCAAGGAAAACAAGTGCCTTTGTTCTCTCTTCAGTGAAAGTAGCAGTTACTTCCCAAGCAATACCCACTCTCTGCTGCCATAGATTGCTTCTACCAGCCTTTAGATTTTTTCAGGCATAGCTTGGTCCAGACCACTGTGTCTGAGATCTCATCTGCAGTGGCACATATCCAGCTTTCTGTGTGGTCCTCCTGAAGCCCCTGTCACTTGACTTGAGGATGGGGAGAAATACCTTCTCTTCTCCCACGATGCTGTGCATGTGCTGGCAAGGGAAGGGGCACCCAGAGCATGCCAAAAAAAATCTTCCTAAATACGTCTTCTCCCCAGTGTCCAACTGGGCGTTGGACTAAGGGTCACAAAACCAGATTTCATATTATTCAGCCTTAAAAAGCAATGCAATTCTGACACATGCCACAAACACGGATAAACCCGGAAGACATTATGCTCAGTGAAATAAGCCAGACATGAAAGGACAAACACTGCATGACTCCACTCATGTGAGGTTCCTGGAACAGTCAGCTACATAGAGACAGAAAGCAGAATGGTGGCTCCCAGGGCCTGGGGAGTCAGGGTAAAAGGGGCTTAGTGTTTAAATGGCCTGGAGGTTCACTTTGGGAAGATGAAAAAGTTCTGACGATGGATCATAGTGATGGTTGCACAAGACTGTTAATGTATTTAACGCCCCTGAGTTATATAATTAAAAATGGTTAAATGGTCGTTTTTATATTATGCATATTTTACCACAATAAAAAACATTTCAGTCATTTCTTCTGCAAGTCCTGCTGAGGTAGTCTAGCAACTAGCTTCAGAACATGAGAGTCATTGTCACCTAGCGTATTTGGGACCATGCCTGTTATCAAGCCATTGTCTCTCCCCTCCAAACACTCCCTCCTACACACCGCTTTGTGTGGAGAGGGCGGGACTCTGTAAACAGCACTGCTAGTTTACTAAGTGTCTCTGCTGACAAGGGGACACCATAGGGAGCCTGGAAGGACAGGGTGGGAGAGGGGACCGGCTCCTCTCTGTTTGCTTCCTGTTCCTGCCAGAGTTGGCCAGCAACAGCCCTTCACCCTGGCAGCGGCATTTGTTTCCAATAGGAGTCGGTTAGTTTCCAGTTTCTTTCACTTTCCCAGGACTAGCTCTTTTGCACACCCCTAAAAGACACCTCGCCCACAAGCAAGTCTCCTCCCAAGAGATCTGCCTCCCAACTCCTCAGGGACTCTCCTCTGAGCTCTCAAAGTCTCCGCACCAGCCGGCCAGCCCCGCCTCCACGGGAGTCTGGGTCCCAGCTCTGGGGACCCCTCGTCCAAGCTTCTAGGTTCTGAGAAGCTCATTTTCTTCTCTTTGTCCCCTCAGCACAGGGGCAGCTGCTTCCTGCTGTTGTTCTTGCCATCCTGCCTCATTTGTTCCCTCTTTGCATTGCTTGTCCTCTAATATCTGTCTAATCAATTCCTTATATTAAATTTTCTCTGTTAACATAACTGATGGGGTTTTCCCTCCCAGACTCTACCTAACACTGCTGTATTTTTGCGCTATTGTGCAAAACATGAAAACAATAAAGAGTTTCTTTTCAGTATTTGGCTAGAGTTATTTATGGCTTGTCTCTCCCAGTGAGTTTATAAATTCCATGAAATTAGGGTTTTTTTTGGTTCACTGATGCTATGTTCTGCATTCTAAACATGGCCTGGCCCAAAGCAGGCACCCAATCATATCTGTTGGACAAATAAATAGGAAATATTTAAACACTAAAAAAGCAATTTTGGTCATGAAAATATGCTTATAATATGTAAAAGCGATAACCACATCTAAATATATTCGGAGGAAAATAAGTAGCTGAACTCTCTTTTTCTGAAATTTTTAGCAATATCCATTTTCTGCTTTCCCTGCCCCCCATTTTCTTGTTTGCTAATTTTTGTCAGTACTGTTTCTCCATCTTTTTCTTGCAGATTAGGGCAAGTTATCCACAAGATAGTCATTCAGCCAGCAAAATACTTTTTAATGTCAACTGTATACTGGATATCGCACTAGATGCTGCAATGACAAGTTCATTTTAAATCCAGCTAACACACAATTTGAAGTCGGAACACCAATACAATATGTTAAACCTCACAAAGAAAACTTCAAAAGTAGAACTCAGAGGATTTCATTATTATGAAAAAATGCTGTACCGGGAGAACCCTGAGGTCACAGGCCCAGGCCCGCCGTTCCCTGGCAAAGTCACCTTGAGCAAAATATTTAGCTTCTCTGGGTACATGCTCTTTCCTCTTAGAAATAAAGAAATATCAAAATGAAAAACAAAACAAAAAAAGAAAAAAATTGAAAAAAGGGGAAACAAAAAGAAAGAAAAATAAATAAATACCAGTATTTGATAATACAGCAGGGAAACGACAGTTAACAAAACTTTATTGTCTATTTCAAAATAGCTACAAGAACTGCAATGTTCCCAAGGCAAAGATACATGTTTGAGGTGACGGTATGCAAATTACTCAGATTAATCATCACATATTGTATACATGTGTCAAAATAGCACATGTACCCCAAAATATGTACAACTATGATACATCATTTAAAAATGCAAAAAATGAAGAAATACAGATACTTTCTAAAGTGCCTCTCCTCTTTTAAGACTGAGCCTTCATAGAGAAATGTGTTTTAACATCCCCCAAATCACAACAGAACTTTCGAGCATTGGCAGCCAATATGCAGACTTGAATTTCTTCTTATCACAGTTCCCAAACGTGTTACCCTGTACAGACTAAGAGGCTAGAAAGACATGAAGTGAGTGACAGGAAGCCAAAAGTGTCATAAAAAGCCTTGGTGCCAATTCCTAATTCCACTTCCAAATAAAATTGTGATTTTCTGTAGTGATACTTTTTAAACTTGGCTGGATATTTTTAGGACCTTAATCCATGGAATAGTATTAATATTGACAGCTGCATTAACCATCTCACACATTTGAATACATTGCAAGCCTCAAAAAAGGTCAGCACAGCCGGCTCATCTCTTTCACTGATGTAAATCTGTAGGACCGCCCAGAAGGCGTCTGCTCTAGATCTGAACAACGGAGTCCACGTTTACCAAGAGGCCCTGCACCAAGCCATGAAATTGGATTGGAATCATGCAGCAATAAGAAGAGGAAGGCACCTGCCACAATGTGCTCTCTTCACTGTTAGGTTGGGATGGAGAATACTGAATACATGACAACGTAAAAGTTGGGCAAATGCTACTTTGAAAATAAGAGTGAATAAATGAGGAGAAATAGGCTTACATAAAAAACAGGACCAAAAGTTCATGGACAGTGAAGGAAGGCACTGGTCTGTTTAATAACAACAGATGTCTACAAGCTAACGAAGTAAATTTGTTTTTTGTTTCAAATATTTTTGTTCACAGAAGTGAAACACTTTGCACATACCTGGAAGAAAACCAGGTGGTATTGGTGTTATCACCAGGTGAGGGGCTAAAGTTTATTCAGCAACAGTGAGGTCACCAAGGATCTCCAAAAGTTCTGCCTCGTTATGCATGGTTGGCCTTCTGTTTCTGAGTTCCACACGGACCAATCTGACCAACTGTGTATCAAAAATATTTAAAATCAGAATCATGCCTGTAATTCCAGCATTTTGGGAAGCTGAGGTGGGAGGATGGCTTGAGGTCAGTTTGAGACCAGCCTGGGCCACATAGCAAGACCATGTGTCTACAAAAAAAAAAAAAAAAAAAAATTAAAACATTAGCTGGGTGTGGTGGTGCAGGCCTGTAGTCCTAGCTACTTGGGAGGCTTAGGTGGGAGGATTCCTGGAGCCCAGGCACTTGAGGCTGCAATGAGCCGTGATTGTACCAGTGCACTCTGCACTCCAGCCTGCGGTATAGAGAGACACTCACTCTCTAAAAAAAGAAGAAAGAAACAATAAAAAGAGAATTTTTAAAAAAGAAAAAATATTAGGAAAAAATAAAAAATAATACAAATAAGAGATACATTATTACAACTACTTAGCACTTACATTGTATTAGGTTATTGCAAGTAATCTAGAGATGATTTAAAATAATGGGAGAATGTACACAGGTTATATGCAAATACTATGCCCTTTTGTATCACAGAGTTGTGCATCCATGAATTTTACTACAGGGGTGTGGGGGTAGAGTGGGTCCTGGAACCAATCCCCTTTGGATGCAAAGGAGTGACTGGGTGCAATTGTTTACTTACTTATATATACACAATACAGAAACATAGGAAGGTAGATTTACAGGCCTCTGTGAGCCCAAAGGTAGCTAGCACTGTCCCAGAGACTAGGATGGATGGAAACCTGTGTAATGAAGAGACGGTGGGCCTTTCAGTATTTTGTTTGTTTGTTTGTTTGTTTTTAGACACAGTTTCACTCTCTTGCCTAGGCTGGAGTGCAGTGGCGCAATCTCAGCTCACTGCAATCTCCACCTTCCAAGCGATTCTCCTGCCTCAGCCTCCCGAGTAGCTAGAATTACAGGTGCATGCTACCACGCCCGGCCAATATTTTCTATTATTAGTAGAGATGGGGTTTCACCATGTTGATCAGGCTAGCCTCGAACTCCCGACCTCAGGTGATCCACCTGCCTTGGCCTCCCAAAGTGCTGGGATTACAGGCATGAGCCACCTCACCCAGCCCACTTTTCGGTTTTATATAAATATGTGTAAGAGCAGGCTTATGTGACCACTGCCGAAGTCCTGCAAATCTGTTGCTTCTCCATGGGGTGAGTCAGGCCAGGCCTGTGTAGATAATGAACAGCATGGCTCTCTACCCACCATACTACACCTCTTCTAGTAACTGACCTTGTCAAACAGGACTACACCTCCTGTGAGAGGTAGGGGTGCACTCTCGCGACTCAGGGAGGGGCCTTCTGGACTGCCAGCTGCTCAGGCTGTCCCTCCCACCCTGAGGACTGACTCCTCCCAGAGTAGGGAGTTGAACCTGGAGTCCACGTGGCTATCGGCTCACAGCTCATGCCTCCAAATGTCACTCTCTTAAGATTCCAGTTAACCTGATTGCATTCCATTAAAATGCAGACCTCCTATTAGAAAGCATTAAGGGATTTTGGTAATTTATTTAAAACTATGTAGCTCTTCACAACAAATATACCAGAAATTGCTAAAATGTCTGTCACTGGATAATGTCTGTTTATGAAAGGAAAAGTCTCCTTTTACAGCAATTCCAACCAAACAACAAGCCTGAGGCTTTCTAGATTAAAGGGACAGAAACCAGGAAGATCTGCCCACTTCCTCACTCTTCTTGACCTCATCCCCATCACACAGGCCACATGCCCAGAAAGTCATATACTCCTGTAGAACTTTATAGTCCCTTGGGATGTATGTCTTCCGTGACTTGAACAGTATTTCATTTAAAATAGCACTTTTGGCCAGGTGGTGGCTCATGTCTGTAATCCCAGCACTTAGAGAGATCGAGGTGGGTGGATTGCTTAAGCCCAGGAGTTTGAGACCAGCCTGGACAACATGGTGAAATCCCATCTTTACTAAAAATGCAAGAATTAGCTGGGTGTGGTGGTGTGTGCCTGTAGTCCCAGCTGCTCAGGAGGCTGAGGTGAGAGCCCAGTAGGCGGAGGTTGCAGTGAGCCAAGATCGTGCCACTGCACTCCAGCCTGGGCAACAGAGCAAGAGCCTGTCTCAGAAAGTAAATAAGTAAACAAATTAGAAGACTGTTCTCTTTTTTAGCAGCTGTATAATAAGGACCTTCAGCCTGTCCAAAGACATGGGAAAATTAAACTGTTAACAATGCTTCAAAACCCATTTGTTAAGCTTTGTCCCACTGATCACTTTCATACTGACCATCACTATATGCATAAAGATGTATTTAATACTCTCCTGACATTTTAAGTGGATGAGTAATTCTACTATGGAAGTGACTACTCACTTAAAAAGAAAAATTGAAAACTCAGGAGGCTTTGCCATTGTTAATGAGCTGCTTTAATTAGAAAGGATGCATTTAATTATTAGTTCATTGGTGGAGAAAAGCTAAAAACAATCTAATTGAAGAGGGTCTGAGTTGGTCAAATGGTAACTGGAGAATGTCATCCTTTTTAATGTCAACTTTAACCCAAGAAAAATCTCTGGGGTAAACAAATCATCGTTGTCACCATCCCTGCCATTTCGTTATGGTCTGGTGAGGTTCAGTCTTTGTAGGGGAGCTATAGGATGGAGTAGTAGTTCAGAAAAGGATTTTTCTAGACCTATAGTCCCAAAGTCAAGTCTCAGCTGTGCCACTGTCTAGTCCTATGAAATACATTTGTTCCTAAAACCTTTGATGACTTTTTACCTATGCCTTTGTTCAACCCACTGGTATTTAACTTAACTGATCAAAGATTTCTGAACATTGTGCATATCTTTGGATGATCATTTCAGAAAGAGAACAAATTCAGGAGATGACTTACCCAGGATCCTAAAGATATGTCTTGTTTGGACATGAAACTTGTAAAACATTTCTGCTTCTCAATTTGAATTTTGTGTACTGTTAAAAAAATACCTAGGATGTCATTACCTATCCTTCCCACACCTTGGGAGTATTCACCGTCGGTGTCTGTAAGGAAGGTGAGTACTAGAGTACTACCTAGCCCTAAAATGCTTTTGGATTATAATCTCATAATGTAAACATGGAAAGGAACACTGTAAAATGGAAGCAAGGTAGTAAGAATGTGGTAAAGCCGATTTTTTTGCTCCTCTGGGAAAACAAGGCCTGCAGACTTCCCCACTGCACCCAGCTCCTCAACAAACCCTACGAAGCTCAGGTCCCATCTTGAACAGGATGGTTCCCCTAACCCTATGCGCTAGAAATGAGGGTGCTCTGTGAGTTCCCACAGCATCCAGTTCTTACTCTCATACATTGGATGGTATTCATGCTTGCCATCTCCTGTATTAATCAAAGAAGTCCCAGGCTAAATAAATGGGCACTGAACTAAAAATTTAGACCAATTTAAATAAATGCTGTGCCACATGGCTAAACAATAGAAATAGCTGTATTATCATGGAAATCTTTCCAACACATGCTTTTATGTCTATCTAAATAGTCTATAAGTAACACATTTTTTATTGGTAACATAGGAGCTAATTATGACAAAGTATTACAGAACAGCAATGTCTAGCTTGTAAATAACACATCTTTATTGATAACATAGGGGTTATCAATAAAGACGACAAAGTATTATACAGTAGCAATGCTTTCCGGGGTTAACAAAGTGTCTGCATCCACACTAAATGGCACATGGTTGTATCTGTTTGGAGTATTTCTTCCCCCCGCCCACACCCTGAGCACAGAGACAAGGTCTCACTCTGTCACCGAGGCTGGAGTGCAGTAGCTACTGAGTAGCTGGGACCAGAGGTATGGGTCACCATGCCAGGCTACTGTTTTTTTCACTTTCTGTAGAGATGGGGGGGGGTCTTACTATGTTGCCCAGGCTGGTCTTGAACTCCTGGGCTCAAGTGATCCTTCTACCTTGGTCTCCCAAAGTGCTCGGATTATAGGTGTACATCACCATGCCTGGCCATGGAGTGCTTCTTTTTTTTTTTTTCTTTTTGAGACAGAGTCTTGCTCTGTCACCCAGGCTGGGGTGCGGTGGCACTATCTTGGCTCACTACTACTTCCGCCTCCCAGGTTCAAGTGGTTCTCCTGCCTCAGCCTCCCGAGTAGCTGGAACTACAGGTGCCCGCCACCACACCCGGCTGATTTTTGTATATTTAGTAGAGATGGGGTTTTGCCATGTTGCCCAGGCTGGTCTTGAACTACTGAGCTCATGCAATCTGCCTGCCTCAGTCTCCCCACATGCTGGGATTACAGGCGTGAGTTGCTGTGCCCCAGCCTGCCCCACCTTGCTGTCGGCTGCCACTTCTCACTCTCATTGTGCCTGTCTCCACAAGCTCCTCCACTTTCTAATTTCCTGCTTGTAGTCTACCTTGGGCTTAAAAAAAAAAAAAATCAGACAACTAAGCCTTTTGGGATCCTATCAAAAATATGAAGAAAAAGACTTTCGGGTCATCAGACAGGTCAGCTTTGGACTAATGAGTTTGGTGACATCCTGTACTGACAGCTCACAGGCCACCTTGGTTCTGGACGGGGATCCGGATGCTGGGGAAGGCTGGCCACACCATGTCTTCTGGCTAAGCCCTTGAGTAGTTGGCCTTCTGATTGCCAGCCTTCTGCTTTTTAGCCAAATCTCCCTGCCACCATCTCTATGCTCTGTGTTCACTGTGATGCTAGCTCTGTTTCTTTCCAACTGAGCTCCTCAATAGCTTGGATTTTGTAGTTCCCTCCAGAGTCTCCGAATCCACACCTGCTTAATACCTACAAAAACCAATTCAGCCATATGGCTTGAATGCTTATATCACACACAGAGGCTTTTGGTTCTGAGTAAGTGCCACGATTATGAAAACTGCACTGAAGCAGGGAATAACACCAGTTGAAAGAATGGCCTCATTTGCAGGCAGCTTGCACTGTATTCTATAAGAATGTGTTTGACATTTTAAGCTTTCCTGTGGCAGCAAATTGTACTTCTTCTAGTGGGAGGGGTTATTAAGTCTGTGACCAGAATAAACCAGACTATTTTGGAAAGTTTAATTTTTTCGGTTTTCATATTCCATTTTATGACTGTGTTTGCTTTTTCAGAGATAAGCCTGTGTGTAAGAAAACAGTCTTATCTCTGAACCAAGCACATGGCTCACACCTGTAATCCCAGCACTTTGGGAGGCCGAACTGGGAGGATCATTTGAGGCCAGGAGTTTGAGACCAGCCTAGGCATCGTAGTGACACCCCATCTTTACAAACAAAACAAACAAACAAACAAACAAACAAAAAACATTAGCCTGGTGTGGTGGCATGCTTATAGTCCAAGTTACTCAGGAGGATAAGGAGGGAAGATCGCTTGAGCCCGGGAGTTTGAGGCTACAATGAGCTGTGACTGTGCCACTGCACTCCAGCCTGAGTGACAGAGAGAGACCCCGTCTCAAAAACAAACGAACAAGCAAAAACAAACAAAAAGCAATTATTTAGAGTTAAAAACTACAAATACTATTTTTTAACCTCAAGGAGTTCTATCATAAACTGCTTTAAAAGTAAAAAACAAATTAAACAGGAATACGGAACTCTGGCTCCAAATTTAAAATTACAAAATAAATAAGACAAAGCATTCGACATGAAGTTCCTGCGGCAGGATGGAAATGTTCTGGTAAGTGGCTATCACACATTTCACAGAAGCTAGGAGGCCATCTATTTTGTAAAATACACAACTATTTTACTTATTGCCAAGAAAGATGAGGATGTGTTATCAACTGTAGGATGTACCCCATGTCAATGATGTTGAAATGTAAAATAATGTTTTTCAAAAAGATGCAATACAATATTTTTGAAAAATAGCTTTAAAATAACAAAACTAATGTCACAATAATGACACGAGTCTTTTTGAGTTTCCTTAGAAAAGCCAATATTCTACCTTGATCATAAAACCTCTGTTTTAGGGCATCCTAAATTGTTAGAAAATGAGAAGTTACACAGTTCATGTACGAGAAGATCAGAGTCAAAAACAAGTGAATGGTTTACAAAACCAAAGCTGATGCGATTGGTGTCATTTATAAATATTTGGGAATCAACCAGTATGGAAACAATATCACTAGTTTCTTGAGGAGCAAGGACTAGAACCCATATGGGCTGATTCCACATGTCCACAGATCTATCATGCCACGCTGCAGCCTAGTTTAAATAAACAGAAAACAGGAGCTACTCAGGCACAGCTTAAATGAAAGTAGCCATTGCACAAGGTTTTAAAAAACTTGTATACATTTTTGTTTTGTTTGAGACAGGGTCTTCTTCTGCTGCGCAGGCTGGAGTGCAGTGGTGCAATCACGGCTCATCATAGCATTGACCTCCAAGGCTCAAGCAATCCTCTCTGCTCAAGCCTCCCGAGTAGCTAGAACTACAGGCACACTCCACCACCGCCAGGCTAATTTTTGTTTTTGTAGAGACGGGGTTTCACCATGTTGCCCAGGCTGGCCTTGAATTCCTGGGCTCAAGCGATCTGCCTAGCTCTGCCTCCCAAAACACTAGGATTACAGGCATGAGCCACTGTGTCCTGTCAGTATACATGTGTTTTTCTGTTTTGTTTTGTTTTTGTGACAAAGTCTCACTCTGTCTCCCAGGCTGGAGTGCAGTGGTGCAATCTTGGCTCACTGCAACCTCTACCTCCCAGGTTCAAGCAATTCTCCTGCCTCAGCCTCCTGAGTAGCGGGGATTACAGACGCATGCCACCACACCAGGCTAATTTTTGAATTTTTAAAGTAGAGACGGTGTTTCACTATATTGGCCAGCTGGTCTCAAACTCCTGACCTCATGAATCGCCCACCTTGGCCTCCCAAAGTGCTGGGATTACAGGAGTGAGCCACCATGCCCAGCTGCCAGTATACATGGTTTAGTGATTACTATTTACCTGTAATAAAAAGCTCCATGTAAAAATATAACATAATTTTTCCTCCATTTTTTAGTTATTCAATTATTCTTGAATTTCCTGCTTTAATGGATAAATCATAATACTCAGCGGACTGGGAAGAAATCAAACCCCCAAATCATGTGGCTACAAGTTTTTAACTTGACAATTCAGTTGACAAGCCCTACCTCGTCTATAGCACAAACACACAGCCACAGCGTGAAGTCAGTCAGCTGTTAGCTGTGCCAGTGGTAGGATTTCTAGTAGGTTCTGCTTTTCAAAGACTCACTTTCATTCTAAAGTGGTATGCTACACATAAAACCATCAATCTGGCCAGGCGCAGTGGCTCATGCCTATAATCTCAGTACTTTGGGAGGGCGAGGTGGGAAGATCACTTGAGCTCAGGAGTTCCAGACCAGCCTGGACAACATAGCGAGACCCCGTCTCTACAAAAAATATAAAAATTAGCTGGGTGTAGTGGCACACACCTGTAGTCCCAGCTACTTGGGGGGCTGAGGTACGAGGATCGCTTGAACCCAGGAGGCAGAGGTTGCAGTGAGCCAAGATCACACCACTGCACTCCAGCCTGGGTGATAGAGGGGAACCCTATCAAAAACAAAAAACAAAAAACAAACGAAAAAAAAAATTTAAGCCAGAACACATCATCTTAAGGAGAACGAAAATCTTCTGTATGCACATACTGCCAACACATTTTAAAAGGCCCACATTTTAACAAGTAGACAAACTATCAGACAAGAGATCATAAATTATTTTGGCTGACAAAAATCGTTGAAATTATCTAACTCAACATTCTGCATGTAGGTTTCTACACATAATGTATATGTATGGGTGTGTCTACACAGCCTTTTGAAGGGAATGGCATATGATGAAGCCCATTTTTCCATAGTTATGATGGTGTCCTAGCAAAGCAAGAATATCAAGGTCTGCATTTCTGCCAACTCAATGCATAGCCCCAAGAGCTTCCTGCAGAGGAAAGCTAGCATGGAGAATCCAGTCCATGTCTGTAGGACAAAACATTAATGGTAGAAGGTTGGAGAAACTTGTGGATGGTTGGCATTGCAGCTTCAGGGCTGGCATTCTCTGTGGTTTCAGGTGTGTCTGTTAATGGATTCTGTGGTCTCTGATCCAAGTCTTTAACCAATATGAAACTGGATGGCAAGGAAGTGGTCTGCTGAGAAGTCTGATTGAATATATTCTCCTCTCCTGCTAAAAGCCTGGGTGAAATGTCTGCACTGAAGGTGCAGTGTAGCTGATTAGATGTTTCCTCTGGGATTAAGGCAACAGAGCTGCTCTGTTTTGTTAATTCTCTTGACTTGGAGCTATGTAGCCTACCATTTGACCTGCCATCACTTGGATCCCTGAAGGTAACGTTTTCTTCTTTTTTTTTTTTTTTTTTTTGAGATGGAGTCTCGCTCTGTCACCCAGGCTGGAGTGCTGTGGCGTGATCTCGGCTCACTGCAAGCTCCGCCTCCCGGGTTCAAGCCATTCTCCTGCCTCAGCCTCTCAGGTAGCTGGGACTACAGGCGCCCACCACCACGCCCAGCTAATTTTTTGTGTTTTTAGTAGAGACGGGGTTTCACTGTGTTAGCCAGGATGGTCTCCATCTCCTGACCTCGTGATCCGCCCACCTCGGCCTCCCAAAGTGCTGGGATTACAGGCGTGAGCCACCGCGCCCGGCCGAAGGTAATGTTTTCTACAACTCCTATGCTAGCATCAAGTGAGGTATTTCTTAACTTTAAAAAAAATATGATTTTTTTAAATTAAAATATTGCATTGGTGTGGTACTTGGGTTACAACTGATGAACCACTATTGATATTTATTATTAACTAACATTCGTAGGCTGTATTAGGATTCACTCTTTGTATTAGACAGTTCTTTGTGTTTTGCCAAATGCATAATGTCACATATCCACCACTACTATATCACACAGAATAGTTTTTTGTTTGTTTGTTTGTTTTGAGATGGAGTCTCACTCTGTCACCAGGCTGGAGTGCAGTGGTGCAATCTCGGCTCACTGCAACCTCCACTTCCCGGGTTCAAGCGATTCTCCTGCCTCAGCCTCCCGAGTAGCTGGGACTACAGGCACGCACCATCACGCCCAGCTAATTTTTGTATTTTTAGTAGAGACAAGGTTTCACTACTTTGGCCAGGATGGTCTAGGTCTCTTGACCTCGTGATCCACCCACTTTGGCCTCCCAAAGTGCTGGAATTACAGGTGTGAGCCACCGCGCCCGGCCCAGTTTTATTGCCCTACAAATCCCTGGTGTTTAACCTATTCTTCTCTTACCCCCACACTCGACCCATGGCAACCACTGATCTTTTTACAGTCTCTAGAGTTTTGCCTTTGCATATGTCAATTAGCTGGAATCACACAGCATTTAGGCTTTTTCAGACTGGCTTCTTTTACTTAGTAATATGCATTTAGGGTTCCACCGTGTCTTTTTGTGACTTGAAAAATCATTTCTTTTTAATCACTAAATAATATTCCATTGTAAGGATATACTACAATTTGTTTATCCATTCACCTATTGAAGGACATCTTGGTTGCTTCCAGTTTTTGGCAATTAGGAACAAAGTGGCTACAGACATTTGTGTGCAGGTTCTGTGTGGAGTTGCCTGTACATTTTTCAGTCTTCACCCATACAGGTACAGTCCAAGGAGAGCAGGCCTGGGAACACTGTCCATTCTGGGCTGCCGTAAGATACTCCGTGGGCTCCATTTTTCGGAAAGCTCCTTAATACGTGTTTGGTTCTCAGCTACCATTTCTGATTGTCAGGTAGCTTTTGCAGATATATTTTCTTAAGCTTGGTTACTACTAGTGACTGAAATGTAACTATTTCCCTTAAGGCTGCCACTAAAAATGAGCAGATTTCCTCTGTTGACTCCTTAGAGTGCCAAAACTGGCTCAGAGAATTAAACAGGGGGAGCAATTCCCATATAGTAAATGCAGCAACTCCTTATTTGTCCCAGAGGCATGGACATTACTTTCCAGGACTGTAAAGCTCCAGTGGAAATTGTGTTACTTAAAACTTCCAATGAAGAGTTGCAATTTGATGTCTCCACTTCCATAAAGGGATTGTCTGAATTGAGATCAGCTGCACGTATGTTCTTGACACTGGCATTCAGGTGTCTACTTCCACAGCCAAAGGAAGAATACTTTTCTGGGTACCTGGAAGCTCCCTATTCTGCTGTAGCCTGTCTCCTTTCATCTCAGCTTCCAAATCAAGAGAAGCAGATTAAGTATTCCTTTTCTGAAATCTTTGGGACCAGGCCAGGCATGGTGGCTCACGTTTGTAATCCCAGCACTTGGGGAAGCTGAGGTGGGAGGATCGCTTGAGCCTAGGAGTTCAAGACCAGCCTGGGCAAAGTAGCCTTTTTGTGAGACCTAGTATACACAAAAACTAAACAAAGTTAGCTAGGTGTAGTTGCGTGAACCTGTAGCCCCGGCTACTTGGGCGGCTGAGGCAGGAGGATCATTTGAGCCCAGGAGATTGAGGTTCCAATGAGCCATGATGGTGCCACTGCACTCCAGCCTGGGCAACAGAGCAAGACTCTGTCAAAAAAAAAAAAAAAAAAAAAAAAAAGGAAGGAAAAAGGAAAGGAGAGGAGAGGAGAGGAAAATACAAATGCTTGGGACCAGAAGTGTTTCCAGTTGTGGCATATTTGCATGGACATAAAGACAACATACATTTATGATTTATATACACATAGCTGAAGGTAATTTTATACAATCTTTTGAAATAATTGTACGCATGAAACAAAGTTTGGACTGCGTTTTGACCGCAATCTGTCAAGTGAAGTCAGGTGTGGGATTTTTCCACTTGGCATATCATATTAGTGCTCAAAAATTTTTGGATACTGGAGCTTTTCAAATTTTGGATTTTCAGGTTAGGGATGCCCAAGGTGTAGTTGTTAGACCTGTTCCCTTTCACCCAGGAAGTTCATGGTCCCCTGTGTTACAAAGATGTTCTTGGTCACGTGAAGAATTCTTTTTATTATTATTATTATACTTTAAGTTCTAGGGTACATGTGCACAACATGCAGGTTTGTTACATAGGTATACATGTGCCATGTTGGTTTGCTGCACCCATCAACTTGTCATTTACATTAGATATTTCTCCTAATGCTATCCCTCCCACAGCCCCCGACCCCTGACAAGCCCCGGTGTGTGATGTTCCCCGCCCTGTGTCCAAGTGTTCTCATTGTTCAATTCCCACCTATGAATGAGAACATGTGGTGTCTGGTTTTCTGACTTTGTGAAAGTTTGCTGAGAATGATGGTTTCCAGCTTCATCCATGTCCCCACAAAGGACAGGAACTCATCCTTTTTTATGGCTGCATAGCATTCCATGGTGTATATGTCACATGGAGAATTCTTTTGTTCAATCTCATGCTGGTTCTTTGTGCTACTGAAGGCCATCATTCACTTTGTTCAGATTCTGACATTCTAGATGCTAGCCTTGTTCATTTAGAGACATACATCTGTGGTAAATGCATCATGGTAGTTGTGACAGAAAAACTAGCTTCCTTTCTTGTATGGAGATGAAATTTAAGATCTTGGGTGCTTTTTTCAGCAGGTAGTTTCTTTCAATTACCTGCTTCTTCTGATGAACCCTACAGAGGCATAGCTGGGCACCAATCTGATGCAGTACTATGCTGGAGAAACAGGATCAGAAATATCTTACAGAAGAAAAGAATGCTTTTCTTTTCCTTCCATTTTTAATTTCTTCATTTAAAAACCAATACTTGGGTATATACCTAAAAGAATTGAAAGCAGGGACTCTAAGAGATATCCGTACACTCATATTCACGGCAGCATTATGCACAACAGGCAAAAGGTGGAGGCAAGCCATGTATCCGAACTGCAGCTGAATGGATAAGCATAATGTGGCGTAAACAATGGGATATTATTCAGCCTTAAAAAGAAAGGAGATTCTGATATACACTATAACATGGATGAACCTTGAAAATATTATACTACATGGAATAAATTAATCACAAAAGGACAAAAAACCTCTTTTTCTTTATAAATCACCCAGTCTCGGGTATGTCTTTATCAGCCGGGTGAAAACGGACTAATATACTATATAAGTGGAATCCCTTATTGATATTTTTAACAGCAACAAAAAGGTACTGTGAGGAGGAGGGATGGGGAGTTATGGTTTAATGGGTATGGAGTTTCACTTTGAGAAGATAAAAACGTTCTGGAGATGGATGGCAGCGATGGTTGCACAGCAATGTGAAAATAAATGTCACTGAACTGTACACTCAAAAAACAGTTAAAATAGTACACTTCATTCTATGCAAAATACAAAATTCTATGCATATTTTATTACAATTTTTTAAAATCAATGTTGCAGTTAATGCAATCAAGCTATAATACTAGCACCTTAATCTTGAGTGACCATTAAGTCCTGGTCACCCCTAGGTTTGCTGAGGTAGTCTCCATTTATGTTTCTGTATTCAGGGCAATCAGTAATCATTCCCTCTTCACTCTCAAAAGTGTCCTGGCTTGAACAATAAGTCATCTGATCACCTTAGATCTATTTCATAATTGTATTAAGTCATTGAATTACCATCTTTGTATGCAAATGTCTTAACATTGAGAATGTACCTGTATTTTTTTTAATTACTCTAATCATAAATTTGATGTCCCATGGAATGTTATAGGCTCTGATAAAATTTTAATGGCTTCTGATTACTTTATGAACACTGATTAGAGCACCAAGAGCAGTCCTCATTTCTTATAAACACATTATTTCTCTAAACACTAAAACTCTCTAACATTTATCAAGCTCACCTACTTCACTAGCTCTGTGTTAAAGGGAACAGAGAAGACAAAGACATGGGCCCAGACAGTTGCTACTTCTTGCCTCTCTTGGCTACCTTTTTGTTGCTATTAAAAATATCAACAAATATTCTTTGAAAGCAGAAACATGTTCATGTTTCAATTATTTCCATCTTCCACCTCACCATGAGAGAATACACCACTTTCTCTTCGAGTAAGCTACTGTTCTGCACTTATAATAAAAGTACCATACTATCATAACCTTATTGTTATCCACTCCCTGGACGAATATTTTCTCTCATTTTCCAACTCCAAATATCAGAGGTAAATATAACAAAATTTTGTTCAATAATCAAGACCATCCCTTGATGTGCTAATGTAATTTGTGAGTGCAAATAAACTGGTAATTTACTGCTTAAAAATAGAAGAGATCCAATCATATCTACTTCAATAGTTTGGAAAAAAAGGAATCTGACAAGCACCAGGGTATGAAATAAGTAATTAAAGTGAATTCAAGCATACTCTTATGTTATTCTCCAATAAACAAGTCATGTCTATTTCTGTAATCCTTAAAATGAGCATGCTGAAAGTTACAGGGGAGAGAAAGATTCGGGAAAAACACAGATAATTCATCTAATGAAAGAACTAACAAGCCAGGTGCTATTATTTCTCTCTTAGTACATTACTTTCTTCCTTTGTATTGTGGTTCATTAAATGGGTAGACTATCTGCGGCTTTGAGAAGGAAAAATAATTTTTAAACAATCATTTTCCTAATATTTTACCTTGATTATGAAATCAAACCTAAGAAACATTATTTTCATTCAATTAGTACCGTATGCAGAGGCAGGCGCTTGGTAATTTTTAGTTATTCATTTGCTTGATGCTTTTTCCAGCAATTTCAGCTGCAAAACGATAACATCCATCTGTTTGAAAAGGTAACTGGTTAGCAACTAGCTCCTTTAAAAAATTTTTACAACATATCCTCTTACCTTTCCAAAGTCAATCTCTACCAATTTTAAAAATAAATACTCTAGCCAAATCTCGGATGAAATATATTTTAGATATGTGTTAGGCATGATGGATTGTCACAGAACATTCACTCCTATCTCCTTCAAGTGTGCATCCCTCTACCTTTGAGGCTAGAAACCTATAAGCTGCATTTCCCAGAGTCCCTTGCAGCTAGGGTTCTGGGCACAGTGTTCTTGCAGGGAGATGAGTAGCGTAAGAAGGAAAGTGGAGAGCATCTAAGGAAAACATTTGCTTTCTTGTTTTTGTTGTTGGTAGCAATGTTCATTCACCAGCTTCCTAGGGTGGAGAGGCATTTTGCAGCAGCCTCTCTGATCAATGGAACACAGCCCAAAAGGTGCACCCTTGATGTTAGCAGTTCTAGCGGTGGTTCTGATTCCCAGCCCCCAGGCTGTGGCAATGACAGCAGCAACCCTGGGGGCCCATCAAGCTTGCCGCCCGGGAGCCAACGCATGAGGCTCAGGCCAGGTCCCCTCCCCTACTTTCAGTTGCAACCTTCATTCCAACCTTCCTGTGAGCATCTAATTCTCATATTCAACCCCTTCCTGCTCGAAATAGTTAGGATAGTTTCCATTATCTGCAACCTAACAGAGAAGAAAGAGAAGGTAGAAATGAGCACATTCGATACAGCAAAATGGGACGTAACACCCCAGAAGAACCATGGAAGTGGCAAAGGTTGTGCCTATTTGACATTCGCAGTTACACCTTTAAGAACAAGAAGTTCATAGGCTGCACCTTGCAGGACTACCCAAATCAGGACTAACAACCCTTTAGGGCTTAGGGTTGATGCCGAGACATATTAACAAAGGCTGGGAAATAATGATCGGGACCCCTAGAGAGAAAAGAAGGGAGGATAGGAGGGAACGGGGAAAGGCAAAGAGAATAAAAACACGCATATGTGTGAAGAGGACCATACACCAAACTCCTCAAGTGCCCTCCTTCCCCTACCACCTCATCATCATCTCTAAAAACAACCACAGGTTACTTCTTTAACCTAGCTGAGTCAAAGGCCTGTCTAGGGTGGAGAAGATGCAAGTGTGACAGCCTCTGGCTCCCAAAGGACACTGATTACTAAGAGTACAGCATATTCTATACTCTATGCTATAGGAGTATACTAGCAGTATATTCAGTATACCCAGATGGGGGATTAAACCAGTGACCCAAATATTCAGTTCTAGAGTCTATTAGGCAGCAACCTCTCTGCAGCCTCCAGGAGATGATATTTAGTCAACACACTCCTACTTCTTATTATAAACCCCTCTTTATGACTGCTCACAATGTGCCAACTGTGTACTCAGCATTTACACCTATTCATTTGCTCCCCACAGCCACCTGGGGAGGTGTCATTATCTCCATTTCACAGACAAGGAAATGGCTCAGAGCTGGGCTTTTTAATCCAGGTGATCTAGTTCAAACTCTTAAAATGTCTTCTTTGAGTGGTTAGAAGTTTCTCTGGATGAGAAGTGAGTATCCAAAATGAATGATGTTAACTCTTTTTGAAGATGTCTCAGCTAGGAGTTCTATGCAATGTACTTTCTTTATGGCATCAAAAGAAGTGAGTCACAAAAGCTGAAGGACATTTAAATGGCCATTTGGCATCACTCTTCAGTCTGTCCTTAAATGAATTCTCCAGTTATCTTAATGCTTTCATGCCATTCTTTTCAGAAGAATTCCTAATTTATCTACGAGTAAAAACATAAGATTGCACAGTCAAGCGCTGACAGCCTAATTTCAATAATGCATTATACCAGGGGCTTAATCGCAATGAGAGCTTTCACTCAATTCCTGTTTAAAAACACAAATGAGAACAGTGACATGTAGTAAACAGGCATTTAATTGCATTTTGCTCTCAATATTATGAGCCTGTATAGTGCCAAATATGTCTTGCTTGTGTCTTCTTCAAAGCAATGATAGAGGCTTCTTCATAAATGTGTTTCAAATTTTGGAGACTAGTTCTCTAAAGGAGCATATAAATTCTTTACAAGTGAAATGCATTTAAGCATTCACATATCCGCGTATCAGAAATACTATAAGGTCTGGTCTCTTCTTTACAACCCCTGCAATCTCCAGTAAGATTTCGCTGTCAGAGATACACGTACACAGAGATTTAAGATTTACTGGGAAGATCCCCACTCCCATTGACCTTCCAATTTAAAGTAGAGTTAACCATTCACACAGGGTATTCCCAATTTCACATCACTCTGGTAAGTAAAATTTTATTAAAACCTTTGAACTACCTTGGAACTTTATCCATATTAAGATATACACGCAAAAAGGCACATTTCCAAAGAACATCATTACGGTAATTGAATCTTTCTAGAAACAAAATTTCTTTGGAGTTAGAAAAAGAGTGTATACAGAGCTCTCTTTTCAAATCTGATCAAATGCGTTAATAAAGCAGCAGTTCTTTGGCACAATTTCCTCAGTGACAAGATATGTCCCAACTTCTCAAGGTCTTCTTTAAATAAGTTATAGGTAACCAATGACCATCTGAGAGCCACTTCCACCCTCCCAAGTGATTTTCTTGCTATGAGCAACTCTAAGGCACCACTCACAACACTGGACAGTTCTTTACCCTGTATTCTCAGCCAGCCATCAAAGACAGAGAAAGTTCTAACTCTCCCTTCCCCAAACTTCAACCAAGTTAACCATTCGTTAGCTAAAAGATAAAGGCTTCCAAGGTGGGTGGATCATTTGAGGTCAGGAGTTCAAGACCAGCCTGGCCAACAAGGTGAAATCCCCCTCTCTACTAAAAACACAAAAAAATTAGCTGGGCATGGTGGTTTGCACCTGTAATCCCAGCTACTGGGGAGGCTGAGGCAGGAGAATCGGTTGAACTCGGGAGAGGGAGGTTGTACTGAGCCAAGATCGCACCACTGCACCCCAGCCTAGGCGATAGAGTGAGGCTCCATCTCAAACATAAACAAACAAACAAATAAATAATAAAAAATAGAAAGATAAAGGCTTCCATTTGCTGATGTCACATGAATAATAGCAATTTTAATTGCTGAAACAGGGTGAAATGCCAATGGTTAGCTGTAATATTACCAATAATCTTAACCTGAAAACAATATAGATATATTTTAGCTCTTTCTACACACTAAATTTTCAATGTACATTTAAATTCATGCCTACCACCTAACATAAAGCTCTGCAAGTAGACGTTTACAGCCTTATCTTCTTTCTACATAGAGCATTGTGGGCTCACATCATTTATCACAAAGAACCCAAGTACTATAAAAAGAATCAGCCGGGCCCGGTGGCTCACGCCTGTAATCCCAGCACTTTGGGAGGCCGAGGCAGGCGGATCACGAGGTCAGGAGTTCCAGACCAGCCTGACCAACATGGTGAAACCCCGTCTCTAGTAAAAATACAAAAATTAGCCAGGCATGGTGACGGTTGCCTGTAATCCCAGCTACTCAGAAGACTGACGCAAGGGAATTGCTTGAACCCGGGAGGCGGAGGTTGCAGTGAGCCGAGATCGTGCCATTGCACTCCAGCCTGGGTGACAGAGAGAGACTCCGTCAAACAACAACAAAAAAAACCCCACACATAGCAAGTAATATCATACAAATCCTTACCTTCCTATTTTGGCATTCCTTCTTAAACTGTATTTTCATCGTGAGCTTTGAAAACTTTCTGGCTTCAAGTTATCTTAGTTCTTTGCCTCTTACTAATTAAAAATCAGTTCCCCAGGGAAAGATACACGTGCACTCCATGAAAAAATACGAATCCACTTTAACCCTTAAGGCACTAGACATGTCCTTTATCTCTGAATTCTGATTTATCCAATCTCACACCCAAAGCACATCCCGCAATCCCTTACTGCATGGCTGTCTCGCCTGTTTTGATCGTATTGCAAGGCTGTTTGCAAGGTAAACAGCCACCCCGGGCTACTGGAAAGGCAGGGGACGAGCAGGAACTCACCCAGGCGGCCAGACCCGGGCGCGGGCTCCGGGGCACGCGCTAGACGACCTGTCGCGCCCCCTCCTCCCTGCGGGCGGGCGCCGAGGCAGCGGATCTAGGGCGCAACAGAAGCTTCTCTCCGCTCCCCTATGCAGACCATTGTCAGTGCTCCGGTCGCCGGCGCTTTCCGCACGGTGTGGCGACTGGCAGCAGCTCTCCCGTTGCGAGTAGTCACAGCGCTGTCCCGCAGCCAGGGGCAAAAGCTGCTTTTGCATCAGAGCCGAGGGCTGCACCAGGTGTAACTTCCACCCCTTGACCTATTTTAGAGTGTGAGGATGAAAGGAAGAGGAAAAAATAGACGGAGGGCGCGCGGGGGTGCGGGCGGCAGGGTGCGCGCGTGGCCGTGGGGGAGCGCGCGCGCGGGCCGGGGCTCGTGTCGGGGCTTCCAAAGAGAAGTTGCAGCGAGGCGCCCCCCGGCGTCCGGCGCCTGGGCCCGGTCGGGGGTGCTTCGCTAGCCCTTCTTCCCGCCGCGGCCGCAGGCCAGCTTGGCCCGCCCTACTCCGGCGCCCCGCGCGGGAAGCGCAGCTACCGGGGATCGGGGGCTTTGGGCTGGCCCCGCGACAGCCGTCGGGAGACCGCCCGCGGCCCCCGCCCCCGTCACCGTCCCCGCCTCCCCGGGCCGCCTTCACCTTTCGGGAGGCGGCGCTCGGGCTCAGCTGTCCGGGAACCCAGGCCTGCGGCGCCTCCGGGCAGCGAAGGCGGGCTGGCGCGCGGCGGAGCCGGGGACTGTCGCCTCCCCGCCCCGTTCCCTGCAATCGCCCCGCCCGAACGTGCCCGGGAAGTGAGGCTGGGCCGCGCCCGCCCCGCCGGGGACGGGGTGACCTTCCGGCCTCCAGCCGTGCCCTTGTTGCCTGCCTCTCTCGGCGTGGCCCTTCCTGCGTAGGAGAAGACGCCCCGGCGGGAGCACCTGGTCGGCCCGCAGCGCATCAGCGCAGTACCTTGGGTGACGACGACGCTTGGCTTTAGCGCGGCTCTTCTCACTTAATTTTTTACAGCCCCGGACTTCAGCGGAAATGCCCCCTCGGGGTCGGTTCATTGGGATAACTGGAGATGGGGGGGTTAAGTAGGGTGCCACGGCTTAGACGCTCCAAATCATTCCACTACACAACATGCCTAATCTGCTGAGTTTTGCAAAACGAGCCCCATCAAAAAAGCATCCATCAGAAGGCGGGGTGGAACTTAGAAGTTTTTGCCCAAAACTGGACACAAACCTTTCCTCCCCCCATTGCTTCTATGACAATAGCGTTAACTACTTTCTTCCAGGTCCCTAACGTAATAGTATCTTCAACCGCCTATTATCAAACAACTCCGTTATCATCAGGGATCTATGCACTTTAAAAATGCACGTTCTTAGTGACGAAAAATGAGCACATTTAGTAACCGCTCTGCCGCCCTTTGTATAGAGGTTCGTGCTCCTGATCCCCAGCGTAGGGGGCAGAGTTCATGTCGAGCTGTTGTTTCCAGTTCAGGTTATTTATGGGGACCCAACTACAGGTCTCACATAGACGCTGGTCTATAACAGGTTATTTGTGAGGACACAACTACAGGTCTCACATAGACGCTGGTCTATTTCAGGTGCTACTAAGAGGGCTAATGGACGTCAGCATATAGTTTCTGATTCTGGAATCGTTTTCTAGTGCCACAGTATATTGGGTGGGGTGGAGTGGGGGAAACCTTTGTTTGGGCTTCTCTTTATCCTCATGCCCTGGATAATCAGACTGACATTTTCTTTTTCTGTAAAGGCCTCACATTCAAAAAGAAAGAAAGAAAGAAAGAAAGAAAGAAAGAAAGAAAAAACCACGAGTCTGGTTTTACGTATTCTTGAGCTGAATGCCAGCTACAGAAATGCAGCAGCTCATCCTTGCTTCCATTCACTGGAGCTACAACTACAATATGTCTTCGGACACAGAAGACGTATTGGATACTGTGATGTTCCTTGTCCTCTTCTAACAGTGCATTAGGAGACAAAGCATACCTAAAGTATAGGATAGTGCCTGGCAAATAGTAGGACCTGATAAATACTCGTCCAGTGATTGAAAGACTGTGATAAACAGGAAAGTAACCTACCTTAACTTTTGTAGGAAAACATAAGGGAAATCAGTTATAGGTGACATTGTCAGGGAAGGCATCCTGGAAGTGGTGTCCAATGTCTGATTTAGATATAAAAAATTGGCTAAGGACTAGGTGAGGTGGCTCATGCCTGTTATTCCAGCAGTTTGGGAGGCTGAGGTGGGAGGATCGCTTGAGGCCAGGAGTTTGAGACCAGCTTGGGCAACATAGTGAAACCTCATTTCTGAAAGAAATACAAAACATTAGCTGGGCGTGGTGGTGCATGCCTATGATCCCAGCCATTCAGGAGGTTGAGGCAGGAGGGTCACTTGAGCCCAGAAGCTTGAAGTTGCAGTGAGCTGTGCTTGCACCACTGCATTCCAGCCTGGGTGACAGAGAACCTATCTCAAAATAAGTAAATAAATAAATAGAATTAACTAGGGAGTGGAAGTGAGAAAGTATATTTGATATGCTTTCAAGACATAATAGAGGCAGAGATTCTTAACCTTTTGTAGGTAATAGGCCCCTATGAAAATGTTGATAGAAGCTTTGAAACCCCCTTATATAATAAACAAATGTAAAATATTTGCATTTGTTTTCTGAAAGTTCACTGACGGCTTGAAGCAGACATGTAGAATCCCTAGAGACTTGTGAACTATGACATGAGTTACCAACTTCTTTCTTGTTTGGAGGCAGGTAGAAAAATAAAGAGATTTTTCTAGTTGAGGCCGTCATAAGCGGCATTTCAGTGACCACCAGTAGAATTTGGGTAATGGTTGTGGGAAAGGAAAGAAAAATGTACTGTAAAGAAAATTTGTACACCAGAGAAGCATAGCTAGACTTTTAAGCCATTTATGTTATTTTTGTACCAGAGAATTTCACTTTCACATCTCAGCAAAAAGGAGGAAAGGATAAAAAATGACTGTCAAAATATTGACAGTTGCTGATGCTGGGTGTACACATGGGGGTTTATTGCATTATTTTCTCATTATTTGTGAGGTTTAACGTTTTTCAGTTTTTTAAAATTTCAGTGGATTTTTACTCTCGGTAGTCATAACCAATCCTATGGCATTTCCTAACTTGAGTTCTTAGAATGGAGATTTTTGTATATAAAAAAAGAAAGAAAGAAAAGAAAAAGAAAACAATACAAACAGGCCAGTGATGCCACACATAAGATTGTTATTAATAAGTAGAGTCTATGTAGAAACAATACGTTTTCTCTGAGGAAGAATTATAAAGTGTGTTGGCCATAGTCTCAACAGAAATTAGACAACTATGAAACGTTGAACACGTGTTTTTCTGGTTTTTTGTTTGTTTGTTTTTGAAACGGAGTCTTGCCCTGTCACCCAGGCTGGAGTGCAGTGGTGCGATCTCGGCTCACTGCAAGCTCCGCCTCCCAGGTTCACGCCATTCTCCTGCCTCAGCCTCCCAAGTAGCGGGGACTACAGGCGCCTGCCACCATGCCCGGCTAAGTTTTTGTATTTTTAGTAGAGATGAGGTTTCACCGTGTTAGCCAGAATGGTCTCGATCTCCTGACCTCGTGATCCACCCGCCTTGGCCTCCCAAAGTGCTGGGATTACAGGCATGAGCCACCGTGCCTGGCCTTCTGTTTTTTTCTAATGTTACACTTAACTTCACTGTGTGTTGCTTAGTTAACTAAGTTTCTTTATCATTACATTTTATTATTATATCATGCATATAATTTATATACTTATATATTATATATTCATATGCAATGTAAATATATATGCAATATGAATATATATTCACATGTATTATATATTTTAATATATTTATATAATATAAATTATTGTATTATGTGTTATATACATACATATATTTATATATAACAGAATATATTATATATATTATATATACAGATGTTCCTTGAATTACGATGGTTCATTTACAATTTTTCAACTTTATGATGATTTGAAAGCAATGCATATTCACAAGAAGTTATACTTCTAGTACTCATACAACCATTGTCTTTCATTTTTACTACAGGATTCAATAAATTACATGAGATATTCAACACTTTATTATAAAATAGGCTTTGTCTTAGATGGTTTTGCCCAATTGCAGGTTAATGTAAGTGTTCTGAGCACATTTTAAGGCTAAGCTAAACCAAGCTATCATGTTCAGTAGGTTAGGTGTGTTAAATGCATTTTACAACACTTTCCATTTACAATGGGTTTATTAGGATGTAACCCCCATCGTAAGTCAAGGAGCAACAGTACTATATAATATTATTATGACCTTTCTCAGTTAACTCAGTTTCTTTATTAGTCAACTCCCTGGGTCTGGCACACACCTCTTAAGGCTACAGATGGCCGGCCATGATTCCTTGAATGCCTGCCTTACTCACTGCCTGTTTCTGAGCAAGGCAGCCCCAATGCTTCCTTATACATAGGCTGCACACTTTCCAAATGTGACCAATTCAATCAACCAAAGGAGCTATCTAGCATGTCCTGTGGACTACAAGGCTGTTGCCTAGCAAAGCATGAAATTTCTCCAGCTTATGTAATAAATACTGCACACCTGAAGTCTCTTAAGTTATGGCATTTAAGTAAGGAATTCACGTAAGTTCTTTTCCTAAAGCTTTTGACCATTATTTTACTTATCCTCATTGGCTATCACAGTCCTTAGCACTTAGAACTCAATGCACATATTTGCATTAATATGCATGTGTTGCCATAAGCCTCAAAATGTGCTGCATGATGCTTATGTCACCATTTCATTCACTTCAGCCTTGACCATCTATTTTATTCAAGGACGTGGTCTAAGGTACTGGCTCTTAGCCATTGAGGGTGCTTACCTATTATTAGCTTAATGGAGACTTACCAAAAAAATTACTGTATTTTTACCCACTTTTCTCCACCTTTCCAAGTCATCCCATATTTTTTTAGTGGTTTTAGCTAGTTTAGCATGATAACATCTTGATGCATAAGGAAGTGGAATCATCACCAGGCTGAATGGTAGACCCGGGTGAGCTTAACTTCAGATTGCAGGAAGAAATTGTGAGGTGTGTTCCAGTCTCTCAGACTGATCTTTAGGAGACTGGAGACAAAATATTCCAACAACAGGGATAGGCAAAGCTCAAGCTTTATGGCCTCATTGGTTTTAAAGGATTCCCCACAGTGACCCAGTCAGAATGGACTGAGAATCAAAGAGCTCACAGCTGTTTATTAGTCAGCACAATTTAGAGACAGACATGCTAACCAAGAGCTGTCTTTGTCATTTTGGGATGTTCACGGGCTGGAGTCCCAGTAGCCATCTCCTAAATCCTAAACCCTTCAGTTCTTCAGCCATTTTGCTGCTAGAAAGTGTGTAGCTGCTGCCTTTATCCAAGGAACTGATATCTTCCACACCTCTGAAACCTGGAAGACCTTCTCAAGGTACATAGGGAACTTCCTGGCATTGGGAATAGGATGGTTTCTTCTCTTATAGGGTTTTATGCACCAAAAAGAGAAATGCCACTTCTTCTCTTTCTTCCTGAACTTTTAAAAAAGTAGTCCTGCCAAGTCTCATCATTTCTCAAGCACCTGTCCTTGGTCCTCTGCTTTTCTCTCTATATAATCTCCCTAGACAACCTCATCCACCTTTCTAACTGCAAGGAAAAACGCTGTGTAGATTTCTCAAAATTCTGTTTCTCTGAATTGGTCTTCTCATAAACCTGCAGATCCCATGCTCTCATCTTGCTTGACATCTCCACCAGGGTGACCTCAACACATTCGAACCTGAGGTCCTTCGCCCTCCGTGCACCTAAAGCAGCTGCCCTTTTCTTTCTTCTACAATCTCCGTCCTCCCAGTCACCTGGCACATTCTTAGACTCTGCTTCTTCTTGCCCTTCATAGCCCATGGGTGACCACCATCTGACAATTTTGTATCTGTACTGCTTTTATTTATCAACTCTGCTCCCTTCTTATTGTTTCTATTCTAGTTCTTTATGTCCCATTACTTCCCACCTAGATGATTACACTAATTGCTTAATCTGCTCTTCTGATTGCCAAGGCCGTCTCTTCCATAAAAGATAATTCCAGACAAAAAGCTATTGTCTAGATTAATCTTTCTGTCCTAAGAATGTATCAGTTCTTGATCTAGATCCTTCTTACATTTATCACTAACCTTTGTATAAAGTATTATTTTATTCAACAAAGATTCATTGCTGAGCAGTCTGTGAGAAAAGCAATGGGGAGCAAAACAGATAAGATATCTACCCTCATGGCACTTATAGTCTCGTGGGATGACAAACATTAATCAACTAATCACAAATATCACAACTAAAATGTGCAACCCCAAATTGCAACACATACCTTGAAGGAAGACTGCAGAGTTGCTAGGAGAGCTCACAGGTTTCATCACTTTCCCAGAGGGAGGACTGTGTAGGATTCAGCCTTAGATCCTGAAAGTCTAGTCCAGAGCCCTGCACATGGAAGTACTGAATAAGTTGAAGGAACATATGCATCAAGAAAAAAAATTCAAAACAAACTAACAAAAAACACAAAAAATGAAAAAAGAATAAAACAAAGAAAAAAAGCCAAAAGAACATGTGCATCTACTTCTGACATATACATGTGTGATCTTTTCTGTACTACACAATACTGAATAAAACACACACCGGATGTTCCCTCAAATACTGACCTCAACACATAGCCACGTTAGCTGTTTGCTTTTGTTTCCATGACCACATGTCCATGGGGCATCTAATCTCTAAATACACCCTATTTTCTTTGCCAGCATGACAACATGTAGAAACTTGTTATCCTGGTAGCATTACCAAGAATAATTGTTGCTTTATGGTGAAAGTTTTTAGGCATGCTTTAATACTTTGCTGTTATCACCAACACAAACCCATCATCCCTCTTCCCTACAGTTTGGAATGTTTGCTGAAGATGTCAAACAACATTGTTTCTTTTGCCCCTTGGGAAACTGGTTCATCCTCCAGCTGTCCTTTGTGTCATTCGCCAGCTTCCTCTCCATTTCCAAAGCTGTTTGAGTATTACCTCTTCATCCTCACGCTCTTACCTTTTGTCTGTCACTCTTTCATCATTCTGCTATTATGATCACGTAATTTTTGGAGTCAGCTTTTCGCTGGAACACTGAGTGACACATATCACTTGGCTTATTTTATCTCTTTTTTTTTCTTTTTACAATACTATTAGATAATTTGTTTCAAGAAGCACTTTTGTGCATAGAATCTCAGGTCTGATTTGGGTGTGTGTGTTGTTTGTTTCCAGCTTTGAATGAACAAGGACTGGAAAAGATGAGCTTATTTGTCATGGTAGGAAAAGAAAAACTGCAAAAAAATACAATAAATTTCACCAACAGAGAATGTGTTATATAAATAAGGGAGCAACTACATGTTAAAAAATGCAGAGCCATGATCCTGAAGACAATTTAATGACCTGGAGATACAATGCAGTGTTAAATAAAAAGCAGTTTCACCCCAATATTTTAACATTATATAGTATATTTACATATATGTAGGGGAAAATGCTGGACAACCATACAAAAATGTGACTAGTGATTTTCTCTAGGTGATGGAATTTTATTTTCATATATATATATATATATATATATACTTTTTTTTTTGAGAGAGGCAGACTTGCTCTGTCCCTCAGGCTGGAGTGCAGTGGTGCAATCTCAGCTCACTGTAATCTCTGACTCCCGGGTTCGAGTGATTCTCCTTCCTCAGCCTCCCAAGTAGCTGGAATTACAGGCGCGTGCCACCAGGCCTGGTTAATTTTTTTGTATTTTTAGTAGAGACAGGGTTTCACCATGTTGGTCAGGCTGGTTTCAAACTCCTGACCTCAGGTGATCCACCCACTTTGGCCCCCCAAAGCGCTGGGATTACAGGCATGAGCCACCACACCTGGCCTCTTCTATATATTTTTTAAAGGGAAGGGGATTCTATGCAGTTTGCGAGCAAAGCATATCCCTATTTATAGCCACAACTCTTGTCTCATAAATTTTATTGCTATTTCATCACTGCTCTTACCAATGAAATATGTGAGGAGCAGTACCAACATAGTACTCTTTCGTTCTCTTTATTATTATTTTAAATTCTCAAGTGCAAAAGTACGAGAAAGTCCAATTGTTTCAAGTGTAGAAGTCACAATGACCTCATCATTCTCACTGTAAAAAGCTATTTTATGTCTATGTCAAAAATAAATTACCTATTGTATTTACATCCTGTTTTTTAGGTGAAGGCAAATGTTGGCTCCCTGGCTAAGTGTCTTGATGAGATCTACCTATTAGTAATGGTAATCTTGGGTTTGTATGACAGTCAGCTCTAGGAAAAATGGAGAAATAGGGTCACTCTGTGTGTGTGTGTGTGTGTGTGTGTGTGTGTGTGTGTGTGTGTGCATTATGTGCACTTGTGCACTCACCTGTGCTCGTGTCATCCCTAGAGATTTGATTCTGGGGAAAACAAAGGGTGAATTTTGAGATAGTTGGTTTTTATTTTTCTCTGGAGATATATTTTGAACTTTTTGGGGGATACAAGTTTTGAGATATTTTCAAATAAATTAATACTTAAGATTAGATCCTAATGTATGTTACTAGAAGTTAACGCATTGTAAAATAGTTTCAGAAAGCTGTGCCATAAGAAAATTTTGTTCGAAAACTATTTGCAATTGTCAAAGCACAGCTCTTATCTTCTGAGAGCAAGCAAGACAATACTAATCTTCTTCAGCCTTCCTCTCAGAGTTCAAATAACCCGAGTTCTGTGACACTGATCTTAATCAAGACCTCTGGGCCTTAAATTACTTATCTAAAAAGAGAGAGCATTGAGTCAGATAATCACTGAGATCACCCACGATTCTTAAAAGAAAATGCATTTTTGCTTAGATCTGGAGTGAAAATCATTCCATTGTAAAAAGCTATTTTATGTCTATGTCAAAAATAAATTACCTATTGTATTTACATTCTGTTTGTTAGGTGAAGGCAAATGTTGGCTCCCTGGCTAAGTGTCTTGATTATATCTACCTATTCGTAATGGTAATCTTGGGTTTGTGTGAAAGTCAGCTCTAGGAAAAATGGAGAAATAGGGTCACTCTGTGTGTGTGTGTGTGTGCATTGTGTGTACTTGTGCACTCACCTGTGCTCATGTCATCCCTAGAGATTTGTAGAGTTGTAAAATAAAGAAGGAATTTGGTGCTTTCTTTATTGCATCCATTTATGATCTAAAGGTTCAGTAGGAAAATTTCCCATTTTCCAAGCTGCATTTCAAAAAGCTGGGTATGGAGTTAATAGTTGGTAGAAGCTTCTATTTAATTCATCCGAAAAATTTAGGAAGAACTTGTGAGATGGAAGAGGAAGGAGACTTATTCTGAGATGCTCCAGAGGGCAGACTTGGACCAGTGAATGCAAGTTACGGGGAAGAACATTTAGACTCAACTAGAGGAAGAGATTTCTAAAGTTTGAACTGCATAAAAGCAGAGCTTTTGCAAGAGGCACAACTCTTTGTCTCTGGATCGGCAGAGGAAGAGGGCAGCTCGTTTACTGGTGATGTTTGTAGAGGGTACCCATACATCAGACAGGAAGTCGTGTCAGACACCTCAATGTCCCCTCCTGGGCTGGGGTTCTTTGATGTGATATGACAATGTACTTTGGCAAATGGCAGAATACACAGTCTTTTCAGGTGTTTGGACAAAGAATGAGCCTAGTATTTTCACAACACAGGCTTTGCAGCTCTTATTTCTCTTTCCTGCTCCGATGGTGTCACCTTCTGTACTGGTGATGAAACTGGTTATGTTTGGAATAGGAGTCAAGTCAAGGTATAAATAACGCGAGAAAGAGATGGCAAAGATTGGTTTCATCCAATTTATTTGAAGGATCCAGCTGAGACCAGAACAGGGAATCCGCCTTGGAGACCATGAAAAAATGTTTTCATGGATAATCCAGGAAAATGGCGTCCTAGTTTCGGCATAAGACTGCACATACCTGTTGAACTGGAATTTGTACTTTCTTCTTCCCATTTAATGTGAAAGAAGAAAAGGAAACAGAATAAGCAAATGAGAAAGAAAAGAAACTTTATCCGAGGAATGCAAGCCTCCTGTAAATGATCAGGCCCAGAGAGGCAAGGGAATGAGGCAGCAGTCAGGCCCCACTTCTCCCCTGGAGCTAAGCTAATCATCTCTTGAATCTGCTTGCTCTAGACTGACTGTCGCCACAAGTAGCTGTAAATTAACCTAACAATGCCATGCACTGGACACCATAACTAATATCCTATAGTTCAAAAATATATAGCTAATTACTAATCATTGTCATTTCTGTTAACCAATGGGAATTCCTGACAACTTGTCTGCCTTGTTGCCTTTAAAAACCTGCTTGTAAGAAAGGTTGAATGAAGCTCATATCCAAAGTTACTTGGGTCTGAGTCTTTCAGGCAGCTGTCCTCATCTTGGCTCAAGTAAACGCTTTAAAATTATATTTTGTGCCTTAGCTTCTTCCATGAGGTTGCCACAAATAACAATTATCAGTAGAAAGATGACTAGAAGCATTTTAAAAATCCAACTGAGCAGTCAAAACAGGCACTAAAGGTCAGAGAAGTTATTTTTTTCTTGTAGTTTGTCTAAAAGAAAAATAAATTACCATCAGGAAACAAAAACAACAAAACGGGAGAAAATGCCATTCGCAGGAGAAGATTGCAGGTGAAATAGCACAGAGGTTGAAGTCACTGCTCAGGGCCAGACGGGTGGGAAGTTTCCTTGGCTCGTCCTTTATTTATTTATTTATTTATTTATTTATTTATTTATTTATTTATTTTTAAATTATACTTTTAAGTTCTAGGGTACATGTGCGCAACGTGCAGGTTTGTTACATATGTATCCATGTGCCATCTTGCTGTGCTGCACCCATTAACTCGTCATTTACATTAGGTATATCTCCTAATGCTATCCCTCCCCACTCCCCCAACCCCAGGACAGGCCCCAGTGTGTGATGTTCCCCTTCCTGTGTCCACGTGTTCTCATTGTTCAATTCCCACCTATGAGTGAGAACATGCAGTGTTTGGTTTTCTGTCCTTGCGATAGTTTGCTCAGAATGATGGTTTCCAGCTTCATCCATGTCCCTAGAAAGGACATGAACTCATCGTTTTTTTATGGCTGCATAGTATTCCATGGTGTATATATGCCACATTTTCTTAATCCAGTCTATCATTGTTGGACATTTCGGTTGGTTCCAAGTGTTTGCTATTGTGAATAGTGCCGCGATAAATATACGTGTGCATGTGTCTTTAAAGCGACATGATTTATAATCCTTTTGGTATATACCCAGTAATGGGATGGCTGGGTCACATGGTATTTCTAGTTCTAGATCTTTGAGGAATCACCACACTGTCTTCCACAATGGTTGAACTAGTTTACAGTCCCACCAACAGTGTAAAAGTGTTCCTATTTCTCCACATCCTCTCCAGCATCTATTGTTTCCTGACGTTTTAATGATAGCCATTCTAACTGGTGTGAGATGGTATCTCACTGTGGTTTTGATTTGCATTTCTCCGATGGCCCATCACTTTCTTAATTGCAGGAGAGAATTCATCCATGATTTTGGACAGTGGCTCTTTTCTTTCCCCACAGCAAAGCTTTTCTACATTTACTATTCAGGACGTATACAGGCAACTGTAAGGTAACATAGGTCACTTCTCTCAATTCTATCTGATTACAAATCGGATCAGCATAACCTGGAGCACACAATTTAAGAAAAATGTCAAGCACAATTTTCCTATATTCAAACTTAATACATGTTAAAAGAAAATTTTGTTTACACAAAGTTTAACTTGTAATTTTGTAATCAAGATTCAAGAAATGTTCATGCACACTGTTTAGCCAAAAAAAAAAAAAAAAAAAAAAAGGCAGGCAGGCACAGAGGCTCACACCTGTAATCCCAGCACTTCGGGAGGCCGAGGTGGGGCAGATCACTTGAGCCCAGGAGTTCAAGACCAGCCTGGGCAACATAGTGAAACTCTGCCTCTACCAAAACACACACACACACACACACACACACACACACGTACACACAAAATTAGGCTGGTGTGGTTGTGTGTCTGTAGTTCCAGCTGCTCAGGAGGCTGAGGCAGGAGGATTGCTTGAGCCTAGGAGGTCGAAGCTGCAGTGAGCCATGATCATACCACTGCACTTCAGCCTGGGAAACAGAGGGAGACCCTGTCTCAAAAAAAGAAGACGAAAATCCTGCCATTTGTGACAACATGGATGAACCTGGAGGGTATTGTGTTCAGTGAAATAAGCCAGGTACAGAAAGACAAAAAACATGTGATCTCACTCATATGTGGAATCTAAAAAAGGAATTTAATCTAAATTCCTTTTGTTGCAATTTGGTGGTGGGGATATAGGTCAAAGAACACAAAATGTCAGATAGGAAGAATGCCTTCAAGAGATCTATGGTAAATATGATGACCATAGTTAATAACATCTTGTATTGTTGCAAAATGCTAAGTTAGTGCATGTTAAGTGCTCTCACCACAAAAATGATAGCTATGTGAGATAATGCATATGTTAATTAGCTAGATTTAGTCATTCTACTCTATATATACTACAGACAATTTTATCTGTCAATTAAAAAATGTTTAAAGAAATGTTCATGCAAAAGAGAAAGCTATTTAAAATGGAAACAAAAATGAACACTTTTTCTCAAGATTGCAATTTATACCTAAATGTACAAAGCCAAATAAATGTATGCACTCTGTATACCTTAGCTTCAGCTTTAAAGAAACTCTGCAATGGTTTGGGGTTCTAGAGTTTGATATCTCCAATTGTCATGTTTAAATGTCAGTAAAATTTAACAATAGAAATTATTTGGAATTATTCCAATATGTATTCATTCAGGATCCAGGAAATATTAGACAAAAAAGGGGAAAAAAATGAGGATTTGAAAAGGTATGTTATGTTTTTACTATTGACTAAGAAAAAAACTAGAAACAAACAAACAAAACACCTATTTGCTTCTCAGCAGATGAATTTTTAACGTTGCTGGCCAATTATTCTAAGGCAAGAGCAAAGTCAAGAGTTTCCTCAGGGTGGCCTTGTCTTTAGGAGAAAATAACAGATGGAATCACATCATGTTAATAAAGCAGTTATGTATGCATACAAAGTTTAAGGGATGTAAGGGATTTTCGAAATAATACGATGCAAATAAAAGAAACAAATGTTTACCCCTAAACTTCTGAAGATTCAGAATTGTATGACCCGGAATATAAAAACATCCATAATTGTACCGCCTACAAACATCATTGTTAATATTTTGGTGCATTTCTTTTCTGTCTGTCTGTGTCAGTCAAAGTTGGGATTACATTGTATTCATTTTTACTTTAAATTGCATTTTTTGTGCAACATATCGTGTTGTTAAATAATCTACAAAACATTGATTTTTAACACTCTCATAATCTTTCATTTAAAAAGTATTTATAATGTGCCCTGTGGTGGACGAAATACAATGGAGCTTTAACTCATGTAATCCTCAGGAGATCCTGAGGAAGCATTAGTGTTATTATTGTTATGATCCCTATTGTTTCACAAATGGGGGAAACCGAGGTTAAGGGAGGTTAAGGAACTTGCCCCAAGCCAACAAAAAGCTGGGCTGTGACTTGAAATGATTTGCATCTAACTCTAATGCCAATATTCTTAATGATTATGGTAAACTTTCTCTATGTGAGAAATGTAAATGATTCAAATGAAATGTCAAAATCTTTTTTTTTTAACTTGTCAAGAGATCAAGTAACTTTTTTCAGGTGTACTGACTAAATCGCCATGACAGCTATGTGAATTGTATCTTTCCTTAGAGAGTAAATAATACTGTCTGTTTATCAAGGTCTTCAGTTTTCATTTGCACTTGTCTGATTTTTTAAAGGCCAATATATTTTGTCTATGCTTGGAGAATACGATAAGCCTACCTTAAAACTATGTAATGAAATCCAAATAACAATATATTTTGCTTCTTTTTCAGAATAGCATTATATGAATCATAAATTAAAATCATATAAAGTGTTGCTTTGTATATTGTCATTTACCATATGCCATATTATATTGTAACTCTCTCACTCTGTGTGTCCTCTCCCTTGTCTAAATTGTAAGCACCTTCAGTAATTATATCATTTATTGCATTTTCAGAGTCGAGTGCATCTTGTAAAATAGTTATTCAATATTTGCTTCCATCCAGCTACTTGGGTGGCTGAGGTGGGAAGATCTCTTGAAGTCAGGAGTTTGAGGCTATACTGTGCTATGATTGTGCCTGTCAATCGCCATTGCACTCCAGCCTGGGCAACATATCAAGATCCTGTCTCTTAAAAAAAAAAGAAAATTAAAAAAAAGTTGTTTGCAACGTACATAATGTTGTTCATGTTTCATGTATCAGTAACTAAATACAAATTACTTAAACACTAAACAATAGTCCTCTTAAATAAATTGGTCTTTATAGATAATATTGTCTCTGTGGCAGAGATAACGTTAAGTGATCAACAAACTAGGCTCAGTTACCTCTTGGGCACGCAGGAGACTACATAGCCCAGTCTCCTTTGTGTTTAAGTGGGACCACATCCATGTGACTTAGTTCTGGCCAATAGAATGTGGACAGAAATGATGCATGGCAAGTTCTAGTGCTCACTCTGTACAGCCTCCTCTATGTCATGATCTCTCTTTCTTGCTCTTTCATTCTCTGTCTCTCTTTGTCTGCTGAATACAGGTAGAATTAGTAAGGAAGAGAGACCCAAGAGATTCATGAATCTCCATGTAGAAGATCACAGTCTGAATTCTAAATGTGACTGTGATGTGAGCTATTGAGATTTAGGGGTTGTTTGTGATAGCCTCTAGCATCCTATTGTGTTTATCATGTACTGAGTTTCAGTTCTGCCTCAGGTACATACCAACACACCCTCTACTATCACATTCTCTTCCTTTCCCTCATACTGTTCTCTCAACCTGACATTTCCTCTTTCCATATTTTTATCTATTAAAACTGTACTTATGACAGAGTTCAAATGCCCCTTACATAAAGCTTTGTTTCATATCACAGGCAAAATAATCTTGCTCCACTGTAACCCATCACAGAATTTTCTTCCCTTATTCCACATCCATAGTCGAGTGCTGGTCACCATCATATCCCTAATGCCCAATGGTTGGCATTTACAATATTTATCCAACAAATGAATGAATTGGTGCATTTCATTTCTCTCACAGGTTTGATACATTCCCTGTGTGTAGGATCATGTCTCATTCATCTTTATACTTCCCAGTGACAAGCACAGAACTTGGAACATAGTAGATACTCAAAAAATGTTTGTGGAATTGCTAAAGTATTATTAATGATGATTGAGAGAGGTGCATTTTTTAAATATAAGTGTTCACAGTTTTATAATTCTTCAAGTATTTAATAACTTTCACAGCGGGAAAATTTGTCATTAAATTTAAACTAAATTCCTTTTGTTGCAATTTCAAGTTTTTAATGATTTTTGTTACCTTCAGTCACAGCACTTCTGAGTAGGAAGAGGCTCAGTTCTCAGAAGCTATTTCTGTCTTGACTGATATATTTACAGAAGGGGTGGTAATGATTCAACTGCTCTAAATCAATACTGCTGAATTATTTCAGGAAAGACAGGGTTTTTGGACACTTCTCCCTCCGTATATTCTTTTTCCCTTATGGTTTCTATAATTAGTCACAAATCTATGCTTGTATGAAGGTGAAAAATTGAATATCATTATTTAGGGAGAAGTGAGGGAGATGGCAATTGGTGACGCCTACTCTATTGCTGAAGGCTCAGTAAGTAGTACTATAAATAGAAAACAAACTAGGCCAGGCACAGTGGCTCATGCTTGTAATCCCAGCACTTTGGGAGCCAAAGAAAGAGGATCACTTGAGCCAAGAGTTTCAATCCAGCCTGGGCAACATAGTGAAACCCTGCTTCTACCAAAAAATTTAAAAATTAGCTGGGGTGGTGGCCTGTGCTTGTAGCCCCGGCTACTCAGGAGGCTGAGGTGGGAGGATCACTTTAGCCCAGGAGTTCGAGGTTGCTGTGAGGTATGACAGCACCACTGCATTCCAGCCTAGTGACAGAGTAAAACCTGGTCTCAAAAATGAAATAAATAAAATATTTATTTCCCAATTATAAAATCAAGAAATGTATATCATATGAGCAAAATGGTAAAAATTGCATGGAATTAATTATCAAGGATTTGTAATTATCCAAAGTATAAACACAAGCTTCTGATTTCAGAAAATACATCTAAGCATTGAAAAAGCCCACCATGGTTGTTATTGCACTGAAATGGCCTCCAGCCATACCCTGAAATGCAAAAATATATGTTTATTGCTAACTATTATAAAGACAGCAAAATAAGATTTTATAGTTTAACTGTACAGCTAATACCCAAATATATTTTTGTAAAAATTCAAACAACAGGGAAGATGTACAAAAGAAAGGGCCCTTTTGACAACCTCCTTCTCCCCTCACTTGCACTTTCCTTCCCAGAATTAGCCTCTTTTAAGGGTGTTTTATTCCTCTAGATTTCTGTGCAATTGCAAAACAACTATATCCTTATACAAATAGGATAAAAAGTAGCTTTTATTTAAATATCACTGAAATACTTTGGATATTTGTTCCCCTCCAAATCTCATGTTGACATGTAATCCCCAGTGTTGGAGGTGGGGACTAGTGGGAGATGTCTGGATCATGGGGGTGGGTCCCTCATGAATGGCTTATCACCTTAGTGATGAGTGAGTTCACGCAAGATCTGGTTTAAAGTATCTGGCATCTCCCACTCTCTCTCTCTTACTCCTGCTCTGGCCATGTGACATGCCTGCTCCTGCTTCACCTTCCGCCACTAGTAAAAGCTTCCTGAGGGCTCCCCAGAAGCCAAGCAGATGTCAGCACCATGCTTTCTGTAAAGCCTGCAGAACTGTGAGCCAATTAAAGGCTTTTCTTTGTTAATTATCCAGTCTCAGGTATTTCTAGCAATGCAAGAACAGTCGAATATCGTTGCTTGCTCATTTCACTTCCCCAATTTCATAGAGCTGGATATCTTTTTCTTACTGATTTGTAAGGTCTTTTTATTAATTCTAAACCCTCCTTTTTTTGCTATAAATGTTGCTAAATTTTCTCCCAGCTATGAGACTTCTAAATTTTGTTTCTCTTTTGTCATCTAAAAGTTTTCACTTTTTAGGGAGTCAAGGCTATTAATCTTTTTTATACAATGACTTCTGGGGTTCATATTTTGTTTTTGAAATCTTTCTCCTTCGTATGATTATAAAAACGCTTGCCTATATTTTTGTGTAATGGCTTTGTTCTTTATTTATTTTTGCTGTGGTGAGAGATAAGGATCATGTCATAAATGCAGTATGTCTCAATGACCATTCTGACCTTCCAGACTTCCATAGAACCAGGGTTTAGGGATGCGAGTCTCATTCTACCAATCAGAGGTTCTCACAAGAGACTTTGATTTGAACTGAGTTATTTTGAGAGAAAGAAAGGGCATGGGGCATTCACTTTGCAGGTTTGGGTCATGGTGGAAGTAGCAAGGTCTGAAATCAACAACTATGGTGGCCGCTTCTCATCAGGCAGATGGATTCCTGTTTTGGCATCTTCCTGAGAAGTGGTGTGGTTCTGGTCACTGCTGTGGTAGAAACGTCTGATTTTTGCAGCTTCCCCTTTTGTAGTATATGCACCAGTTCCTCGGGCTGTTTAGTTCTGTGGTTTGGTTTTGCTGGTCATTCCTTAAAATAAACACTGGAATCTTTTTCTTCACGAATTCCCTGCAAGGATTGTGTACTCCACGTACCCTCTAATATGTTCCATTTACCTTAAACTAGTTTGAAGGAATTTTATTTTTTGAAACTATGAACCTTGACCAAAACAACATATGACATTCCGTTTTTGCCCCGAATCTATTTCAACATCATTTATTGTACAACCTTTTCCCTACTTAAAGGCCTCTTTTCATAAGTCTTCATAATTATATTTGAAGGATCAATTTCTGTATTTTAATGTATTTTATTGATGTGTTTATCTACTTTTGTACTGATTCCACACAGGTTTGTTTTGTTTTGTTTTGTTTTGAGACAGAGTTTCGCTCTTGTTGCCAAGGCTGAAGTGTAATGGCCCCATCTTGGCTCACTGCAACCTCCGCCTCTCAGGTTCAAGCGATTCTCCTGCCTCAGCCTCCTGAGTAGCTGGGATTACAGGCGCGTGCCACCATGCTCGGATAATTTTTTTTTTTTTTTTTTTTTTGTATTTTTAGTACAGATGGGGTTTCTCCATGTTGCTCAGGCTGGTCTCGAACTCCCAACCTCAGGTGATCTGCCTGCCTCGGCCTCCCAAAGTGCTGGGATTACAGGAGTGAGCCACTGCGCCCGGCCGATTCCACACAGTTTTAACTGCTATTTTTTTGTGTTTTATATGATGGCTTACTATGAGTAGGGATGTTTCTTTCCATTGATTTGCTTGTTCAGAATTTCTTCAGCTAGTCATGAACATTTTCCTTCCCAAATAAACTTCAGAATTATTTGGCTGAGTTGCATAAAATGTACCATCAACATTATGATTTCCTTTACATTAAATGTAGAGTTTAATTTGGTAAGATGCTTTAAAACTGTGGTTTTCAAACCTTTTGGTGTCAAGACCCCTTTATATTCTTGAAAATTAATAAAGACGTTAGAGAGCTCTTGCTTATGTGGGATATATCAGTTAATATTTATCATGTCAGAAATTAAAACTGATAAAATTTAGAAATATTTATTAACTCCTAAATATAACGATAAAATGTATTGTATGTTTATTAGGAAAATAACTATATTTCCCAAAACAAAAGTATTAGTGAGAAGATTATTTTACATTTTTGCAATTATTTTACATTTTTGCAAATCTCTTCAATGTTTAGCTTGGTAGAAGAGACCCGGATTCCCATATTGGTTCAGCAATCAATCTGCTGTGATATGTTGTTTTGATTGAAGTATATGAAAAAATCAGCCTTACACAGGTATGGAATTGGAAAAGGAAAGAGTGTTTTAATAGCCATTTCAGATAAGTGTGGATATTTTTCTTTGCTACTGCACCACAACTTGATAAGTAGTATTTTCATAGAGGTTAGCTAAAATGTTGAATCTGAAAATTTGTCAATGAAATTTTTTTACTTGGATACTTTAAAAGCCATTGATCTGTCTTGTTCTTTTAATTAGATCTTTTATTCATGCATTTTGTAACATGATTCACTGATCATCTGGCAAACATTGGTTCACTGAGTTATGGTGATCTTCCAGATATTAACACATCTTATTATACGAAATCAAGATAGCACATTCATTAATATTACCACTGATCTGATTAGAAAAGTCTTCAATCATTGAAAAGCTGACAAGCTCATTATGATAAATCCAAGTTACCCAAAATTTTAAGTTTCATTTAAAAGCTTAAATTATTATTATTATTATTATTATTTTATTATTAGAGATGGGATCTCACTACTTTACTCAGGGTGGTCTTGAACTCCTGGCCTCAAGTGATGCTCCTGCCTCAGCTTCCGGAGTAGCTGGGATTACAGATGTGACCCCCCCCACCTGACAAAAGTTTAAATCTTCTCATTAGCAATAAACACGGTCAGTTGTTTTCTTTGAAGCAACAGGCCCGCTTCATTCCCTTTTTTTTTTGTTTGTTTATTGAGACGTACTCTCGCTCTGTCGCCCAGGCTGGAGTGCAGTGGAGCGATCTTGGCTCAGCGCAAGCTCCGCCTCCCGATTTCGCGGCATTCTCCTGCCTCAGCCTCCCGAGTAGCTGGGACTACAAGGCGCCCGCCATCACGCGCGGCTATTTTTTTTTGGTATTTTTAGTAGAGACGGGGTTTCACCGTGTTAGCCACGATGATCTCCATCTCCTAACCTCGTGATCCACCCGCCTCGGTCTCCCAAAGGACTGGGATTACAGGTGTGAGCCACCGCGCCCGACCACTTCTTTCCCTTTTTTTAAAGAAAATGTCTGCCCAATAGCGAAGAGTTTTCTGTTATTTGTTCTTTCAAGTAAAAACAGTATTCCATGAAAAAAAAGAGAATACATTACCCGAAAAAAAAAATTTTGTTTAAACTTTAAGTTGATAGAGCTTTTTGAAGGTCAGAATTGAGAATAAGGAAGGGTGGACCTGAATTACATTTACTTCATTACTGATTTCTCCATTTCATAGTTCACACCCGGGGGCTTATCATGATGGACTGAATAATCCATTTATTCAGAAAAGGTCTTCAAGCAGTGGAAAGCGGACAAGCTCGCTAAGGTAAATTCAAGTTATCTAAAATGTTAAGTTTCGCTGAAAAGCTTGAATTTTGATTTGACTATTTTACTTTATTTGATGTTTTTTCCTGAAAAATACATATCGAGCCCCTCCCATGGACTGAACCCTGTTCTTAGTCCTGGGTATGACTACACGAAGTTGCAACCCTTACATTTTGATGAGGTTGAGAGGTGACAACGTGCTAGCAGCCCTCACTCGCTCTCGGCGCCTCCTCGGCCTCGGTGTCCACTCTGGCCGCGCTTGAGGAGCCCTTCAGCCCGCCACTGCGCTGTGTGGGCCCCACTTTGGGCTGGCCCAGGCCGGAGCCGGCTCCTGCTTGCGGGGAGGTGTGGAGGGAGAGGCGCGGGCGGGAACTGGGGCTGCGCGCGGCGCTCGAGGGCCAGCGCGAGTTCCGGGTAGGCGCGGGCTCGGCAGGTCCCGCACTCGGAGCGGCCGGCCGGCACTGCCGGCCCCGGGCAGTGAGGGGCTTAGCACCCGGGCCAGCAGCTGCGGAGGGTGCGCCGGGTCCCCCAGCACTGCCGGCCCGCCCGCGCCGCTCTCGAGTTCTCGCCCGGCCTCAGCCGCCTCCCTGCGGGGCAGGGCTCGGGACCTGCAGCCCGCCATGCCCGAGCTTCCCGCCGGCCTGACCCCCCAACCTAAGTAGGACAGCAAGCAACATGACCACTGGGGCAGAAACCTTTCTAGGCAGAGTGAACAGCAAGTGTTCTAGAAGCAGGCGTGTTCTAGCAGGTTTCAGGAAATGAAAGAAGGCTACGGTGGCCACTGAAAAAGAGCAAAGAGAGTAGAAGCAGAGCCTGCTGTCAATCAAGTCTGCTAAGGACTTGAGATCTTTTTCTCAGCAAGATGGCACGCTGTTTGAGGAGGGCCGTGAACAGGGCGGTGACCAGCGAGGACTGTGTGTAACAGGGTGACTCTGGCTGTTGTGTGGTTAAGTAGGGGAGGGCAATGAATGAGTCCTGAGGCCTGGCGCTCAGGATCCTTTCCAGCCTCTTTCTAGAGTGCTCCGCAGTCCTGCAGAGACCAGAAAGGGAAAACCACATGCCCTGGATTCCTGTGTAGCTGGGGTTCTGGATGGGACGGATGTAGGTTCCACCAATCAGAAGCACTCACAGGAGATTTAGGAAGGTCAGTTCTCCCACCTCAGCTTTCTGAGTAGCTGGGACTACAGGTGCACGCCACCAGGCCCAGCTAATTTTTGTATTTTCAGTAGAGATGGGGTTTTGCCATGTTGGCCAGGCTGGTCTCGAACACCTGACCTCAAGTCATCTGTCCACCTTGGCCTCCCAAAGTACTGGGATTACAGGCATGAACTACCATGCCCGGTATTATTTTAAAAATTCCGTAAACATTTACTTCCCCTCCTAATGTCTCTTCTCAGTGGCCAGCCTGTTGTTCCTCCCTGCATGATTCCTCACACAGCCTCTTCTTCCCCTGCAGATTTGCCTCTACTCTTCTAATCCTTTCTATTTCCCTCAGCCTTTCTTAAGCAGGGCAGTTCAGCTCTAGCATCTCTAATATGTAATATGTTCCACCCCATCTCAAGATCAGCAAACAGACCCTCAGGTGACCAGAATTTATGCTCCCTAGGTAACATTTGAGGGTCTTTAAAGGACAAAGACATTTTTCTTATATCATTCAACAAGTTAGTAAGACTATTTACCTTTATGGATATTTGAAGGATTCAGTGAGATATCAAATGTGATCTGCCTGGCTTAGTGCCTAACACATAGTATGTGATTAATAAAAATCAGGCCTTTAAAAAATATATAGACAGGGTCTTACTCTGTCACTCAAGCTGGAGTGCAGTGGTGTGATCCTAGCTCACTGCAACTTTGAACTCCCACCTTAACCTCCCCAGTAGCTGGGACTACAGGTACGTGCCACTACACCTGGTTAATTTTTTTATTTTTTTGTAGAGATGGGGTCTCACTATGTTATCCAGGTTGTGCTTGAACTCCTAGCCTCAAGTGATCCTCCCTCCTTGGCCTCCCAAAGTGCTGGGATTACAGGCGTGATCCACTGCACCTGGCCAGAAATCGGTTCTTGCTCTTCCTGACCTTCAGTTCTCATTTATTACGATTTCTGATTTTATCTTTCTTTTGTTTTAATATCATGGAAAACAGCTAATTCACAATTGGAAATCATTCCCAAGGAAGCAAAGTTTGGCTCCTGCTGGTGTTCCCTGCCCTGTCGGCACATGGACAGGCACATATTAGGGTTCAGTGCATGCTGGTTGACAAGGACCAGCAAGTGAGTTGTGATTATTTAAATTGGTTGTCTTGGGAGCCAAACACAGGGGACTATGCTGATGTATCAAAGCACAATCAAAAAGATCTAAAAGTCTCCTTTGTTGTATTTTCATGCCTATCTCACTGTCCTTATCAGCCAGTTCCCCCAGAATAACTAAGAGATTAAAAAGCTTAAACTTAATTTTCTTGCTTAAACTCAATGTTCCAAGAGCCTTCCAACCTGACAGCAGTAAAATATTTAAGTCTATTGGTCTATGGTTCCAGGAATTTCAGAGAGATGCTTGTGTCAAATGATTTCCAGCAAGGACATATTAAATTGCCTTTATCTCATCTGTCTGTGAGGATCTTGAAATGGAAGCTGTTTATTGGAGGGGTGCAGCCAGACGGTCAGAGCCTTTTTTGAAGTCCTCATCATCCAGCTCTTAGTTTATGACATTTGAAGTACTTACTTGCTGACAGAGATGGAAGTTAGCTATTGATTCAAATGATTGGCAGTACTTAGCAGGACTAGGTACATGTAACTCAGACACTGGAATGGATTTTTAAATTAACCTCACTACTGGATCTGCTATTCAGCCCCCAGATCTGGGAAAACACTCGTTTCAGAATCAAATGCTAAGATTTCATTTTAAAGCTGCACCTACCTATTACAGTTCCAATTTGGAAATTTTGCCTTGCTAAATCATATTCACCCATCACTCTGCATATGTCTGCCAGCCACCAAATTATCCCAAATATTGCTCCCTTCCTTTAGTTCAGATCTGTCTCCACACTCACTTTGTTTTTTTTTTTGTTTGTTTGTTTGTTTGTTTGTTTGTTTTTAGAATCTCCCTGTTTCACCCAGGCTGGAGTGCAGTGGCGCCATCTTGGCTCACTGCAACTTCTGCCTGCCAGGTTCAAGCGATTCTCCCGCCTCAGCCTCCCAAGTAGCTGGGATTACAGGCACACACCACCATACCCAGCTAATTTTTGTATTTCTAGTAGAGACGGGTTTTCACTATGTTGGCCAGGCTGGTCTCGAACTCCTGACCTCAAGTGATCCACCTGCCTCAGCCTCCCAAAATGCTGGGATTACAGGCATGAGCCACCGTGCCAGGCCTTCCACACTCCCTTTCGAGATAGACCTTCTGCCTTATTCAATTTCCTAGCCGCCATAATGCACGTGCCTTACCTGTGGCAGAAAGAATTCAACAAATATTTAAGCATAAAGAAGAAATTAAATATGAGATCCAAAATTTGTAGTCCACTGAAGTTGTGTGCAACTTTGGAATACGATTCTTGCATTTAGGTTTCAACATCCCAGGAAGCCGACTGAAGCTGTTTGTGGAAGAATACCCTGATTACTCCTCCCCCCAAATCTGTCTTCTCATAGGAAAGCAAAGTGGCCTCAGAGAATGCTTCACTAGATTATAAATATGGCCCTGTGTTTAGGGCTATCTATCCCACCTCCTAATCATCACTGTACCAAATATAACATGCTCCTCTGAGTCCAGGGTCCAGAAGTTTGGACCAAGGGCCATGGTCTGATTGTATTTTCTCAGTAAGGAAATTCTCAACCCAGTCAACATGTTCTACAGCCCATAAATCAAACTCCGCATTCACAAACAGGCCCACCAGGATATAGCAATGTAGGAGCCATAGAATCAGAATTGTGAAGAGACACAGACATCTAGGATATTATATTGCAATCCACTGTCATTAAAAAGTCGGATTAGGCCAGGCGTAACTTTAATTGTATGGATTGATAGTAATGATGGCTAAGAAATCCTCTTAACTGAGCTGGGTTTCTCTTCCCCTTCCTTCCCTTCCTTTCCTTCCTTTCCTTCCTTCCTTCCTTCCTTCCTTCCTTCCTTCCTTCCTTCCTTCCTCCCTCCCTCCCTCCCTCCCTCCTTCCTTCCTTCCTTTTTAAATCTGTAGAAAGAAACAAATAAAACTATTACTATGCCGTGCTTGGGAGCCGTATGCATTCGTCGGATCATAGCCTTCTTGTTATTGTGATGCAATTTTTTAATGAGCAAATGACATAGTATTCCTGGTGGATTCCTCTGACCAAGATTTCTATTAAGTTAATAGAAGAGATTAAATCAAGGTAATTGAAAAGATTTGTACTCTCTCTAATGCAATCACTCATTTTTAAATCTAATTACAGTGACGAGTGCTGGGCTTGAGTCACCCTTCTCTGACAGGGAGATTTTAGTGCTAGGCAGGTCCCACCCCTGAGGAAGGCTGAAATATCAGTGGTGTTTTCAGACTTTGATTTCAGTAAAATAGATGCAGTGGAAGCAGGTTAGCACCTTTAGGTGTTCATTGGTGGTAACTACTAAAGAGATCATGGAAGAGGGAGAATCTTTCCTGCCCTCTCCTCATACATTCTGCAAATGGATAGGCTGACATAAAGAGAGTTCCCAGCTGAAAAATTAGAAATATTGCATAAATAACCATACCATCCAGGCTAGCGGGAACATTTCAGAAAGGACGGCCTTGTGTTTGAGGTGGATGATGGGGTTTGGAGGAAGAAGGGAAGGGCTGCCCTCTGACAGGGATGGGAGGTGGCCTGGAGTGGGAGAGCCTCTCCATTGCACATCCACCTGTTCAAAAATTCTACTTGACTTGTCTCCTCTTTCTCTTTCTATCGGTTGGAAATTAGTTTGCATGGAAACATTTGAAATGCAGATAGCTTTGGGAGTCTGTAATCGCTGCTATATCCGTGGAACTTATTCTAATCACTTTAATTTCTCAATGCGATGGGGCATTCGAGGCAGGGAGAGGTAGTGGAAGGTAGTCTAACTGTATGTTTCTCATCGTTCATGTAGATACTAAATTTTTCATTCAAAAAATCAATAAATGGATATATTAAGTTGTACAATTTACTACCAAAAACACTGTCAAATAGAAACTGGAGAAAGTGCTGCCTTCGGGGGAATGGAACAAGATGAGGAGATTCTAAACTTTCCCTTTTAGAAGCTTCTAAATGGCTTGATTTCCTTTTCCTTCTGTCACATACAGGTATCACTTTAATGAAAACAAAAGAACTAGTTTAAAATAGTTTTAAAAGTTCACTCTTGTTAAGAAGTGGAATTGCTGTGTTAAAGGGGTATGTGCCTTTAAACATTTTTAAAATCCTGCTCAATGACCAGCAAAAAATGACTATAATAACATTACTCCTACCAATACTGTAAGAAAGTTCTTATTCCACATCATCAATGTAAGATGTTTTCAATTTTTAAATTGCCACTTTTCAGGTCAAAAAAATGTTGTTCTGTATATATTTCATTGTATACATTTTCCTTAAATATTTGATGATGATTGATTATTTTTTAGCCTGGTTAGTGAATTTAGTATTTTTTTTAACCCTAGCTTATCTGCAGAATTTGCTAAGAAAGTATGGGTTGTGCTGCTGGGTCTCAAAGCCAGTAGCTGGACTCCTGGACATGAGGACTGATGATTCTGTAGTGTATTGGTTGGTGCAATTGGGGAGACAGGAAGTGGCCACCTGGCCTAGATGCTCTTTTTGCTGTGCCCCAACTGTTATGTTTATGGTTGCCTCCCTCTCTCTCCTGCTCTCCAATCACCACCTCTAAGCTCAAGGTGCATTGCAACCCAACTCCCACTCCCGTGCTCTGTTACTTATGTTTTAGGCTATGATCCGCCAGTCAAACATTTCATCTCTTTTAGGCATTTTCCATAACTTCTGTTCAATTGAGACCATACAGTCTTATTTACTGGCATATTAAAAATACGTACTTAATGTTATTTCTAGGGAATTAGATGCAGTGGGTGTATGAGTCCATTTTGCATTGCTATAAAGAAGTACTTGAGGCTGGGTAATTGATAAAGAAAAGATGCTCACCATTCTGTCGGCTGTAAAAGCACGGCACCAGCATCTGCTCGGCTTCTTGTGAGGCCTCAGGAAGCTTTTACTCATGGTTGAAGGTGAATGCAGAGCAGGTATATCACATGGTGAGAGGGGGAGTGAGAGAGAGAGAGAGAGAGAGAGAGAGAGAGAGGAGGAGTTACCAAGCCCTTTTTAACAATCAGATCTTGCAGTGACTGATAGAGCAAGAACTCGCTCATTACCACCATGGGGAGCACACCAAGCCATTCCTGAGCAGTCCGCTCCCATGACCCAAACACTTCCCACTAGGCCCACCTCCAACATTGGCGGTCACATTTCAACACGAGATTTGGAGGGGACGAAACATCCAAACTATGTTAGAGGGATAGGTTGCTCAGTCTACCATCTTTCTCTAACCTCCTGGTGGTACAATGCCATCCCATCAGGGGTGCATTTGAAATAGACAGATAGATGGGTAAACGCATGTTGATTTCAAACCATTCCAGTCATGATCTACTCAATGATTGTCTACTCAAAGCTGAGGACAAAGTGGGAATTGAAAACTAAGTGGCCCACAGAATGAGCTTCTGGCTGTGCTCAGTGTGAGTTTAGGGTTTTAAGATGTGTACTTTTTGGGGTACAATGTGACCTCTGAATGCAAGCCAACCACTTCATCTGGTGCTTAGCTGAAGAAACAATGACCTGTTCCAACATGGAGGAACAGCTATGCTGGAATTACACAATTACCATAGGTCACTCTTCAATATGGTGGCTTCCTACAGAGTTCTCAATGGTAGTTTTGACTATAGGATATTTCACCTTTACACACTGGCTTTAGAACCCACCCTCCACCCACAACATGAAAGGCATAACTCTATTGTATGAGCATGATCATTTTGAAAATTTGAAAAATAATAAATTATTTGAGAAAAGCATCTAGTCAAGATCACTGTAGAAGAAAATTTTGCTCTGAGGGCAAGATACATAGAGAAATGAGATAGGAAGTGATTTGGGAGCATGAAAACAGTAAGTCAGAGAGCAGTGGCAGGTGGAAACTGACAACTCAGGAAAGGAGTTGAGGTTCCCACCTGCAACCTAATGGGAGTCCCACCAGACATGAGCTAGGGTAACCCACAACTCCGAAATTGACCAAATAGGACTTTGGGGCTTGGTCTGAAAACCATATTACAATCTTTTAAATTTAATTTTGTTTTTATTTTTTGTAGATAGGAGGTTTGGCTGTGTTGCCTAGGCTGGTCTCATACTCCTGGCCTCATGAAATTCAACTTCCTTGCCCTCCCAAAGCACTGGGATTATAAGCATGAGCCACCACACTCAGCCCATATTATAATCTTTCATGTTATATTTATTGAAAAATATATTCTAAGTTCTAGCAACCGTCTTTAGTTAGTCAAAGTATTGGCTATTTGTGTTTTTGTTTCCAGATTCCCGTCAGCAATTTAATATTGATTTTTGCCATCTGTCACTTAGCTGTGTCTCTCAGATTTGTTTCAACTATGAAATTGCTACAGATGTACTTATCTAAATCATAGATAAAAATGTTAAACAAGGCAGAACAAAGATGTGAACTGTGTGATGCTTTGCAAGAGGGCACTCCACCCCCTGTCATTTATAACCTTTAGAATTTTTTGGAATGAAAGGATTTTTCAGAACACTGAATGCAACATACATATTGCTGAGACACAAAGACCTAGAAAGTGGGTTGACTGGTTCAGTGTCACACAACTAGTTATCCATTTATTAAGAAATCCTTGTGTGTGTATTTTGTTTAATCTCTTACATGAACTGCCTTTTGGTGGAAAAGCCTAGATACTCTGCAACACCAAGGCCAGGGCTGTTTTCCACTGATTCCTTTGATAATGCAGAATTAATCATCACTGTTGAATAGAGTTGTTTATGTAGTTCTCAAAGCCCTGACATGGTTTGGCACTGTATCCCCACCCAAATCTCATCTTGTAGCTCCCATAATTCCCATGAGTTGTGGGAGGGACCAGGTGGAAGATAAATGAATCATGGGGGAAAGTCTTTCCCACCCTGTTTTTGTAATAGTGAATAAGTCTCACGAGATCTGATCATTTCATAAAGAGGAGTTCCCCTGCATGAGCTCTCTCTCTTTGCCTGCTGCCATCTGTGAAAGATGTGACTTGCTTCTCTTTGCCTTCCACCATGATTGTGAGGCCTCCCCAGCCATGTGAAACTTTAAGTCCAATAAACCTCTATTTTTGGTAAATTGCCCAGTCTTGGGTATGTCTTTATCAGCAGTGTGAAAGTGGACTAATATAGCCCTTGTGTCACTTTCATCTATATGTAAGGATATCATGGAATATTCTATGAAATATTTTGTTAATATTAAGATAAATTTGTCTGTACCCTTCTCCTGCCCTAATAAGTAAATGATTATATGGACTTAACTTGACATTGCTTGGATATTAATGAATTTGTTTTTCACTCCATCCTCGTCCTATTCCATTCTGTTATTCATTAAATTGAGGAAATCTTATCCATTGTGATTTCCAGAAATATATCCTCAGCCGCTATATTTCCTCAGAGGTTCAAACTTTTCTCTTCCTATCTGTACTACAGACTTGGTAGAGTTTGAATGTGTTTTCCCTCTGATCTCACATTGAATTATAAATCCCCAGTGTTGGTGGTGGGGCCTGGTGGGAGGTGATTAGATCATTGGGGCAGACTTCTCCTGAATGGTTTAGCACCATCCTCTTGGTGCTGCCCTTGTGAGAGGGATTTCATGAGATCTGGATTTTTGTTTTTTGTTTTTGTTTTTGTTTTGAGTCAGGGTCTTGCTCTCTCACCCAAGCTGGAGTTCAGTGGAGTACATGGCTCACTGCAGCCTCAAACTCCCAGGTTCAAGTGATACTCCCACCTCAGCCTCTACAGTAGCTGGGACTACAGGTGTGCACCATCAGTCCTGGCTAATTTTTATATTTATTGTAGAGATGCGGTTTTACCATGTTGCTCAGGCTGGTCTCAAACTCCTGGCCTCAAGTGATCTGTCTGCCTTGGCCTCCCAAAGTGCTGGAATTACAGACGTAACCCACTGCACCTGGCCAGATATAGTCTTTTCTGCTTTCTCTGTGGGAAGTGCCTGTTCGTACTTCACCTTCCACCGTGAGTAAAAGCTTCCTGAGGCCTCCCCAGAAGCAGATGCCAGCATTATGCTTCCTCTACAACCTGCAGAACCATGAGCAAATTAAACTTCTTTTCTCATAAATTACCTGGTCTCAGGTATTTCTTTATAGCATTGTAAGAATGGCCTAACACAAGACCTCAAGCTCAACACATGAAAAACTAATTATCTTCCCTTTGCCAATCCCACTTCTAGATCTTATTTCTGCTATGGTATCACCAAATTTTTTTGACCCAATTTTTTAGGCTAAAAACCTGTTTCAATTGCCGACTTTACCTATTTGCTCATCAAGTTGTATCAATTCTATCTCCAAGAAATTGTAATTTAGATGCTAATTTTATCTCATTTTGATAGCCACAGTAGATTTTAAATTGATTTCCATGTTCCCATGGCTCCACCCTCCATTGCCCTCTCCAGAATGTTCTTTCTACAACATCAACTCAGTTTTTGCTAAACTGGGCACCTCTAAAACCTCTAAAAATTTTGAAATATGCTAAAAGTTTTTCCATTAAAAAAAAAAAAAAGATAGGCAGACTTTTAAGAAGGATCTCCAAGATTCCTGAACCCTGGTTTCTCAATCAAATACTAATCTACTTACTGCTGTGAAGGGATTTTGCAGATGTGATTTAAGTCTCAAATCCATTGGCTTTAAGATTGAAAGATTATCCTGGTGGACCTGACCAAATCACATGAATGCTTTGCAAGCAAAGTTTTCCTCATTGGTCAGAGAAGGAAGGACAGAGACATATGTTCTGGTCAGCCCAGAACGTAAACCTCCATACTGCGAAAGGGGCCTCTAAGAGGTGAAATCAACCCCCAGCTGACAGCCAGCAAGTAGATCGAGATTTCAGTTCTACAATATCAAATAACTGATTTCCGGCACTATTCACAATAGAAAAGATTTGGCATCTGCCTAAGTGTCCATCAAGGCGTGAATAGATAAAGAAAATACAATACAGCCGGGCTCTGTGGCTTACGCCTGTAATCCCAGCACTTTGGGAGGCTGAGGCAGGCAGATCACCTGAGGGAGGGGGTTGGAGACCAGCCTGACCAACATGGAGAAACTCCGTCTCTACTAAAAATACAAAATTAGCCAGGCGTGGTGGCACATGCCTGTAATCCCAGCTACTTGGGAGGCTGAGGCAGGAGAATCGCTTGAACCCGGGAGGCAGAGGTTGTGGTGAGCTGAGATAGTGCCATTGCACTCCAGCCTGGGCAACAAGAGTGAAACTGCAGAAAAAAAAAAAAAAGGAAAAAGAAAGAAAGAGAGAGAGAGAGAAAGAAAGAAAGAAAGAAAGGAAAGAGTGATATATATGTATTCTTACTTATAAGTGAGAACTAAACATTGAGCACACAAGGACATAAGCATTGGAATAATAGACATTGTGGACTACTAGAGGGAGGAGAGAGGGAGCAGTGATAATAAGGTGATGTCATCTAAAATAAAAGAAAGAAAATGTAAGTATATATATAGTGTGGTATATATATATATATACACACACGTACATATATATACAGTGTGTGTGTGAGTATATATATATATACATATATACATATTATCTTAAGTGAAACAACTCAAAAACAGATAGTCAAATACCGAATGTTCTCACTTAGAAGCTAAACAGTGTATACACAAGGATATCCGGTGTGGAATAGAGACTGGAGACTTGGAAGGGTGGGATGGGGTGAGGGATGAGAAATTACCTAGTAGGTACAATGTACATTATTCAGATGATGGCTACACTAAAATCGCAGACTTCACCACTGTGCAACATATCATGTAACAAAGCTGCACTTGTACCCCTTAAATTTATACAATTAAAAAAAGAGAATGGGCTTGGTGGTGAATTTTCCCCCAGAGCCTCGGAACAGGAACTCCCCTTGGCCCACACCTTGATTTTAACTTCGTGAGAATCTGAGCTGAGAAACCCATGATGCTGTGGCAGACTTCTGATCTGCAGAACTGTGAGCTACTAAGAGAGCTTTTTTTTTTGACAGAGTCTTGCTCTGTCACCCAGGCTGGAGTGCATTGGTACAATCACAGCTCACTGCAGCCTCGACCTCCTGGGCTCAATTGATCCTCCAGCCTCAGCCTCCTGAGTAGCTGGGACTACAGGCATGCACCACCACACCTGGCTAAATCTTTTTTGTATTTTTTGTAGAGATGGGGTTTCACCATGTTGCCCAGGCTAGTCTCAATATCCAGGGGTCAAGTGATCCTCCAGCCTCAGCCTCCTGAGTAGGTGGGACTACAGGCATGCACCGCCACACTTGGCTAAATCTCTTTTGTATTTTTTGTAGAGATGAGGTTTCACCATGTTGCCCAGGGTAGTCTCAAAATCCAGGGGTCAAGTGATCCTCCAGCCTAAACCTCCCAAAGTGCTGGGATTACAGGCATGAGCCACCGTGCCCAGCCACAGGCTTTATTTTAAGCCGCTAAACACGTGGTCATTTGTTACACACAAATAAAAGACTAATAACTACATTTTGTACATACTGAGTTAAGCTTAACACATTTCTTTATTTCAAAAATTCTCAAACGTATATCGATGCTCATTAATGTTCTTATGAGTTTCCGAGAAGGCAATCCATAATGACATGTTTCCTAAACCATACTGACCAGAGCACTGGGAAGGGACACTGTCCTACAAACACCATTTTGGGAAACTTCCTATAGAATCATTCTCCTTCCCTTAATTTAATACCTGTGATGTCTTTCTATCATTTGCCCAATAATATTCAAATATCTTAATTTGGCTTTTGGGGACCTGCACACTCTAGTCTAGTCCCAGCCTACATTTCTAGCTTTGGCCCCTCTCATTTTCCCACATCCAACTGGGCTCGCCCTTCTAGACCAAGTTGTATCAGTTGAAACTTCTCTGACTTTACCCATCTCATTTTTTGAGACACATTCAAATATCACTTTTGTGATAAGTACCCCACACTCCCAGGCGGATAATGTTTGCCGTGCTTTTAAAGCTTCCCTTATGCTTTGCATATAGAGCCCTTATGTTCATGTCGTGTTGTATAATAGTTACAGTTCACCTCCTCCTACCCAACTGTGAGCTCCTTCGGGGAAGAGACTCTATTGCACTCATCTCGGCATCCTTCATGACGGACACGGACATGAGGCTTAATTATCTGTCCCTGGATATATTCCTTTTTCTCTTATAACAATTGAGGTAACATTAACTTGTCTTTAATCATCTACCTCTTTTTTTCCCCTTGAATTAAATTTTCAAGGTTTTTTTTTTTCTTTTCCAGTGGTGACCAACTAGGAGAAGTGGGTAAAGTAGAGAAATGGAGAGTGAGGAATATTGAGGCAATCTTAGGGAATAAGAATGAGGGAAAGATCAACGTGTGAAAAAGTTTCTTTTTTTTTTTTTTTTTTTTTTTTGAGACAGAGTTTTGCTCTGTTGCCCAGGCTGGAGTGCCATGGTGCCATCTCGGCTCACTGCAACCTCCGCCTTCTGGGTTCAGGGTTCAAGCGATCCTTTTGCCTCAGCCTCCTGAGTAGCTGGGATTACAGGCACCCATTACTGCACCCAGCTCATTTTTGCATTTTTAGTAAGATGAGGTTTTTCCATGTCAGCCAGGCTGGTCTTGAACTCCTGACCTCAGTTGATCCACCTGCGTAGGCCTCCCAAACTGCTGGGATTACAGGCATGAGCCACCACACCCAGCCTGAAAAAGAGTTTCTGAAACTGAAAATCTAACTACTCTTGTCCCTTTCAGAAGTGCGTCCCCCTTGAGCATTGTTCTCTCTTTCACACCCCAACTTTGCTGCCTGTTTTCTTTTTGTCTCTCGCTTCACAGGGGCCATGCATAACTCTTGACTGTATTTCAGGCTCAGCCCATCCCCACTGCCTGTTCTACACTTAGCCACCTGAGAGTGTTTCACATGTTCTGTGTAAGAATCAGTGCCTTTCTGATATTCAGTGTCAAAGCCATGTCAAGCAAACAGAAAGGGTGCACTATTAAAATAATCCTCTTCCTCCCTTGTTTTTCGATTTTGAAGACTTATTTTAAATGCTTCTATCTAACGTAGAAGCTGATGATGCTGACCACACCTCGCTTGACTTTTCTACATGCCCGGCTGCCTTTGCAGTTAAGCTGGCTATAAGTCTGCCCATTAGAATCTGGGGAGAAGTAACGAAAGTTGCTTTAAGTCTTGGTCTATAAGAGATCCCATACACTCCTTCTATCCTCTCTTCCCCTGCCACAGTGGCCTTGGAGGCCCTGTGTTCCAGAGAGCATGGTGGCTCACGCCTGTAATCCCAGCACTTTGGGAGTCCAAGGCAGGCAGATTCCTGAAGTCAGGAGTTCGAGACCAGCCTGGCCAACATAGTGAAACCCTGTGTCTACCAAAAATACAAAAATTAGCTGGGTGTGGTGGCACATGCCTGTAATCTCAGCTACTTGGGAGGCTGAGGCAGAAGAATCGCTTGAGCCCAGGAGGTGGAGGTTGCAGTGAGCCAAGATCATGCCACTGCACTCCAGCCTGGGTGACAGAGCGAGACTCTGACTCAAAAAAATAAATAAAATAAAATAAAATGAAATAAAAATAAAATAAATGAGAGCCAACTGATCTAAATGACTTTGTGCAAAGCTATTACTGATTTAACACCACCAAAATTTGGCAGGGGGTGGTGGCTCACACCTATAATCCCAGTGCTTTGGGAGGCTAAGATGGGAGGATTCACTTGAGGCCAGGACTTTGAGATAAGCCTGGCAACACAGGGAGATCCCTTCTCTACAAAAAAAAAAAAAAAAAAAAAAATTTAAAATCAGCCTGGCATGGTGGCATGTGTCTATAGTCTCAGCTACTTGGGAGGCTGAGACAAGAGGATCACTTGAGTCCAAGAATTCTAGGCTGCAGTGAGCTATGGTTGCACCACTGCACTCCAGCCTGGGTGACAGAGTGAGACCCTGTCTCTTAAAGAAGTAAAGCTGCTGAAATTTCAGGGTTTTGTCATTCATATAGCAGAGCCAAGCCACTTTGAGCTTAGCCTGACTTATACATTGAAGTAAATGTACACTTATACTTCAAAATTGTCCAAAAGAATTCACTGGTTGCAAATAAAAAAAGTAAAAATAGAAGATTACTTGGAAAGAAGTCATTCAAGAATCTCTGCAATTTTTTTTTCAAGTGAAGCTTTGTTGTTAAAATTTAAATGCTAAACAAATGCTGTAGACGCTCCAGATTACAATTAAAGCATCGGAAGGAAATAGATTTCCCACGCACAGATATAAATTTATCCAAGAACTAGGTTGTACCCCTTCCAGTATTCTTTCAAAACTCTTAATTATAGAGATTACTAGCTCAAGGAACAGGAGGTTAAACATCTGCTTCCTCAAATGAAGCCAAAAGCCTGAAACAAATTGGCTGAATCATACTTAAAGGAAAGAATGAGAGGCTAAAATTAAACGTCTCCACCAGCATCTCATGCTTCTTCTGATGAAATAGTGTTATACATCAAGTACTTAATGGAGAGGGGCACAGTTAGGTGGTAGGGGCACCTTTGAGAGAAGCCTTCATGAATCAGTTTATTCTGTTTCTCTCTTCACATACACAGTCTGATCATTTCGCCATCTTTTGTGAACAGCTTATAGTAGTTTCAGACCTGAACCCTTGTCTGGCTCTCGTCCTTTGAGAGCCTTGCACCAGAGACGGCTTTTTCTACACTGCGATTAAAGAGATGGGGAATGCACTTCGTCCTTGGTTCCTTCTCTCTCTGGCCTTCCTTGATCTGGTACCTGAAATGTCCGTATTTATTACTTTGGTAAAAAAAGTTAAAGGTTTTTGATTCTTCCTTCCTTTCTTTCTTTCTTTCTTTCTTTCTTTCTTTCTTTCTTTCTTTCTTTCTTTCTTTCTCTCTCTCTCTCTGTCTCTCTCTCTCTGTCTCTCTTTCTTTCTTTCATTCTTTCTTTCTTTTCTTCTTCTTTCTTAGATGGAGTCTTGCTCTGTCAACCGGGCTGTAGTGCAGTGACATGGTCTTGGCTCACTGCAACCTCCACCTCCTGGGTTGAAGTGATTCTCGTGCCTGAGCCTCCCAATTAGCTGGGATTACAGACAGTCGCCACCACGCTTGACTAATTTTTGTATTTTTGCAGAGAGAGGGTTTTACCATTTTGGCCAGGCTGGTCTTAAACTCCTGACCTCAAATGATCCACCTGCCTCAGCCTTCTAAAGTGCTGGGATTACAGTGTGAGCCACTGAGATTGGCCTATGATTTTTGAAAGCTATGATGAGAATGTATGTATCACTGCCTGTGAGTTACACATCACAGGAGATTTCCACCCATCTGGACTGGTACCTGAAACAGAAAGCTAAACAGGAATGCTAGAAACAAGGGAGGGAGGACAGAGAGAGGATGGAAAGAACAGGAGGGAGGAAGGATGAAGGATGAGGATGATAAAGTCAAATTCTTGCCTTTCGCAGTCCTACCCTGGGATTCGGAGTGTGATGGTGAAGTGCTGCCTGTCCCAGAGAAGGGCCACAGAGCTGTCTCCTCAATGTTGAGTCGTGCTTTCCTTTGACACACCTATAGGTTTGATTTTCATCATGGAATCTCAGAAATACCCCAGACGCAAAGGGCTGGGATTACAGGAGTGAGCCACTGTGTCTGGCAAAAGACTACATATTATACTCACAGGCTCAAGAGATAGGAGGTATGGCAGGTCATGAAGGGTCATGTGGGGAAGCCTCAGGGTGGTCAGGAGGTAGAACACAGGAGCAGGGCGAACGTGGAGGCTACAGCCTTATTAGACTTCTGCGGGAAAGTCAAGGCAGGGAGGGGAAACAATTTACGACTGGCTAATTGGAAAAATTTCAGCAGCTCTAGGCTATAGGTTATAGGGGTGGTCCTAATTTCCTGGTACTTCTCCTGGGATGATTAAGGCAGAGGAGTGCCACCTCCTGAGCTGGAGGGGTTGGATGGAGGAGGGTGGTGGCTCTGGATTGGTTAGTTTGAATAATATGGGCGTGCTCTTCCTGGCTGACCTTTGCTGTCTCTAAGAACTGACTAGCTCTGGGAAGGGCAGTGTCTCCCCAGCCAGAAAGGTTTTTAAGATGTCAACACATCCTAATATACTGAAAATAAAAAAGCATAGAAGCAACACAAAATCAAACAATACAGAAGCCTAAAAATGAAGCATGAACAATCTTATCCACACCCTCCCCAACGCCCATGTGCAATTCCATCTCATCTGAAGTTAAGTTGGCACTTGAATGTGTATTCTTGTGCATATGCTCTGTGCAAACACAGGTGCACAAACATGTTATACCCAAATATAGGTTTTTAAAATAAAAATGAGTTCACACCCTGTACATCTCTCTGCTTCTTACTTTTCACTTGAGTTGGTTTCATGAACAGCCCTTAACACTGATGCAAGGAGATATAACTTTACTTTTAATCGATGCTTATAGTTTATAGGGTGGATATCCTAATTTATCCAACCATTGTCTCTTTGCAGACATATAGGCTATTTTCAGGTTTGTTTCTTTTAAAAAATAATTACACATAAGCTTCCATAAATACCTGTGGTCATAAATCCTCATATTCTCATGCCTCCCTTTTCCAGTGGGATTGTTGCATCAAGAATGCATTGTAAATGTTGATTGATAGAGGAGATCGTGACAGATTTCTTCTCCAGAATGTTTTAGCAATTGAACCTGAGATCAGCAATGTGTGGAAGTGCCAATTTTTAAATTTTTTATATTTTTTAGAAGGGGATCTAGCTCTGTCACCCAAACTGGAATGCAGTGGTACAATCATGGCTCACTGCAGGCTCCAACTTATGGGCTCAAAGGATCCTCCTGCTTCGGCCTCTGAAGTAGCTGGGACTAAAGGCACGTGCCATCATGCCCAGCTAATTAAATAAATTTTTTTTTAGAGACAGGGTCTCACTGTATTGTTCAGGCTGGTGTTGAACTCCTGGTTTCAAGTGATCTACCCACCTTGGCCTCCCAAAGTGCTGGGATTATAGGCAGGAGCCACCATGCCTGGCTCTGAAAGTGTCAATTTTATTAGTTTTACCATATCCTGGTTATCACTGGTTGTTATAATGTTTTAATGTTTACAAATCTGATGCATGATCATTTATAATTTTTCTAATTTACGTTTTCCCAACTACTAATAACACTGAGCATCTCAGGCAAAAAAATAAATAAAACAAAAACAAACAAAACAAAAAAAACAAAAAAACTTTTCTCCTTAATTATAGCTTATAAGACCTATGAGAACCATATTTTTCTTTTCTTTTTTAATTTTTTTTAGAAGGAGTCTCACTCTGTTGCCCAGGCTGGAGTGCAGTGGTGTGATCTCAGCTCACTGTAACCTCCATCTCCTGGGTTCAAGTGATTCTCCTGCCTCAGACTCCCGAGTAGCTGAGACTACAGGTGCGTGCCATCACACCAGCCTAATTTTTGTATTTTTAGTCGAGATGGGGTTTCACATGTTGGCCAGGCTGGTATTGAACTCCTGGCCTCTGGTGATCCACCTGCCTCGGCCTCCCAAAGTGTTGGGATTACAGGTGTGAGCTGCTATGCCTGGCCAAGAACCATATTTTTTCTCTTTATTTATTATTTATAAGAGGCCGAGAGAAAAATGAAGTTTATTTGCCTTGAGGAAGCTGCATGTGTTACTGCACAGCACACGTAAGTGCAGATGCTTGCTTTTGCCTGACATGCCTGTGTTATATAGATTCCGTCTTCCTGGAATAAGATGAAATAAAACTGGCTATTTCCAAATTCATTTGATCCAGGCTGTGTACAGGATATTTCAAAAATTCTGTTTGTTATTTTCCCATCTTGGAAGATAATGAAAAGACAACAGCTATCGGTTTCTTCCTTCTGACTATTGTAATTTATTTTCTTTGAGGAATTAACATTACATTGAATCTGTTTTGCTATTGACTATAGTTTGGTTTACAGCATGCCATAATTTTGTTCTATCTTTGAGACCTGATGACACCAGCGGTCTGTGATTCTTGGAATTGTTAAACCTTGTCTCATTACAGAGTATGAATCAGGGAACAGTAAAATTAAGCCCTGGTTTCTCGGAGTGAGTCTAATGGCAAATAAACCTGTGAGGGCTAATCCCTTAGTTTCTGATATAGTGGACTTAGGGGGGATATTAACCAGGTGGTAGCAGCCCTCTTTTAATAGTCAGGAATAGTGCCCGAGATCCGTTTAAGGTGGTGGGTTGTGGGTGGAGGATGCTTAAGTGGTTGTGAGGCAGGAGACCGGCAGGATTTGTTTTCCAGCAGTGACCCTGCTGACCAGAACAGGTTGTGGTTGAAACATGGTGCAATGAAAAAGGCAGATGGCTACAAAAGTGACCTCTAGTTGTCCTCCCTGCTCATTAGCATAATGAGCTACACTCCCACTAGCAACATGACAGTATACAAATGCCATGACAATGACTCAGAAGTTATCACCCCTTTTCTAGAGATTTCTGAGTATCCCCCCTTAATTCGCATGTAATCAAAAGTAGGTATAAATACAGCAAGCTACAGCCCACTGGTGCTGACTCTGCGCGCACTGCCTATGGGTTAACTCTGCTTTACGAAGAACAGCATTGGTTCAATAATAGATGCTTTCTGTCACCACCAGCTTGCCCTTGAATTCTTTCTTGGGAGAAGTCAACAACCTTCCTAAGGCTAAGTTCTAATTTGAGTGCTCCCCTGCCTTGAATCTGTTGTTATCAGCCAGGGCTCTCCAGAGAAAGAGAATCCAATAGGATATCTATCTGTCTATCTATCTATCTATCTATCTATCTATCTATCTATCTATCTATCTATCTATTGTGAGTTTTGTTTTAAACAACCTGCTCATATGATTGAGGAGCTGGTGAGTCTAAAATCTGTAGGTCAGCCTAGCAGCCTAGAATTTGAGGCAAGTGTCAATATTGTAGTCTTGAATCCAAAGGCTGGAAATTTGAGCAGAATTTCTATGTTGCAGACTAGAGGGAGAACTCCCTGTTTCTTTCTTAGAAACCTCAGTCTTTGTTCTTAAGGCTTTCAACTAATTGGATGAGACCCACTCACATTGTATAGGGTAATCTGCTTTACTTAAAGTCAGCTAATGATAATTGTTAATCACGTCTAAAAAATACTTTTACAGCGACATCTAGGCTAATGTTTGACCAAACAACTGGGCACCATATTCTAACCAAGTAGACACATAAAATTAACCACAATAGCAGAATGTAGTTTATTTGCTTCATGTGAGTTCAAATGATCCAGCTGCTATGCATTTCTCTGTTGACCAAGCAACTTAAAATGGAGTCTTGTTATAGTCATGCTATCATCCAAGAAGGATCCCTGATATCCCAATCATTTTCAGCACATGTATTCCCATGAAGAAACATTGCTGAGACCATGAGCATAACATGCTTCAGGAAGGGAGCAGGAAAATATGTGGAGAATGCATAAGTGTCTCATTCTCCAACCTTCCTTCTTTTTCTCCTTTGGCCACTTAACCCAATAAGTTGACGTCCTTTTTTTTTAAGTGTCTGGTGTTAAGAGAGCTCAGTTGAAATGAAATAATTCATTTCCTCTTGGCACAATTCTTCTGGCTGATGGAAAAAGGCATTTTGGAACATATGAACAAATTTTAAGTAGAATTTGCATCTGATTGTTGGCCTTTGCATTGATATTGATTAAATACATTGAATAATTTTTAAATGTCCATTTCTCTTTCACGTGTATCATTTAAAAATAATTTATTAAGGTAAAATTCACATAACAAAATTAATCATTTTTAGTGAGCAATTCATTGATATTTAGTACATTCAAAATGTTGTGAAGCGCCACCTATGTCTAGTTTCAAAACATTTTTGTCGAGAATGGCGTGAACCGGGGAGGCGGAGCTTGCAGTGAGCCGAGATCCCGCCACTGCACTCCAGCCTGGGCGACAGAGCGAGACTCCGTCTCAAAAAAAAAAAAAAAAAAAAAAACATTTTTGTCTCTCCAAAGTCAAACTCTTGCCTACTAAGCAGTTTCTCCCCCTTTCCCCTGGCAACCACCCATCTGTGTTGTCTCTGTATGGATTTATCTATTTTGGACCTTCCATATAAATGAAATCACACAGTACGTGGTATTTTGTGTCTAGCTTCTTTCACTTAGTATAATGTTTTGGATGTTCATTCACATTGTAGCATATATCAGTACTGCATTTTTTCCATAGATGAATAATATTGCATTTTCTGTGTATACTACAATTTGTTTATCTCTTGTCTGCCGATGAACATTTCTGCTGTCTCCACATTTTGGCCATTGTGAATAGTGCTGCTATGAACAGGACCTGCTAGGTTCTTTTGGTTCTTAATGCAAGGCTCTTTTATCTACCCAGGACACATCTATGCTTAGAGAAAATAGAAAACCTCCTCTTCCGAATCTAGCCATTTTATGTGAGTTAGATTAAAATGAACATAGAAGCTAATCTATGGTAAATGCAACCTAGAACATAAAGTTTAGTAAAGAAGACAGCTGGAAGTGTCCTAAACACACAGTAAGCACTCTGACTGGTAAGCTGGTACAGATTGCATTTCATATCCAGACAGCAACCATTACTAGCAGTCTTTCTGTCTCAATTTGGCATGAACCCCTCGAAATTCAAAGCCCAGAGAAATGGAAGTTTCCTAATTCTGGAATCACTTCCCCTTGAATCAGTGTAAGCCCAGTAAACATATCTTTTTTTTTGGAAAAAAGTCAGTAACAATCACAACCAGGAAGGAAAACCCATTGGAAAAAATAAATTGAAGATAAATATTTTCTAATTATCTACACATTTCTCACTGTTGTGAGACCTCAGTTTGAGAAATCTTTACAGGTAGTTGAAAACGATAACAGACCTGCTTTGGACCTTACTCTTTTTCTTAGCACTGATTGCAAAACACAAAAACCTCCTGCAAAAGTGGAACATGTTGTCAAGCCGTACCGAATACAACTTCCTTGCATTTCCAAATAATGCTGTTTTGCAGAAGAAATTAAGTTGCATGGTTTTTGTTTCTTAGCTAAGTAACAATATGCGTGAACGTGACATAAAACCTAGCTTCTGGAGAATAAATGCAAATGAACACCAAATCTTTCTGTGAAACCAATGCTAGAATATTATTCATACTTTAGTAAACTTTAGTCCTAAAATCCATCAAATTTCACGAGAACCAATTACTAGAGGGAAACCTGGGAAACAAAGGTTAATAAAACAAAACAAAAAGAATAACAATAACATTATTTATAATACAGTTCTTTAACATTGTGAGAATATTTATTTTCAAAATGGCTCTTTTACCAGCATGGCAGAAACAACTTTTCAAGTCTTAAGGAACATTTTATTATAAACACTTAGTAGCCATCATAGAGTGAAGAAATTGAAGATAGAGTGAAATCAAATCAAAGGTGAAATTATCAACGTGACTTACACGAAGTTCACATATTTGCATTAACCCAAGTATATGGAAAATCAGTATCTGCTGACCTTGAGTTTGGAAATGACCAATAATGTATATTTAAAAACTGAGGACACGGAGAAAAATATTTGCAATAATAAACATATTCCTATTATAAAAAAAGGAAAGAAAAAGAAAAAAAAAACAGTGTCTTCTATGGAAAAGGTGCTTTCCCATAGAAAAGCACTTATTGTATAAATCGTTATTTTAATTTTAAAAGTGAAATTGCTTGTTAATTATTCATCCCTTCATCAAACAATTTTGAGTACCTCCAATGGGCTAGGCAATATTTTTTATTTTTATTTTTAATTTTTGAGACAGGGTCTTGCTCTGTCACCCAGGTTGAAGTGCAGTGTCGTGATCATAGCTCAGTAATGCATTTCTTCCACAGCTGAATAAAATTGCATTTTCATGTACAAATTGCATTTCATATCCAGACAGCAACCATTACTAGCAGACTTTCTGTCTCAGCTTTGCACGAAACCCCTCAAAATTCAAAGCACAGGGAAACAGAAATTTCCTAATTCTGAAATCACTTCCCAAATTTTCTTTTTAGTTCATATTTTTAATTGACTCAAAGTACAAAGATCCCCCCAGGAGGCCCTGGAGGAGGGGAACAGCCTTGGAGAGGCAGAGATTCACTGCAGCAGCCCACCCCCACCTGCTACCCACTCCTCCACAAGAGTCCCAAACTCTTTAATCCTAAAAAACTGGATGAGAGTGCAGGCAGATAAGGGCTCCTTCATCTTCACACGGGTGACAAGCCACCCTGCCCTGTCCTGCCCAAGGCCCTGGCCCTCCCCACCCAAGTCAGGCTCCCAGCCCAGACCCTGACCCTGGCAAGGCAGGGGACAGCAATCTGCTCCTACAGGAGTTGGGGCCGCCATCCCCTCAATCCCTTGGGTTGAATTGATTCTCCACTTCAGCCTCTTGAGTTCCTGGGACTACAGGCATGTGCCACTGGGTCCAGCTAATTTTTATGTCTTTTTTTTGTAGTAGAGACAGGGTTTCACCATGTTGTTCAGGCTGATCTCAAACTCCTGGGCTCAAGCCATCTGCTCCCCTTGGCCTCCCAAAGTGTTGGGATTATAGGCGTGAGCCACTGTGCCCAATCGGGCCAGGCACTTTTAGAAACTTGGGGAACATTAGTGAACAAAACAAATAATCACAGCTCTCATGGCCTGTATGTTGTAGAGGGTGGTGGGTGGCAGACACAATAAACAATAATAAATAAGTTATATAGGATGTCCAAAGGTGATAGACGCTTTGGAAGAAGAAGAGCAGACTGGAAGAGATCGGAAGGGGGAAGCGGTGGGAAGTGAGGGCTAATTGCATTTTATTTATTTATTTATTTATTTATTTATTTATTTATTTACTAGAGATGGAGTCTTGCTATGTTGCGCAAGCTGGACTTGAACTCCTGGGCTCAAGCTCTCCTCCCTTCTCAGCCTCCCAAATAGCTGGGACTCCAGGCCTGCACCACCACACCTGGCTTAGGCTGCATTTAAATGCAGTAGCCAGCAGAAGCAGCAGAGCCGATACTGGAGCTAAGATTTGAAGGCAAATGCCAGCCTCGCGGGTACCTGGGGGAGTAATCCCAGTGAAAGGAAAAGCAAGCACTGAAGGCAGAGGAGAAAAGATCTGAGCGGCAATGAAGTGCAGTCCATATCCCGGAGTGTCTTTGGCTTTCTCCAAGGGAAATTCGGAGACCTTCAAGGGGTTTGAGCAGACGAATGATGTGATCTGACTTTAAAACATTATATATACTTAAGATGTACAACAGGTTTTGATACACATATACATATTGAAATGATTACTATAGTCAAGCAAATTAACATAAGCATCTCCTCACATAGCTATCATTTGTGTGCATGTAGTGAGAGAGTTTGAAATCCATTCTCTTTGCAAATTTCCAGTATGCAGTTCAGAATTATTAACTGTGGCCATTACACTGTTCATCAACTGTCTAGATGTATTCATCTTACGTAAATGCAATTTCTACCCTCTGACCAACACCTCCCCATTTCCCCCATTCCCCAGACCCTGGAAACCACCATTCTACTCTCCTCTTCCATGTATTCATCTTTTAAAAATTCCACATGTAAGTGAGCTCATGCAGTGTTTTTCTTTCTGTGTCTGGCTTGTCTCAGCATAATGTCTTCCAGCTTCATCTATGTTGTTGCAAATGGCAAGCTCTCCATTTTTAAGGCTGAATAATATTCCATTGTACAGAATATATATACTGTATAATATGGTATATACACATGTATGGTATATACATATGTGTGGTACATACATAGATCTTTTACATTTTCTTTCTTCATTCATCCATCAACAGACCCTTAGGTTGTTCCCATTATCTTGACCCATGCTGTAGTAAACATGGGAGCACAGATCTCTTTGAGGTGTTGATTTTATTTCGTTTGGATATATCACCCGGAAGCAGGATTACTAGGTCATATGGTAGTCTTTTTTTTTTTTTTTTTTTTTTTTTGAGACAGGGTCTTGTTATGTTGCTCAATATGGAGTGTGGTGACAAAATCACAGCTCACTGCAGCCTCAAACTCCTGGGCCTAAGTAATCCTCCTGCCTCAGCCTCCTGGGATTACAGGCACATGCTGCCATGCCTGGTTAATTCTTCTTTTAGAGATGGGGTCTCGCTATGTTGTCCAGTCTGGACTTGAACTCCTGGCCTCAAGCAGTCCTCCTGCCTTGGCCTCCTAAAGTGCTGGAATTCTAGGCATGAGCCACTGGACTTGGCCAGTAGTTCTATTTTTAAGTTTTTGACTTTCCTTTCAGAAAGGATCACTCTGGAGACTGCAGTATATAGAAGGCAAGGACAGAATCCAGGTGACCAACTGACGAGCGGCTGACATTCTCCAGGGGAGAGATGAGGTGGCTCAGAGCAATACAAAACCGCAGGCTGGTGCGGGAGTGCTCAGATCCTGCAAGGATCACTAAGGCCCATGGTTGCCCTCCTGCTTCAACATTAAAAAATTGAGACCAGACAGAATACGTCAGTTCTGCACAACTGTTAAAGAAACTCATCTTGAAAGCTAAATGTAACAAAAAAAAATTACTTACAACTTGTTTTTAGTAAGAATTTGCTCTTCTGAAATTTTTTTATTTATATTTATATTTATTTATTTATTTATTTATTTATTTATTTATTTATTTATTTATTTTTGAGACGGAGTCTCGCTCTGTCGCCCAGGCTGGAATGCAGTGGCACAATCTCCATTCACTGCAACCTCCACCTCCTAGGTTAAAGTGATTCTCCTGCTTCAGCCTCCAGAGTAGCTGGGATTACAGGTGTGTGCCAACATGCTGAGCTAATTTTTGTATTTTTAGTAGAGACGGGGTTTTGCCATGTTGTCCAGGCTGGTCTTGAACTCCTGACCTCAAGTGATCCACCTGCCTTGGCCTCCACCTGCTCTTCTGAAAAACTGATACTATTCTGATAATGCAGTTGTCCTAAGGAAGACCAGTTTTTATTTCAGAAATTATTATTTTTTTGTATTCATGCGTCTGAATTAGTTATGTACCTATTAACGTGAAGACATAGTCTATATCTAAAAAATACTCTGGAACAACCTAGACTTCATAATTGATTTTTTGGACAGTTTGACTATTCATATTGATCATATTCACCATATATTTGTCAACTTTTTTCTTCATTTCATACTATTTATTTGCTTATGTATTTATTTAGAGACAGGATCTTGCTCTGTCGCCCAGGCTGGAGTGAAGTAGTGTGATCATAGCTCACTGCAGAAGAATCAAGTGATCCTCCTGCTTCAGCCACTCCAATAGCTGGGACTAGAGACACATGCCACCACACTCAGCACTTTGAGAGGCCAAGGAGGGGTGAATAATTTGAGCCCAGGAGTGAGAGACCAGACTGGGCAACATGGCAAGACTTTGTCTCTAAAAAAATACAAAAATTAGCCAGGTGTGGTGACATATGCCTATAGTCCCAGCTATGGGGAGGCTGAGGTGGGAGGACTGCTTGAGCCCAGGAGGTCAAGGCTACAATGAGTCATGATCACACCACTGCATTCCAGCCTGGGTGACAGAGTGAAACCATGTCTCAAAAAGAAGAAAAATATTTTTTTTGTAGAGACGGGGTCTTGCTCTGCCACCCAGGCTGGTCTCAAACTCCTGGCCTCAAGCAATCCTCCTACTTTGGCCATCTCATACTATTTAGAAACCACCATAGTTAGAAAGGTGAAGATCCTTTTTTATTATTTATTTGAAGAACAAAACGACTGTTATAGAAATGTTTTACTTTAAAATATTTACTCATCAACAACGCCAGAGCCACAAAATCATGAAATTTACAATGAAAAATTATGGTTTTTCAATTCTGTAGTTCTCTTATCATTTTATTTTCTAACATATTTGCCTCTGGCCTACCCAATCTATTAGGTTGGTGCAAAAGTAATTGTGGCTTTTGCCATTAAAAGTAATTTAAAGTAACAGGAAAAACCACAATTACTTTTGCACCAACCTAATAGTTTACAAGTGTTTGACAAAAACCATATGATTTTCTCAATAGATGCAGAAAAGCCTTCAATAAAATTCAACATCCCCTCATGCTTAAAAACTCTCAATAAACTAGGTATTGATGGAACATATCTCAAAATAATAAGAGCTATTTATGACAAACCCATAGCCAATGTCATACTGAATAGGCAAAAGCTGGAAGCATTCCCTTTGAAAACTGGCACAAGACAAGGATGCCCTCTCTCACCACTCCTATTCAACATAGTACTGGAAGTTCTGGCCAGGGCAATCAGGCAAGAGAAAGAAATAAGGGCTATTCAAATAGGAAGAGAGGAAGTCAAATTGTCTCTGTTTGCAGATGACATAACTGTGTATTTGCAAAACCCCATGGTCTCAGCCCAAAAACGCCTTAAACTGATAAGCAACTTCAGCAAATTCTCAGGATACACAATCAATGTGCAAAATCCACAAGCGTTCCTATACACCAACAGTAGACAAGCAGATAGCCAAATCATGAGTGAACTCCCATTCACAATTACTACAAAGAGAATAAAATACCTAGGAATACAATTTACAAGGGACATGAAGGACCTCTTCAAAGTGAACTTCAAACCACTGCTCAAGGAAATAAGAGAGGACACAAACAAATGTAAAAACATTCCATGCTCATGGATAAGAAGAATCAATATCATGGAAATGGCCAAACTGCCCAAAGCAATTTATAGATTCAGTGCTATTTCTATTAAGCTACCAATGACTTTCTTTGCAGAATTAGAAAAATGTAAATTTCATATGGAACTAAAAAATAGTGCATATAGCCAAGACAATCCTAAGCACAAAGAACAAAGCTGGAGGTATCACACTACCTGACCTCAAACTATACTACAAGGGTATAGTAACAAAAACAGCATGGTACTGGTACCAAAACAGACATATAGACCAATGGAACAGAACAGAGACCTCAGAAATAACACCACTTATCTACAACTATCTGATTTTTGACAAACCTGACAAAAAGAAGCAATGGGGAAAGGATTCCCTATTTAATAAATGGTGCTGGGAAAACTGGCTAGCCATATCCAGAAAACAGAACCTGGACCCCTTCCTTACAACTTATACAAAAATTAACTCAAGGTGGATTAAAGACTTACATGTAAAACCCAAAAACATAAAAACCCTAGAAGAAAACCTAGGCAATACCATTCAGGAATAGGCATGGGCAAAGACTTCAGACTAAAACACCAAAAGCAATCGCAACAAAAGCCAAAATTGACAAATGGGATCTAATCAAACTAAAGAGCTTCTGCACAGCAAAAGAAACTATCATCAGAGTGAACAGGCAACCTACAGAATGGGGGAAAGTTTTTGCAAGCTACCTATCTGACAAAGGTCTAATATCCAGAATCTCCAAGGAACTTAAACAAATTTACAAGAAAAAACCAACCCCATCAAAAAGTGGGTGAAGGATATGAGCAGACACTTCTCAAAAGGAAACATTTATGCAGTCAGCAAACAAACAAACAAACACTCATCACTGGTCATTAGAGAAATGCAAATCAAAGCCACATCTTATGCCAGTTAGAATGGCAATTATTAAAAAGTCAGGAAACAATAGATGCTGGTGAGCCTGTGGAGAAATAGGGACACTTTTACACTATTGGTGGGAGTGTAAATTCGTTCAACCATTGTGGAAGATAGTGTGGCAGTTCCTCAAAGATCTAGAACCAGAAATACCATTTGACCAGCAATCTCATTACTGGGTATATACCCAAAGGATTATAAATCATTCTACTATAAAGACACATGCTCATGTATGTTTATTGCAGCACTATTTACATTAGCAAACACTTGGAACCAACCCAAATGCTCATCAATGATAGACTGGAAAAAGAAAATGTGGCACATATACACCATGGAATGCTATGCAGACATAAAAAATAATGAATTCATGTCTTTTGCAGGGACATGAATGAAGCTGGAAGCAATCATTCTCAGCAAACTAACATGGAAAAGAAAACCAAACACCGCATGTTCTCGCTCATAGGTGGGAGTTGAACAATGAGAACACATGGACACAGGGAGGGGAACATCACACACTGGGGCCTGTCGGGGGTTGGGAGCAAGGGGAGGGAGAGCATTAGGACAAATACCTAATGCATGCGGGGCTTAAAACCTGGATGACAGCTTGATAGGTGCAGCAAACCACCATGGCACATGTATATCTATGTAACAAACCCGCATGTTCTACACATGTACCCCAGAACTTAAAGTATAATAATAAAAAAAAAAAATTGGATGCCTAAGGGAACAAGGTGTTTCACATGATTTTTGGGATTAAATAAGTTCTAGCTCAGAAAAGAAAAAGCAGAGGAGGGCATATTTTAGAAAATCTAGCTTTCAGATTTCCTTACATTTATTATCACATTCTCAGTAATTCTTTATCCATCAACTGCTATTTATAAAGCACCTACTCTGTGTCAGGGATTGGATGGAATGAACTGGGAATAGCTGTGAATAGGTGAAAGAACTTGTCCTATTACCTGTTTTTAATCATTAAGATTCTACTTTCAAATACAAGGATGCTATACTCCATTAAAAAATAATTTGTACTTAAAAAAATGGTTATAAGCAGATTCTGATTTTTGTCAACCGAAATGTCTTTTCTTTCTTTTTCTAAACCAAAACAGAATATACTAAATTGCTAAGCAGCTAAACTTTTTTAGTCATTGGTGAGAAAGCAAGCAGGTTTAGCAATTGAGAGAACAGAAGATTTTGGATATTAAAATCAGGGATCAAAACAATTCCAGTATTAACCACTGAGTGTTACTAATACAAAGACTCACAACAGCAAGAACACTACTAAAATTCAAATGATTGTATTCAGCTAAGATACAATTCTTATAGAGCTTACCTATGAATCGCTCAAACATATCTATAGACACACATCTCCTGGTTGAGAAGCATGGGTGCTCCATAGATTAAATATGATAAATGTGTACCAGTTAAGGGTCCATTAACTACTGATAGAAGAAAACTTGAGAACCTTGGTAGCCTAGCAAAAGAAAAGTTTATTTTTTCTAATGCAGAAGTTGTAAGATTCAAACTGGAGCTACAGAAGGCCATCAAGAGAGGACTCTCATGCATGATTTGCCTGATAACAGAAACTATCACAGGAAGTTTTTCTGTTGTTTTTGTTTGTTTGTTTTTTCTTTTTTCTTTTTTTTTTTTTTTTTTTAAGATGGAGTCTCACTCTGTGCCCCAGGCTGGAGGTTTTTTTTTTTTTTTTTGGGGACAGAGTCTCGCTCTGTCTCCCAGGCTGGAGTGCAGTGGCACGATCTCGGCTCATTGCAAGCTCCGCCTCCCGGGTTCACGCCATTATCCTGCCTCAGCCTCCCAAGTAGCTGGGACTACAGGCGGCTGCCACCACGCCCGGCTAATTTTTCGTATTTTTTAGTAGAGACGGGGTTTCACCATGTTAGCCAGGATGGTCTTGATCTCCTGACCTCGTGATCCACCTGCCTCAGCCTCCCAAAGTGCTGGGATTACAGGTGTGAGCCACTACGCCTGACCTTTTTTTTTTTTTTTTTTTTTTTTTTTAAGACAGAGTCTGGCTCTGTTATCCAGGCTGGAAAGCAGTGGCACAATCTCAGCTTACTGCAGCCTCTGCCTCCTGGGTTCAAGCGATTCGTGTGCCTCAGCCTCCTGAGTAGCTGGGATTACAGGCGTGCACCATCACACCCTGCTAATTTTTGTATTTTTAGTAGAGGTGAGTTTTCACCATGTTGGCCAAGCTAGTCTTGAACTCCTGACCTAAAGTGATCCGCCCGCCTTGGCCTTCCAAAATGCTGGGATTACAGGCGTGAGCCACCAGGCCTGGCCACAGGAAATTTTTCTAAACCACAGCTTACTACATGAGTCACATGAGCACAGCTAGGCACATATACAAGAACATTTGCCTGGCACACTGTCTCACAAACCCAATCCAAAACTTCAAGGGCATATTCCTAATTTATTTGGCTATCAGGCCATAACTAAATAAGATAACGGGTCCTACCAGCAACTTCCAACATTTGCCAATCAAAACTCGCCAGCCCTTGTAAGACTTTGCCAATGCCAATAAACTTTCTTTCCAAACAATTTACACACCTCCTATTTCCCCAAGAAAAACTTAACCTTATCTTTTGTTCTCTGGACATACTAGAAGCCACCACCATCCATATTTATGTCCTGGATTTCAATCCTTCTTCTTATATATTATGCCTAAATAACAACTTTTTACTTGGAAATTCACCTCTCTATATTTTCTATGTTAATACTAATATAAAGGCTGGTTGAGACTTGGAATTACTGAGCCTTTGTCATTCAAAATCTTTCCTTCGAGTTTTACTTGTTACTGTTTGTGGTCTAGAAATAGTCAACTTTTCCAACTCTGCAAGGCTCTACATTTCTAGACTATAGTCGTCCATCTGTGAGGGGATTTAGTTCCAGGACCCCCGAGGATACTAAAATTCTCAGTTGCTCAAGTCCCTGATATAAAATGGTATAGTATTTTCATATAACCTATGCCTATCCTCCTTTATACTTTAAATAGTCTCTATATCATCCCTATATTACCTATAATACCTAATACAATGTAAATGCCATGTAAGTAGTTGTTATACTGTATCATTTTTTATTTGTATCCCTTTTTATTGTTACACTGTTATTTTTTATTTTGGAGGGTTTTAAAGAATATTTCTGATCTATCATTGGTTGAATCCTCTGACGTGGAACCCACAATTGTATTCCCTCTTATTTCTGCTTTAAAATTGGCCAATTTACCTCTTTCCTCTACTGTTATGCTAATCACAGCCTGTAATGACCAACGCTCACCACTAACATTCTTATTTTCCAACCTCTTTGCCTCAGCGGGCTAGCAGGCTGCCTTCTGGGTTATCACAGGCAGTGATTAAATGTTCTGCCCTGCACAGCACAGATCTCCAGTTTGTTGGTCTCCATCCTCATATGGCAATGTCCTCACCTCCCACTGCCTGAACTCTAAGACAAGCTTTTAGGTTTTTGTTAAAGCAGCACTCCACTTATAGGCACAAATTTCTCTATTAATTATGGAGGGATAACTGCTGCAACACATAACCCCCAAATCCTGGTTACTTAACAGAAGTCTATTTCTTGTTCACGTGAAATCCATGAAAGGTTAAGTGAGACTTATGGCTTGCTTCAAAAAGAAGTAAGGAAGATTTTGAATCCTACTCACTGTGTTGGATTTCTGAAAAGAGCCTGCTTTATCCCAAGTTCATAATTTCTTTCTTGTGATTCATATTTAATCCAATAGCTTCAGCGATCTTGGAAGCTGAATAAAATGCCAGATCTCATATAAATTACTTCTAAATACAAGCTTTTGCTATACTAGCTTCCTCTCATTCTTTATAATCATTAGGATAATGCGATTGCCCATGAATATTGGGAGGAATCGCTGATTGTGAAGCAAATAATGAACACATGTAGCAACATTAGTTCATCCATGCTGATTTGAAGCAAGACAGAAGCTCCACTCATGAGAGGTCATCATGGCCTAGTGTGGAACAGGCTGAGCTTTGGAGTCAGATAGAGCTGCATTCAAACATCTGCTGTTTACGAGCTCGTTATCCTCGTTGCATTTCTTAGCCTCCATTTATTCTTTGTCTACCTGCGGAGCAAAGGGGAAATGGAATCATACATTTCAGGTCTTTATCCTGATGTTTGAGAAAAAAAGGGTAGGCAGTGCTTTTAAGAAATCACCTTCCGAGCCAGGTGCGGTGGCTCATGCCTGTAATCCCAGCGCTTGGGGAGGCCTAGGTGGGCTGATCACCTGAGGTCGGGAGTTGGAGACCAGCCTGACTGACATGGAGAAACCCCATCTCTACTAAAAACACAAAATTAGCCGGGCGTGGTGGCGCATGCCTGTAATCCCAGCTACTCGGGAGGCTGAGGCAGGAGAATCGCTTGAACCCGGGAGGCGGAGGTTGCGGTGCTGAGATCGCGCCATTGCACTCCAGCCTGGGCAACAAGAGCGAAACTCCGTCTCGGAAAAAAAAAAAAAAAAAAAAAAAAAAAAGAAATCACCTTCTGGGTGCTAGGTGTAAGCTCATTGCTACTGAGATCTCATTGATTCTAGGCTGTCTCAGCAGACCAAGCCAGGATATTGATGTATGTATATACAGTCATACAGATATATGTTTGTGCATGTGTATGTGTGTACCTGCATGTATCTTGCACATAATTTCAATGTTTCCACTGACATGCGCACCTGGATTCATTATAGCAGGATTTCTGCTTCATTTTGATAGGCTTTTTAGCATGTAACACATATTCAGATAGCAAGAGTTCAATTAGCAAGGAATTAGGAGGTGTCTGGTGCATAGTATCAGATAAACATTTTTCCTCATAATTTATCATAAATACAGGTGGTATAGATTAGCTCTTTGTCCTTTGTTCTTAGGCATCATGTGTGTAAATAAAATTTGAAGGATGTGATTAACTAAGAGCTACAAAGTCTGTCACAGAATGGAATCTGTGATAACCTTCTATTATAACCTGCAACAGAAGTTATTACATACACGAAGGTAAAGAAATATAAATGGCTGGGCATGGTGGCTCACACGTGTAATCCCAGCACTTTGGGAGGCCGAGGCAGGCAGATCACAAGGTCAGGAGTTGGAGACCATCCTGCCTAACACGGTGAAACCCTGTCTCTACTAAAAAAAAAAATACAAAAAAGTTAGCCAGGCGTGGTGGTGGGTGCCTGTAGCCCCAGCTACTCGGGAGGTTGAGGCAGGAGAACGGTGTGAACCTGGGAGGCGGAGCTTGCAGTGAGCCGAGATCGCGCCACTGCACTCCAGCCTGGGCAACAGAGCAAGACTCCGTCTCAAAAAAAAAAAAAAAAAAAAAGAAATATAAATATATATTAAATATGCCTAAACCTCAGCTATTGTCCTTTTGTCTAAAAATAAGTTGAGATTTTTGTCTAGAGGGTGACATGACATCCAACTTGCTAATGCCTGTCATTTCTGGACAGAACACGAACCTATCAATGGGCAGATTTTCTCTGGGATTATTCCTAGATAGGGTATTAGAATACTTTGCTTTGATTTTTTTGAGACAGGGTCACTCTGTCACCCAGGCTGGAGTGCAGTGGCACGATCTTGGCTCACTGCAGCCTCGACCTTCTGGGCTCAAGCAATCCTCCCATGTAAGTGTGTGCCACCATACCTAGCTAAGTTTTGTTTATTTTTTGTAGAGATGGAGTTTTGCCCAGTTGCCCGGGCTGGTCTTGAACTCCTGGGCTCAAGAAGTCCGCCCACCTCGACCTCCCAAAGTACTTGGATTACAGGTGGGAGCCAAACGCCTCACCTATCAAACCTTTGCTAAATTTTTCTGACGAGAAGTTAGCCACTGTCAGGTAAAATAAAATTATATTATATTATTTGTAAGAGTAATATTTATTATTACATTTAAAAAGTTAGGGTAAAGAGAGACTTACTTTCATACTATCGCAAATAATTTCTCAAACCTATGTTATTGATAAGCCTGACAAGTAACCAGGTGACAGAATATTAATTGACTTTATTATCTATTTGTAAACTAATTTGGTGGGTTTTTACTTTACAATGAGTAGACATTGAGCATACAATGAATAGCAAAATTAATCTTTAACCTAGGAGTCATAAAAAATTAGTTTGGAATGAGCTGACAGCTATCATGTAGGCCATTATTACTTCATTAGACAGAAAACTTGCTGATATTTCTATAATGCTACTGTTTTTTTTTTTGTTTGTTTGTTTGTTTGTTTTGAGACAAGGTCTCACTCTGTGGTCCAGGCTGGAGTGCAGTGGCATGATCTCGGCTCACTGCAACCTCCACCTCCCTGATTCAAGCGATTCTCATGCCTCAGCCTCCCAGGTAGCTGGCACTACAGGCAAGCGCCACCATGCTTGGCTAATTTTTGTATTTTTGGTAGAGATGGGGTTTCGCCATGTTGCCCAAGCTGGTCTTGAACTCCTGGCCTCAAGTGATCTGCCCGCCTTGGCCTCCCAAAGTGCTGGGATTACAGGCATGAGCCACTGTGCTGGGCCCTGTATTACATTTTTAATGTTAATGAAGAGGACCACAAGCTTTATAGCCAGGGTTATTATTATTACTTTTCACAAATAAGTTGTGTTTCTACATTTCAACAAAATAATTTCTATCATTGAGTGTTGATATGGGAATCTCACATGCACAATTAACTGTATTTGGTAGTTGCAGTTTACAACAAGGTTGTCTTGTGGCCAGAAAGAGTTAATGGAGTTTCTGTAGTGCCCAATCTATTATAGAGAATCATTGAATTACCTCTGTGTGGCATGGAATCAGGTAATCTGAGAATATAAGTTACGTAAAGATGCTCTAACATCATTCTATAACTTAAAAAATGAAGGAATTTACATTCAGAAAGGTGATGTGACTAGCTCAAGATCAAAATTAGTGGAAGTAGATCCAGAATTCAGGCCTGAGACTCTGGTTCCGAGGGCTTCATGCCTAGTGAGCCCTCTTTAAAAATATGAGAAATGAGCAAATCAACTGTACAAAATCACATTCATCTATCAGTTACTCTGAGGTCTGTCTAGGAAATTATCAATTAAGCAAGACTTCAGCATTGGTAACACTAAGAAGCCTCAGAAAGTAATTCCCAGGAGAATTACAAAAGCATATTGACTTTCATTTGGCAACTCTAATGTTACTTTCTGTAAGATTAGTTAAATTTGTAACCATGGCAGCCCTAACTGTAATATTAAAAATATTTTTACAGGCAGCGATTTTATTTTTCAAATAGCTTCATTTTGTAACCATGTTATTAAGTCACAGTACATTTGCTCTAAATATAATCTGCTAAAACTTTGTTTTGATCCTTTCTTGTTTTCTGTTTTGTTGATTGGTTCGTTGGTTGTCAGGTTGCTTTGCTCGTGATTTATTTATTCTGTTGTTTGCGGTTTGTGGTCTAATATCAGTGCTACGTAGGATATGGTGAGTTTGCAGTTAATGCTAATTAAATGTACATATTTCGGGATTCTTTAATCACTGATCCTTCACCTTGATGTTGAACTGCTCATTATACCCTGGAGCACAGAAAAATGCTCCTTTTTAGACATCAAGTACATCCACTTAGTACTGAGAATTAGCGTGGGTTTAGTTCTCTTTAGGCATTTTATGGTCAACTGTATAAAAGCACAATGAAAATAATCAGAATTCTGGAGGTTTTTTATAGAGCAGAAATAATGAGCCTGGTTCTCTGACTCACAGGTCACAGATGCATCCCACTCTCAGGTCAGCTTGAGAGGAGGAAAGCAGAAAAAAGCTTCCTCTTGCCTGGTGGTTGGTATCGGATGTCTTGTTTCTAAAATCCCAGAAACTACTGTGTACCTGAAACTGAGCTGCCCATAAAGCCCCTTTGCTCTGGCACTGCAGACTCATCACTGTTCAGAGTAGCTTTTGAGATCAGCACAGAGAGCTCCAGGGTTCACCTGAACCCATGCCCTACAAGAGCCACCAGGCAAAGCCAGGCTTCATTCCTTCTTCGTTTCCTATACATAGGGGGGGCTTCCCTGAGCTCGTGACACTGCCAATGTCTTTGTGATGGTCATTTCGGATAAAGGAGCAAATGAGTTTTTGTTCGTTAGTGTTTACTGATGATTATTTTTAATCTTATTTAGGACAGAATTGATTTTTGTTTTTTTGTTTTGTTTTATTGAGACAGGGTCTCTCTCTGTTACCCAGGCTGGGGTGAAGTGGCATGATCACGGCTTACTGCATCCTCAAACTCCTGGGCTCAAGTGATCCTCTTGCCTCAGCCTCCCAAAGCGCTGGCACCATAAGCATGAACCACTGTGCTCAGCCTGAGTTTTTAAATTATAGTTCGATGACTATGAGGAAGCTAAGGACCAAAAGACGGGGCCTTTCCCAAGGTCTATAACCAGCAAGTGAGTGGCAGGGTTGGCATTCATTCCTTTTTCTCCCATTTCAGCTTTTATTCCTTTTTCTCCTCAGCATGTAGTACATACTGGTTACTCAATACATTGTTACTGGATTAGTTATTTATTTATTTATTTATTTTTTTTGAGACAGAGTCTCATTCTGTCGCCCAGGCTGGAGTACAGTGGCATGATCTTGGCTAGCTGCAACCTCTGCCTCCTTGGTTCAGAAGATTCTTCTGCCTTAGCCTCCTGAGTAGCTGGGACTAAGGGCATGCACCACCACACAGGGCTAAGTTTTGTATTTTTAATAGAGATGAGATTTCACCATGCTGGCCAGGTTGGTCTTGAACTCCTGACCTCAAGTGATCTGCCTGCCTCGGCCTACCAAAGTGCTCAGATTACAGGCGTGAGTCACCGCACCCTGCTTGTTACTGGATAAATTTGATTCAGTTAAATTAATCATCATATTAGTTGATTAGTCTTTTGGGTAGACAGGTATGTTTGCTTCTCCTTCTGTCAGTTTTTTGCAACAAAGTCTTTAGTATAGAAAGCAATGACATGTTCTGCAACATTTTTTTCCTGGTAATTTCTCAGCACCCAGAAGCTTTTTAGTTATAAACTTCAAAACACATTTGTTTATAGGAAAGAATAGAATGTCAGAGATATCAAGCATAGACATTGCTTTCAGCTTTCTGGTAGGCTACAGGAAGTGTTTTTATCCAGCTCAGTGAAGTAAGGGCAGATAGCACAGCACAGCAAATTCAAAGTGTTATGACACAGCAAAACCAATTTCCAACCTTAAAATATTGGAATGAGTAGAGAATGTCAATTGATGTCAGTTGCTGAATTTTGGAAAGCATGTTATTAAGGAAAAACAAGTATTGAAAGGGGGCTCTAAAATCTCTTATGACCTCATTCATCCCACCGCAAATCATCTTACATAAATAACAAATTTGAAATACAATATGGAGCTTGAAAAAGAGGTGTGATTGGGAACCAGAGATCTGGCTTCTAGCACTGGCCCCCACTAACCTGATGTTTGAACTTAGGAGAAGTACTCTGCCTCTTCCAGTCTAGGTAGTGAGAAAAATATTGAAACAAGTTTATTTGCTGGCTTTCTTATTTTACACCCCAGGATTTTCTAACCTAAGAGCACACACACTCAAAAAAGTGGAGATCATTATTCCTATCAAAAGCCAAGATTTTAAAAAGTTATGTCCCCCCCTTTTTTTTCTGTTTTGTTTTAAGGAACGGAGAGTATAATAGGCAAGAAGGAAGGGAGAAGACAGAAGGAAAAAGCTCCCCCATACAGAGACAGAGTGAGGGGGACTCCAAAGCCAAAAGAGGAGGTCCCCATATGTCCCCTTTTTTCCCTGGTATATGGCCATTATTGTTGTGTTTTTCTAAAAATTGAGTATTAGATTTTAAAATTATAAAGAATATGAATTAGAATTTTATATAAAATATAAATTATCTATTTTGGCAATGAGTTGGATGTGCAGAGCAATGAAGACTCCAAGGTTTCCAGCTTGTGCAACCAAGTGACAATATTTTCATTTACAAATACATGGAATCTGGGGGAGAAAGCGGTGGGGCACTGGGGGTCATGAGTTCAGTTTGGAACATTATAATTGTGAGGTGCCTCTGAGGATGTCAGAAAGATAGTTAGACATACATGTATGAGCTCAGAGGTAACTTATGGGCTTGAAATATGGTTAAAATATACTCAGCACTTACTAGGCCTTGAAGCTGGTGATGAAAACCTTGTCGGAAGTTCACAAAAGAACTTCAAATATTGTTAGGGATTGCTGTGGTTTCAGTTTGTCCCTACCAAAACTAATGTTGAATTGGACTCCCATTGTGGTGGTGGTGGGTGGTGGGGTCCAGTGGGAGGTGTTTGGGTCTTGGGAGTATTTCTCATGAATGGCTTGATGCCCTTCTCACAATAGGGAGTGAGTTCACACTTTCAAGAGACTGGATGAGCTCTTGTGGGAATGCTCCTACAAGAGTAGGTTGTTATAAAGCCAGGGCACCCCTCAGATGTTACCTCTTCACATGTATTTGCTTCCCCTTTGGCCTCCCGCCATGTATTGACCCAGCAACAATAGCTCTCAGCAGAAGCCGAGCAGATGCCAATGCCATGCTTGTTGAACTTCCCAGCCTGCAGAACCATGAGCTAAATAAATCTCATTTCTTCATAAATTATCAAGTCTCAGCCATTCTGTTAGAGCAACACAAAAGACAAAGACAGGGATTTTAAAACAACATCTACAAAAAAGGTTGTGTCAGTGGTTCCCAAACTTTCAGAAATCGCAGATGAGTAAAATTAAAACAGACAAACAATTGAGAAATTGGTTAAAAGTTGCAAACTTCTGTTAACTAAAGACATTAAAAAGGAAGAAAAATCCACTATCACCATAATGTCATAAAAAATACCCCCCAAATAGATAAAATTAAAAAATACATATCCCTACATTAAGTAATTTGTTTAAAAGGATATAATTAACTTGGTGAAAAAAGTCACATTATCCTTATTTTTATTATTTTCTGTGAATCTTATACCAATACCGTAGACTTATGGCCTCACTTAGTTGGTTGATATTTCAGTGTTATGTGAAAAGAAGGACAAAGTTTGGTGCATTCATTATCTCTCATGTAGTCTACATGAGGCTTCTGCAGCCCCCTCGCCCATCTGTCGCTGTCCCTCTCCTGCTATTTGGCTCTGTTGCCCTGGCAGTAGCCCCAGTTCAGGACACAGATGTTCCTTTCCCAGTTCTCTGCAGCCCTGCTGGAGCTGTGAGAAAGCTCAGACTTCCATCCCTACATTGCTGAGAACTGGCAGTGTTAGAATAAAGAAGAAACCCCTCCAGACTATCCGACCAAACATTTCGTCTCTGAGAAATGTTCACTCACCCTAGCGTGTGGAGCTGAAAGTCAGTCAGTCTATCCAATTGATCAAGAGATATTTCCTGGGGCCTCCTATAGGCTTGCTTCAGTGTCAGGCACTGCAGATGTAGATACACAAGACATGGTTCTCCTTCCTCCAAGAAACTCAAAGGATAGAGAGGCGTGTCTGGCCAGGGCCAACCTTTCTGTAGGTCTGATGAGCACAACTCAAAATTGCCTCCTCTGGTTGTAGGTAGAGCCTGGAGTGCCCGGTTAACGTTTCAAAGGCAAGTTCATGAACCGCCCATGAAGTTCATGCCTAGTGACGTCTTGTGCTCACCCAAGACTCCTAATTGGGGCACTCCTGTGAGCACCTGGCAAGCCAGTGGGGGTGAAGCCACTTAATTGATGGTTATGTACAACCATATCTGTTGCACAGCCTCGTTACTGGTTTGAAGGTAAACAACAATAAAAGCAATCTAAATCCTAGTTGTCATTCTTTCCTGTCTATGATGCTGAACCAGCTGTTTATTGCCTGCTGCAGTTGATTTGGAGTCAGAAGGTTGGCACAATGACTTGTGCCCTGGTGGAGAGTGGGAAGAGTGGACAGCATGTGAGCTCTCTCAGCCACTGTGAAGGCCTGCTGTGCCACGGTCATCAGTGACAACTGGGCTCTGTGCCCCAATGCACATGGATATTTTGGGAGAGATCTGAGGTGCACCTATTGCCACAACCAGGTTCCTTTCTGAGACTGGCACTAACTAGGACAGCGCCCAACAGAACCAAAACACAGATACATTTGGAGCAAGTTTGGAAAGGGGAGAATATGGCTCATGTCCCATGGGGGACAGAAGCCTGAGCCCAGGTGCTAGTGGTAACAGTGACCCAGCCCCTGCCTGAACATTGTCACAACCATTCTCTGAAATCCCAGGGGTCCTCTCACCACCACCTCATTCCATGGGTATGTTCGAGGTAGGGACCCCCACAGTTATGACCGTCCCTCTCCAAGAACTAGCAGTACTTCTAGGCAGGCACCCAGCAGCTAATGCAGTGCTGGTGAGAATTGCCCACTAGCACTAGAGCCTAGGACATGCTCCCAGACTCATGCAAAGCCTTCCATGACAGCAGGGGTGCTTAGCATGTTAGTCACAAACTGAGCCCTGGCTTTGGAAAGAGGCCTGAGCCTATTGCTAGTGCAACAGGCACAAAGGTGGCCCTGGTGATGTAATCTAGGCTGCATCCAACTAAGCAACAGAAGGATCCGATGCTAAGGAGAGTGTGTCCCTCTTCCCTGGAAGCAGGTGTGGGAAGCTCCTTTGCAAAATGAGCCTGTGCTAAGGAGGACTGGACCTGCAGTTGTCCCCTGGAGGTGGTTGGCCAATGATAGGTTAGCTGAGAGGCTTGCTCTCTGGTCCCAAAACTGAGGACGGAGGGGACAGTGGTGGTGCATGTGCCTTGCCTGGTATGAGGCACCCAACCTCTTGAGTACTCACCTAGACTAAGCCTGTGGTTCTGAGCTCTATGGCTTGCAGGGCTTCTCAACTCTGGGAGGTGCAGGGTCTGTGTCATTCCAGGTGCACCTTGCATGTAATAAATAAGGTACCACGGAGCTGCATCTGCTTACTCAATTGTACCTTTATTCTGAACATCCTATGTCTTTTGCTGGCCCTGAAACCTGGACTGAAGTTTTGAGGTCTGGTGCAGCACACAGGGGAGACAGAGGCTTAAAGCAGAAAACTATTCAGTGTGGTAAGAGCAGGGTTAAAGTTGGATGCATGGTTTTATGGAAGCACATACCGGGAATACCTAATCCAGCATGAGGTGTGGGATCAAAAGCTTCAACTCCTGTGCTCAATTATAAGGAATGAAGAGACGTTATTCACAAGAAGGTCGGTGGGGAGGGATGTGTAGAATAAAGACATTCCAGGCAGAAGGGACAGTGTGAGCAAGGGTATGGAGTTTAGTGAACTAATGACTAAGTTGTGCAATCATTAATTCCAAAATTGGTAAATACATCCCAAGATTCTGATGTAGAGTTTCTCTTTTCCTTCCTTCCTTCCTTCCTTCCTTCCTTCCTTCCTTCCTTCCTTCCTTCCTTCCTTCCTTCCTTCCTTCGTTCCTCTCTCTGTCTTTCTTTCTTCTCTCTCTCTCTCTTTCTTTCTTTGCTTTCTTTCTTTCCTTTCTTTTTTTCTTTCTTGGTCTTGCTCTGTCGCCCAGACTGGAGTGCGGTGGCATGATCTCGGCTCACTGCAGCCTCTGCCTCCCGGGTAGAGTTTCTAAAGAGAATTGTCTATTAATGCATTCAGTCATTCAACAAATATCTGCTGAATGCCTACCCTGTACAAGGCAAAAAGTGTTCAAAGATCAATAAAATTTGTTTTCTGTCCCCAAATAACTCACAGCTTAGAAATTATTATTTATAGAGACACAGGTGATAGCGTAGATGTTAGAACAAAATGTTATAAGAACATGAAGAATGGAAGGATTACTTGTAATTAAGCAGCTCAAGAAGGCTTCACAGGGGAAGAGATTTTGAAATTATTAAATAGAACAGAAAAGGGCCATTTATTCAGAGAAGTATGGGCAAGATGTTTAAATACATTTGTATCTATTTTAGTTTGCCCTATTTATAAGAATGCTTCAAATGTTGAGATGCTTATAAATTAGATGTTAATTAATTAAGTGAAAATGATGCAGGAAGAGATGCAGATTTATGTAAAAATAGCGTGATGGAATTGGGCTCTGCGCTAAAGTCAAGTTATGCAAATACAACTGACTGCATTGATAATTGTAAGAGAATTTATCCTTCTAAGAAAGGAATGTTATTTAAATATGTTAAATATATTCTACCAGATAGTGAATATTTATAATACCAACTAATTTTCTATTTAAGATGATGTATATTTAATGTTATGCATTTCTAGTTCTTCTTTTGAAATAATTTTATCTTCAATATTAGTGCTTTTCTTCTCTTATGCATGAGTGTATAGGTCTCATATTTGTTACAGTTTCTCAAACTTAACTTTAAGTTTAAATCTTTTGCCCATTTTTGAAAGTTAGATTGTCCTCTTTTGTCCTTCCTTCCTTCCTTCTTTCCTTCCTTCCTTCCTTCTCTCTCCTTTCTTTCTTTCTTCTTCTTTCTTTCTTTTTTTGACAGAGTATTTGTTATAGAACAATTTCTCAAATTTAATTGATGCTTTTATTTTCTATCTTTGCTTTAAAAAGCAATTTTATTTAGTTTTAATGTACACACCTGCACAAATCTTAAATGCACTACTCGATTAGTTTTTACAAATGTATATATTGACATAACTAACATTCAGATCAAAATATAATACATTTGTAGAACCTTAGAAGTCACCCGCCATACCCTCTCCCAATTCATACTCAACCCTGCAGAGGTTACTGCTGTTTTGATTTCTATTGCTGTCAGTTCATTTTGCCTATTTTTGAACTCTATGTAAGTGGAATGATATAAGTTATACTCTTTTGGGCCTGGCTGTCTTCCCTCAATACCATGTCTCTGAGATGGAACCATGTTGCATATGGTTTGTTCTTTTTCATAGATGTGTTATTAGATGCTATTTATGAATATACCAAAACTTATTTATTTCTAGGGATGGACAGATTTCCAGTGTTAGACTATTATGAATAAGTCTTACATATTAATTGGGTAGACATACGCACTCATTTCTCTAGAATAAATAGGAGTGGAACTGCTGGGGCATAGGATAGGCCTATATGGAACCTTAATAGATATTTTGCTAAATAGCTTTCTGAACTGTAACCATTTAAATTCATGCCAGCAAGGTATGAGAGAATGGGTATTGTCAGCTTTTCGAACATTTTAGCCATTCTGGAGAGTGTATAATATATTGTGGTTAAATTTGCATTTCCCTGATGATTAATTTTGTTGAGATTCTTTTCATATGCTTGTTGGTCATTTGGATATCTTCTAGTGAAGTGCCTAAGGCCTGTTTAAGTCTTTTGCCCGTTTTTGAAAGTTGCATTGTGTCCCTCCCTTCCTTCCTTCCTTCCTTCCTTCCTTCCTTCCTTCCTTCCTTCCTTCCTTCCTTCCTTCCTTCCCTCCCTCCCTTCCCCTCTGTCTCTTTCTCTCTTTCTCTCTTTCCTTTCTTTCCTTTCTTTCTCTTTTTTTTGACAGTCTCACTCTGTCACCCAGCCTGGAGTACAGTGGCATGATCTCAGCTCACTGCAACCTCCCCATCCTGGGTTCAAGCAATTCTCGAGTCTCAGCCTCCCAAGTCGCTGGAATTACCGGCACGCACCACCATGCCCGGTTAATTTTTTTTGTATTTTTAGTAGAGATGGGGTTTCTTCATGTTGGTCAGGCTGGCCTCAAACTCCTGACCTCAAGGGATCCACCTGCCTCGGCCTCCCAAAGTGCTGGGATTACAGGCGTGAGCCACCATGCCCAGCCTGGATTGGCTTTTTCTTATTAAACTATCGGATTTCTATCCCAAACATGAGTTTTTTTAACAGGTATATATGCTGTGACTATCTTCTCCTAGTCTTCAGTATCTCTTTTTACTCTTTGAATGGTGTCTTTTCGTCGTTAAAAATAAGTTCTTAACCTTCACGAAGTTTAGATTTATCAATAGTTTCTTGTATAGATAGTACATTCCATGTCCTGTTAAATAATCTTTTGCCTCCCCAAACAAAAAACCATCATGAAATGGAAACAAAAGTTTTAACATTTCTCATATAACCTTCAATCTTCCACAAATACATATTTAAATTCCCACTTTGACTGTAATCCTAGCACACTGGGATGCCGAGGAAGGTGATCACTTGAGGTCAGGAGTTTGAGACCAGCCTGGCCAACGTGATAAAACGTCGTCTCTACTAAAAATACAAAAATTAACTGGGCATGGTGGCACACACCTGTAGCCCCAGCTACTCAGGAGGCTGAGGCAGTAGAACCTGGGAGGCGGAGGTTGCAGTGAGCCAAGATTGCACCACTGCACTCCAGCCTGGGTGACAGAGGAAGAATACGTGTCAAAAAAATAAGTAAATAAATAAAAATTCCCACTTTGAGAGCCATTGCTGTACTACATTGTTATAGAACATCTGTAAATAAATAGCTTGTAAATAAATAGCTTTCCTCCCCACAAAACACCAAAATACCTACATGGGAGTACTGAATTTTAAACTCAATTGACAAGGAGTTTTAACTTTAGAGGAGTACTCAGAAATTGTATATTAAATAAATATAATGTATATATTGTTAAGTATATATTAAATAAATGTTTATGCTCTACTGTGTTTCAAAGGTTCAGTAATATTAAAAAATTCTAAACAAAGGAGTGTAAGATAAGGAATCAATTCACTTAAAAGCTTTGGAGCAAATCCCTGCTCCTCCCTCTGCCTCGATGCCCAGTTGAGACCACTGATCTCTCCCCTTGACCCACTTTTTATCACCACACAACACACTCACACTGTCACACACACACATACACACACAAAGGCATTGGTCCCAAGGGAAGAACACACACAACTGAAATATTTCAGTGAGAGCATTTGAAACTTGCTCTAATTGGACAGACCACAAACACAATAGATGGCTTATAATGACTGAACTATTGTTGAATTTGTCTTTAATGATTAATTACGTGCCCATTTTTTAAAATAAAAAAATACATGGAGAATCATTATTCCAAACAAAGGAATGTGCTTGCATTTTCCCATTCTCATTAATCAGATTATCATACAATTACATATCTATACATATATATATATATGAGATTTCAACTGATTAGGCATATTAAAACATAATTACTAGGCCAGGTGCAGTGGCTCACACCTGTAATCCCAGCACTTTGGGACGCTGAGGCAGGCGGATCGCTTGAGGTCAGGAGTTTGAGAGCAGCCTGGCCAACATGGCAAAACCCTGTCTCTACTAAAAATACAAACATTAGCTAGGCATGGTGGCATGTGTCTGTAATCCCAGCTACTTGGGAGACTGAGGTGGGAGAATCACTTAAACCTGGGAGGCAGAAGTTGCAGTGAGCCAAGATCATGCCACTGCACTCCAGCCTGGGCAACAGAGTGAGACTCCCTCTCAGAAAAAAAAAAAAAACAAAAACCCACAAACAAAAAACATAATTACTGAACCTAACTTTTCTAATTTTTAAGGCTCTAAAAAGTTCATAAACATTGGGGTCTTAGGTAGTAGCATGCCCTTATTCAGTAGCACCCCAAAATTCAAATTAGTCTTTCTACATGGCTTCTATGTATAAATGGGAATTTACTCTGTAATTACATACAAAAGACTTCTCTCTCCAATGAAGTTCTAACTACAAATAGAAACACACTAAAGGTTAATGTGCCTCACTAGAGTCAGAGAAAATCGGTGAAATAGTTGACATTCTATTTAAAATCTTAGAGCTGAAAATCTTCCTTCGACATCCAGTGATGAGAATTCACAATACCAAGAATATGTATTTTCTGAGTGTGGACCTTTTCCAGTTTCCCATGATTATTATGGAAAAACCCTCAGGGCAAGAATATTAAGTACATTTTTCTTCTTGTTAATTCATTTTCTAATGCCTTATTTATGAAAATTTTTGTTCACATGTGAACAATACATGCAAGCAAAGGATTACAGGTGCTTTGCTAGAAGGGGCTAAAGAAAGCAGTGAGCTGCAGATTGAGAAGGTCCGTTCCACTTAGGATGGAGAGTGACTCCAGAAGCTTTCCCTAGCCATACAGCCACTTCCGAAAGAGGACCAGCCTCAGTGCTTCTCCTTCATGTCTGCTCTTCCTCTGTGTTCTTTTCCTGTTCTCATCACTGTTGTTCTGTTTTCCAAAAATGTTTTCTTAGCTATCTTATCACTAGCACAATCCAACCAGTCAGCAGAGAGTAACTCTACAGGAATACTCTCACAGCTGTGAGAATATGGAGGTGGAAGGCAGTGATCTGGAAGACTCTGTATTAGTCCATTTTCATACTGCCATGAAGAAATACCTGAGACTGGGTAATTTATAAAGAAAAAGAAGTTTAACGGACTCACAGTTCCACATGGTTGGGGATGCCTCACAGTCATGGTGGAAGATGAAAGAGGAGCAAAGGCATGTCTGACATGGCAGCAGGCAAGTGCGCGTGTGCAGGAGAACTCCCCTTTATAAAACCATCAGATCTCATGAGACTTATTGACTATCTTGAGAAAAGCACAAGAAAAATCCACCCTCATGATTCAATTACCTCCCACCAGGTCCCACCTATGACAGGTGGAGATTATGGGAGCTACAATTCAAGATGAGATTTGGGTAGGGACACAGCCAAACCATATCAGTTTCCTTTAGTGTCTGCTTTGCAAAATTCATGTCTGCCCTGGGCTCAATGTCAACAGACCACTGATGAATAATAAAGTAGCTAAGAGACTGCTGAGGGTGTATGCTTACAAGAAGACCTCAGACCAGAAAGATACCTTATAGCTGTGGGAAAGCTCTAGAAGCCTGACTTAGGTGGCAAAGGTACAGAAAATTTAATCATCTGTGCTTTAGCTTTAGCATTCTAATAAAGGTTGGATTTGCAGTGATCCATTCTGTGTTGCAATGTTCCCTCCTGTTCTTCAGTACATTTCATTCTGTTCTAGTTGGAGCAGAACCAAAGTTCAAATAGCAAGAAGCATTCTAATGCTATATTTTTAACAATTAGATCTCCTTAGGAGATTTTGTGCAATAATTAGGATGGATATGAAATGGAGTGCTGGTGAGCTGCTCTCCCTCAGCTCACAAAAAGTGCGTGTGTATGCTGGGTTGGATTCCAAGGAGGTCTAGGTTTCCACTAGGTTTTTTTTTCCTGCTTTTCCTGAAACTTTACAACTAATACTTGAACACCATCCTCACCAGAGCAATTCTGAAAACTAATTTATATGTATTTACATAAGAAAAATGAAGAAATATAGACAGAACAATCTGAGCCAAAGAAATTGTGCCTTATGCATTTGACAAAAACCTCCTAATTCTTTCAATCATAATGTGCTAGACTTGTCAATCCTCCCAGCTTATTTTTGTTTTTTTAATTCTTTCCCAAAATGTTACACTTATTTATTTGTTGCACTGGAGCAAAAAATATTTCAAGATTATATCTCAGTAATTTTAAATTTGGAGGACATTTTTATTAAATGGGAAGGAATTTGGGACTTTTTGAAGGTTTGAATCTCTCAGTGGGAAGGAAAAAAGTAGGGAGTGAGAGAGGGAGAGAATGTGTGTGTGTGTGTGTGTGTGTGTGTGTGTGTGTGTGTTGTCTTAAGAGATACAGGGGTATGGTACAGGGGGAAGAAAGAGACATTTGCAAGGAAATTACAATCCTTTCTCCATTGTGAATTGAAACAGTGCAAATCTTCTTATGGTCTAATACTGCCTAGATCTGGGGTAGTAAGCTATTATAAATACTGGTGCCTGAAATCCCTGATTCCACGTGAGACATACAGGATCAAGTGGAAACTGTATAATTTTGTTCTAATTACTTTGTTCAAAACGTGTCTTTACCAACTATAAGTCTATTGCCCTAACTTCTGATGTTGTCTTTTAAGACCCCCAAATTAAAATCCCAGTTCTGTAGACATTGTTACCAGCAGATATCTTTTTTCTTCTCTTTTCTTTTAAGAGACAGGGTCTTGTGCTGTCAACCAGGCTAGAGTGTGGTGGCACAATCATAACTCACTGTAACCTCGAACTCCTGGGCTTAAGTGATCCTCCTGCCTCAGCCTCCCAAGTAGCTAGGAATAGAGGCATGTACGACCACACCTAGCTTATTTTTTAAAAAATTTCTGTAGAAACAGGGTTGCCCAGGCTGGCCTCGAATTTCTGGCCTCAACCAATCTTCCTTCCTTAGCCTCCCAAGTTGCTGGGATTACAGGTGTAAGGCACTGTGCTCAGCTCACCAGCAGATATTGTGATGTTTCCACAGATAAATTGTCAAGATTCACGTGCCCAGTGTGAGTGGAAAAGGTAAGACTCACGTTTAACTGAGCTTATACTTATTAATATTTTAGTGTACAACTCCTGACATTTGTTCTGATTCACTAGGTCTCTAAAACTGTTATAGAACACAGGAGATAAGACATCTTTACCCACACATAGGTGAAGTAGAAAACCACCTAATTCATAAATTTAAAGCTCAAACATTTCCCTACTTTTAAACATTTTCTGTATTGGTTTGAATTGTTTTCCTTGTTGGGGCTGACATTGTTGTCCTGTGGTTATAATAGTTTCTTGAAAGGCTGAGTTTGTTAATGGTTCTGTTTCCTGTATGATCTTTATTTCCACAGTTGTCAGCTCTTCTGAGTTTGGTGCCATTCTTTCATGATACTGATTTTTCCAAAATGTTTGATGATTGTAGTTGTTTTTTCTCATATTTATATTTGCTTCTGTGTAACAGGAGTGAGTGTTGGGAGAGCTGAAAAGACTTTTCCTTTGGACAGTGGTTGTTGGTGCTGATAAATATATGTGGGATTCATCAAGCTCTTATCTGTACCTAAAAAAATTGATAATATTTGTTCCAATATTTTCATTGTTTTTTATAACCATCTGTCTTGGTGTCGGTGTTCTTTATGCCGTCTGTTTTGGTTTAAGTGGAACTTGCCATTCTCAATAAGAGAAAAATATTCTACTTACTGAAGAGAAGGGTTTGTTGAGATGCATTTGAGTGTATGTGGGAAGCGCAGACAGAATACGTGAGTAAAGTCTAATTGTTGGCATGAAACAAGACTCCCCCTCCTAAATAAAAATACTGTCTTCACTTCTTTTTCACCACTTCTTTCTAGTGAGATGTTTCTCTGCCTTACCCTTTTCCAGTGTCCAGTGGAAACTTAAAAGCTTCCAAGTCTATTATTAAAAAGTCAAAAACTAACAAATGTTGGTGAGGGTGCTAAGAAAAAGGAACACTTATACAGTGTTGGTGGGAATGTAAATTAGTTCAGCCACTGTGAAAAGCAGTTTGGAGATTTCGCAAAAGAACTGAAAATAGAACTACCACTCGACCCAGAAATCCCATTACTGGGTACCCAAAGGAAAATAAATAGCCCTACCAAAATGACACATGCACTTGTATGTTCATGACAGTGCTATTCACAATAGCAAAGACATGGAATCAACCCAGGTGCCCATCAATGGTGGACTGGATAAAGAAAATGTGGTACATATACACCATGGAATACTATGCAGCCATAAAAAAGAATGAAATGATGTTCCTTGCAGCAACACAGATGCAGCTGCAGGCCATTATCCTAAATGAATTAACACAGAAACAGAAAACCAAATACAGCATGTTCTCACTTGTAATTAGGAGCTAAATCTTAAGTACACATACACATAAAGATGAGAACAATGAACACAGGGGACTCTAAAAGAAGGGAAGGAAGCAAGGGCTGAAAATCTTCCTGTTGGGTACTATGTTTACTATCTGGGTGATGGGATCAGTAGAAGCCCAAATCTCAGCATTAATGTAATATACTCAGGTAAAAATCCTGCACATATGCTCTCTGAATCTAAAATAAAAGCAGAAATAAGAAAAACAAAAACCTGACTTCTCACAATGGCTCACACCTGTATTCCCAGCACTTTGGGAGGATCACTTGAGCCCAAGAGTTTGAGACCAGCCCGGGTGACATAGCAAGACCTTGTCTCTACAAAAAATACAAGCAATAGCCAGGTGTGGTGGTGTGTGCCTGTGGCCCCAGTTACTCAGGAGGCTGAGGTGGGAACATCACTTGAGCCTGGGAGATTGAGGCTGCAGTGAGCCATGATCATGCCACTGCACTCCAGCCTGGGCAACAGAGTGAGACTCTGTCTCAAAAAAATCCCCCCATGCCTGGAGCGGTGTCTCACGCCTGTAATCCCAGCATTTGGGAAGCCGAGACAGGTGGATCACGAGGTCAGGAGATTGAGGCCATCCTGGCCAACATGATGAAACCCTGTCTCCACTAAAAATACAAAAATTAGCAGGGCATGGTGGCACGTGCCTGTAATCCCAGCTACTCGGGACACTGAGGCAGGAGAATTGCTTGAACCTGGGAGGTGGAGGTTGCAGTGAGCCAAGATCGCGCCACTGCACTCCAGCCTGGGTGACAGAGCAAGAGTCCGGCTCAAAAAAAAACATCCCCCCAAAAACAAACAAACAAAAAACCCTCCAAGCCTCATTGCTGAGAGACTGATGCTGCAGTATAATACTCTGGGTAATAGTGAGGACCTTGTTCTTATGTTAGGATTCTTTCCTACACAAACTTCTTGAAGTATATTGGGTGTCACCTGAGACACTTTAAAAAATGACACCCAGCTTAGTTACCTCTGAATCTGGGACTGAAGTTGGTAAGGGTCTTAGGGCCCATGTCTACTGTTTCATCTTACCATTTATAATTAATATAAACCAAGTTCTACCGTTAGTGATTTTGAAATCACTGAATCTTGTATCTGGACTTAGAGTTGTAATCATAAACTTTATCTCTCTGCATCAGGTTTTCATGCAGTGCTCCCAGTTAAAATGCAGATTCATGAGGCCACACCCACAGCCGCTTGGATTCAGCGTAACTGGAGACGGGTGCTGGTTCTGGGATTTCCTTTGATGAAGGAGTACTCCAAAGAGTCTTTGGTAAATGGAATTTGGGGAACCATTGATCTAGTGATTGCCTCCCTATCTGTGTCAGTTAAACATCAATTTGGTTGACACTTCCAATGGGTGAACATACACTCTTTTATTTAATATGGAGTCTCCAAAGAGACTTCTACAAGAGGCCAAATCATGTAGAATTTTCAAAGCCAAGGGAGAGAGTTTGGATTTTAAAGTGTGAAAGGAAGATTTTCCGAGTTTTATACACAAAAGAGTGGTCTGATTCAGGGCTTGTCTAAGACCCTGCACCTAATTTTCTTTTTAAAATTTTATATTCTTTCTCTTAAAGAAGATCCCCAAATTGTGTACGTTTTTGATTCCCCAAATCCTGGATCTGCTATGGCATGTAAAGGGCCTAGGAGGGTACCTGGCACACATGACATCCTCAGTAAATGGAGGTTTTCTCTCTTCGTGTCTTCTTCTTCTTGAAAGTCATACCTTACCTTATTCATTTATATCTCCAGCTCAGTGAGTGACACGAAGGGACATTCTTTTTATTTTCTTTTCTATTTTTGAGGACAAAGTCTTGCTCTGTTCCTCAGGCTGGAGTGCAGTGGTGCAATCATAGGTCACTGCAGCCTGGAAATCCTGGGCTCAAGTGATCCTCCCACCTCAGCCTCCCCAGTAGCTGGGATTATAGGCATGTGCCACCATGCCCAGCTAATATATTTTAAAACATTTTTTATAGAGATGGAATCTCACTATGTTGCCCAGGCTGGTCTTTACTCCTGGCCTCAAGTGATCCTCCCACCTTGGCCTCCCAAGGTGCTGGGATTACAGGCATGAGCCACTGCTCCCAGCCTAGCACCGTTAAACAGTTACTGAGTGACTGATAGAAAGTAGGGCAGGAAGAAAAGAGAACTGACTTTTTGCTCTTTTCCTTCTCATACCACTGAGTATTTTGTTAAAAACTCCTCGTTTATTTTCACTTCAGTAAATGCAAAAAAACTTCAATTGATAGACAGTAGAGCCTTCCTGACATGCACAACTATAGTTGTTTCTTTTCATTTTTGCTTTTTTTATTGTTGGTGGTGTTTTTGAGACAGAGTTTCGCTTTTGTCTCCCAGGCTGGAGTTCAGTGGCGCAATCTCGGCTCACTGCAACTTCCGCCTCCCAGGTTCAAGCGATTCTCTTGCCTCAGCCTCCCAAGTAGCTGGGACTACAGGCACCCGCCACCACACCTGGCTAATTTTTTGTATTTTTAGTAGAGACGGGGTTTCATCATGTTGGCCAGGCTGGTCTCAAATTGGATGGAATAAGTGATAGATATCAATTTTATGGGGAATACATTGTTCCTGATTTTGCCAAAGTGCTGGAAGGAAACAAGAATCTTGGAATAAATGCTCTCTGTTATGTTGATTGTGAAACTCATAGGCTGCTGACATTTTGAGAAAACCTTCACAGGTTTTCAAAGATATTAACTGGAGGAAATGTGAAAATGTCTATTGCTTTTTTACTCTGAGTAGCAGATACTATATACAAAAATGCACATGTTTTTGATATTTTGCAAACGTCAGTCATTATTGCTGGATCTTAATTATTACCCTGATTAAAAACTTTAAAGATTACCCTCTCCTCATAATATATTTACAGAAATGCCATAATCATCTCAGCAGAAATATACATTCAATTTTAATTTTCTTTAAAAAAGAGGCTTCCTTTTATCTTGACTTCTGGGATTGCGACTTCCTCCTACCTTTCTGTTTCATCTCAGTCTTCTTTATGGACTCCTATTATTCTTTTTTCCTCTTAAAGCCTGACATTTTTCAGGTTTATGTCCAAGTTCTCTTTCTTTCTTTTTATGATCTCTTCGGAAAACTTCACCATCTTTCTGGCTTCATTTGCCTCCAGTGTTTCCAGATTTTTACCTTGAGCCCCAGGCCCTTTCTTGATTTTGTGAGACTTACAACCGAGTGTCCCTGGAAGGCTAGGATACAGATCGGAGAGGTTCACTCACCATGCTCAGAAGTCATCTGGTTCAAGACCTTGGAGAAGGAATACTGTGTTCTAGTGTTAGGGCCCCTGACAGAGGAAATGCACAGAAGTGAAAGCTAAAAAGGTCTACAAACAAATTGTCAATGGAGACACAATAAAAGGTGGATAATACTTCCTAATTAGTTTCTGTAATTGAAAATTATAAAATTAAGATGAACTGATTATTTCTATTTTCACTAATTTGGTGGATTACTCCCCATTAATCTGAAAGAGAGTGGTTTTTACTTCTCAGAGACTCTCCACTCCCGGGACATGAAGAGGTGTCGTTTTAAAAGCTCCCCTCTGTCTGATGTATGGCATGATTAGGACCAAGGGTTCTCTCTCCTCCAGGCTCTATGCTCAGCATTTTATAGATACTAACTTTACCAGTTCTCACACTGACCATGAGGAATGTGACTATGAAGAAACAGATTCAGAGAGCCTAAGCAATGTGCTCAGGATTACACAGCCAGCCTGGAGCCAGGATTCAATGACGGTTCTGTCTGACTCCCAAAGCCTGGGCTCTCTATACAACATCACACTGCTTCTCAAAGAAAGACAGTCATTCTTTTGGTTTTTTTTTTTTCTGTTTTTCAACTTTTATTTTAAGTTCAGGGGTACTTGTGCAGGATATGCAGGTTTGTTACATAGGTAAATGTGTGCCTTGGTGGTTTACTGCACAGATCATCCCATCACCTAGATATTAAGCCCAGCATCCATTAGCGATTCCTCCTGATTCTCTCCCTCCCCTAACGCTCTGCACAGCTGTCCAGTGTGTGTTGTTCACCTCTACGTGTCCATGTGTTCTCATCAATCAGCTCCCACTTATAAGTGAGAACATACAGTGTTTGGTTTTCTTTTCCTGTGTTAGCTTGCTGAGGATAATGGCTTCCAGCTCCATCCATGTTCCTGCAAAGAACATGATCTTGTTCCTTGTTATTTATTTATTATTATTATTTTTTGAGACAGAGTCTCACGCTTGTCGCCCAGGCTGGAGTGCAGTGGCACAATCTCGGCTCACTGTAACCCCCGCCTCCCAGGTTCAAGCGATTCTCCTGCCTCAGCCTCCCAACTAGCTGGGATTACAGGCACCCAACACCATGCCCGGCTAATTTGTGTATTTTTAGTAGAGACGGGGTTTCACCATGTTAACCAGGTTGGTCTCGAACTCCTGACCTCAAGTGATCCACCCGCCTCGGCCTCCCAAAGTGCTGGGATTACAGGTGTGAGCCACTGCTCCCGGCCAGTCTTGTTCCTTTTTATGCCTGCATAGTAACCCATTGTGTATATGCACCACATTTTCTTTATCCAGTCTATCATTGATAGGCGTTTAGGTTGATTCCATGATTTTGCTATTGTAAACCGTACTGCACTGAACATATGTGTACATGTATCTTTATAATAGAATGATTTCTATTCCTTTGGGTGTATACTCAGTTATGGGATTGCTGGGTCAAATGGCATTTCTGCCTCTAGGTCTTCAAGAAATCACCACACTGTCTTCCACAATGGTTGAACTAATTTATACTCCCAGCAACATTGTAAAAACATTTCTTTTTTCTCCATAACCTCACCAGCATGTGTTGGTTTCTTTGTTTTTGTTTTTGTTTTTTTTACTTTGTAGTAATAGCCAATCTAATTGGTGTGAGATGGCATCTCATTGTGGTTTTGATTTGCATTTCTCTAATGAACAGTGATACTGAGCTTTTTTCATATGTGTGTTGGCTGCACGAATGTCTTGAGAAGCATCTGTGCATGTCCTTTCCCCATTTTTGAATGAGGTTGTTTGATTTTTCTTGTAAATTTGTTTAAATTCCTTGTAGATTCTGAATATTAGACCTTTGTCAGATGGCTAGATTGCAAAAATTTTCTCCCATCCTGTAGGTTGTCGAAAAACGTCTTACTATCCATATATGGGGAGGTAACTTCACAGCCCAGTACTCCCATGCTTGAGAGAAAAATGGGGCACAATTTAAATGGCATTGCCTTTTAAGTTCTCATGTATCCCCCCCAAAATGAAATGCATTCTTAAATTCCATTTGTGTATATATAGCATATGCTATCGAAATGAGCTAAAGTTTCCATATTTTAACAGATATAGTAAAAAACTCCATTGTGGTCCATAAATTTAAAATGAGTTGAATTTCAAAATTGTTTTAAATGGACACAAAAGACACTATCTCCAAATTGAGTTGATTTTGCCATGGCTCTGAAAGGTAATGGATACACATGTCTCTCTGAGACATGTTCCTCTATTACAACACTGTCTTTCCAGGATTAGTAAAGCAGCCACGGAATTTGCTCACCCTTTCTAACCAAACCTACCTAAGAGGGATGGAGCAAATTGCCTCTTGGTGCATCTCACTCCTGTATCCTTGAGAGGCATTTAAGTGAGTCTCAGAACCTGAAGTCCTGATGGCTATGCTCTAGTAGAAATGCAGTTTTTTCTTCAAGGCACAATCATTTTACATAGTTTCAGTAAAATTGGATTGCATAGGTTGTATCATGTGAAGAAGATAATTCAGGAAAGGCAGGCAACTGAAAAATCTAAAAGACAAGCAGCTATAGTTGCATTACAGAACAAAAGCAAAATAGGAATCAAATCTTGCTTGGAATCACATATTGAAGAGTAATTCTGAGTAAAGAAGAAAACGTGGTGTTGCAGAAAGTGATTTATTAGCTCTCGGCATCTGGAGACTGCTCTCCAGAGATACTTTCCTCTCTTCTTCCCACTGGCTAATTAAATGGGAGGAGGGTGCCCACGCAAGGAGAGCTTGCAAAATACTTTATAACCTGGACTATTCACCAACATCAAATAGCATTAGGGAATGGCTGAAAGCCACACATGGGAACCTTTCAGTCCAACCAAACCAGGAAAGGGCTCAGAACATCAGCTAGTGAGTGGAGGGGAAAATCTCAGAAGTTGCAAAGATGTGCAGGTTCATTTCACAGAGCCCTCCCTGAAAAGCCAGAGCACTGACCAAATCAAAGACTCCCATTTGAAAGAGATTGCCAAAAGGAGTTTTCAAACGATAATGTCTACCAATGGAATGTATTTAAGAACAGAAATAAGAAGTTAAGTTAAAATTAAATGAGTAAGTAGAGAAAAAGGATACACACTTAGAAATAAAGTAACCTTATGCATAACATGTTCAGGAAGCAAAATATAATCAATAGCAGATACAAAGCAAATTTTTGGCTGTCAGGAACAATACAATATTCAAAAAGTAAATGAAAATTCACTAATAGCTTAGTGACCTTTATTATTCTAGGGTCGTGTCATAAAACCAGTTAAAATTATATTTGTTTGGCTGTTCTAGTCCAAATGCTCCACTAAGAAAATTTCTCTCCCAAGCTAAAGATGTGAAGGAACTTGCAAAGTGTCTATTAACAATTATTGAAAAGTAATTTGTAAATGTGAAGGAACTTGCAAAGTGCCTAGTAACAATTATTGAAAAGTAATTTATCTTTTAAAAAGCCATTGATTAAAAGAGACATCAAGATGCAGTAGGAATGATTAAGAGACATCTTCTCAGATGGATGGGGGAAATTAAGCAGAGAGGCAAGAATGAGCCATCTGGAGGGCTTTCAGCTTAGAAGAGTCCGTGGATTTAAAGGATCACTGTATTTTTCCTTCCATGGAGATTTATTTGAAACAACAAAGCTGAACCGAGCAAATGGGAGAGAAAAGGAAGTCTGGAAGACACCAGTGAAACAGGGACTAATTAAAAAAAAAAAAAAGAGTAGGGAACGAATGTGCTGCCCTGGACCTGGGTGATCAGCCGAACCTCCCCTGGCTAACATCACTGGAAAGAGGCCTTGCTGCTTGGTAACAGTGATGCAGTGATTGGGATGTCTAGTTGTGAGAACACAGCAGAGAGATGACCTTTCTAAAAAGTCCTTAACAATGTTTTAAAGGGGGAAGAAGAAATATGAACATTTAGGACTAAATAGGAATAAGCTAGCCTACCTATTATTTATAGGTGAAGAAAGGAGATCCAGGGATTTGTTAGAGCTACAAGCTCGCTGTGCTGTTCAAGGACATCCCACTTACCCTAGCCACGTCTTCTTTCTACTACAGAACAGGTAGTGCTAAAGAAGGCTTTATAATTGGTAGCTTGAAAGGCTCAAAGTGATCTGATCTGTTTTTGTGTCATATGCTTTGGGAAAGCACGTTAATTATCCAACTTTTGTCCAGTAGAATATATTACAATCAAAGCTCCCATACCTTTGCACAAGATAACGACACCTGTGCTTTGAACATCTCCTCCTTTGTCTGCCTGGAAAACTTAACTTCTTTTTATTAAAAATTCTGCTCAAGAGCCCCTCTCTCTGATGCCTCCTCCAATCCCCCCAGTCAGAATTCACATCCTTCTATTCTAGCTATCTTAAACATGGTTCTATTTTGTATGTATCACTTCTTTCTGTTGTGTTTATTTGCATATAAGTCTGTCTCCTATGCTAGATATTGAGTGTCTGGAGAACAGACATGGTATTTTATATACATTAATATGTCCAGTAGATTCCATGGCTCCTGGTAACATAGGAACTATTCAATTAATGTTTGTTAAATTGAGCTAACTAGGACTAACCACCGATTGTTTCTACTCCAGGCTCCCCAGCTGTAGGCACAAAGACTTTGATCCTACAGGCTTAGTCCTGCCACGATATCCTCAGGGCTCCATTAAATGTGGGATCCCACTTTAAACTTCCATATGTCTCCAAATGACCCTCCGGGGAAGAAGAGTCCTGTGTTACTTCTCAAGCACTGTGTTAGTGGCCTGTCACCTGCTGAGATCTTGCATCCCCCATTCCTTCGGGAGTTTTATTCTGTCTTGGTTCCTACCAATGACTTTTCAGAGCTGTGCTGCTAATGCCCACATGACCACTAGTGCTGCTGCTGTTTGAGACACTTCTTGACCCTCCCTCAACAGCCTGGATTCCCTGGCTTATCCAGCAGCTTGGAACACATACGTATTGGCCAAATTGTGCTGAATACTGCAGTTTACACTGGGGCTCTTTCTCTCCCCACCCTTATCTCTTCTCCCCCTCTCTATCCCTTCTCCCCACTTGTAATAAGGCCAACTCTATGCAGACTCCATTCTGAAAGTATCAAAATCTAAACATTCTCAGCGTCATCCATTCACACAATATCCAGTGAGTGCTTCTGTGCTAGGTACTGACCCGCCAGTGGGGAAGTAACAGTGAATAAGGCAGTCGGGGTTCCCATCTTCTGTGATCTTCAGGACTATTCCCTCCTATTAAGGATGCTCAGTCAGCCCCTGTGGGTTAGGAGATGATGTCTTTTTTCTTTTCTCCCATTCAGAACTCAGATTTTTGAAATGCTGGGCCACATTCACTTTCCCCTTTTCTTTACCTTCCAGTCACTTCTTAACCCACTATAATCCAGCCCTTCCATTGAAATTTTGTTTTCCAACGTCATCAGTGTCGGTTTTTAAATTGGTGCATCTGGTAGGTATCTTTCAGCTGTTTTCTGACTTGACCGTTCTGCAGCATTTAGTAGAGTTGAGCACTTCTTTAAATACAGTCACAGGCCTTTAAGCAAGACCCTTTCCTGGTTGCCTTTCCTACCTCTCCAGCAATCCCTCAACTTTCTTCAAAGATCTTTCTTACTGTCTTAAAGGTATCTGTTCCCCGGAGTCAGTAGCTCTATGTTCTTCTTGCACTGTGCATTCTCCTGGGATAGTTCTCATTTCTCTGATTTAAGGGCCACTGCAGAACAACTCCAGGGAACACCATCCCTGCAGTGTTCCAGTGCTTGACTTGAACTTCCTGTAACATTTTGTGGTCTCCCTATTTCACTCTGGGAGTTTTGCACTTTGCCTACCTGGAATGTTCTGTATGTGCAATGCCCCACATTGCTGGGAGGTGATGCATTTGTCACTGCTGACCTCTCCATCTGGGAAGCACTCCTATTTTGAACACTATGACCAGATCTTCTCTTGATTTTCTTCACACTTCCCCAGAAGCAGCTTTCCAATCCCCTTCATCCAGCCTTCTGCCTTGACACAATCTGAAAGCGCTTCCCTTTTATTCACCACTCTTATGAAACTGACTGGAAAACAAATACCCTTCTCTTGGGTCCATCCTGTAAAGTCTAGTTTTAAAAAGTCAAATTCATGAATATTTTTAGGTTCTGCAATTTTTCTCTGTAGCAACAGTGGCCCTAAGGTTTTAAATTATGCAGTACCCAAAAAGATTCTTAATGAGAAATAAGTGGTGGAGCTATGATTTTGACCTGAAGAGGCTTTCAACCTTTTAATCCCAATGAATGAGTCATCCAAAATGGCTATAATGATCCCTCTTTTGTATGTCCTTTTAGGGTAGAATTTAATTGCTTACTTTCTAAATGAATGGTGTGTAGAAGTGATTGTCGGGTGTGACAGACCTCACCATGGCAACCCTCCCTAGGGGAAATTGATGGCTGTGTAAATAGAGGGTTTCTGTTAGGAGCATAACCACCCCCAGGCTGTTCTTTTGGATGCTGTAAGTTACTTAGGATTTCAGAAGAGGGATAGTAAATCAAATATTTTATCAGTTTGGAAAGGCTCAGCCACAAAATATGTATTTATCACTTCAATTTGTTCTCCGCCTGCCATGCCAGTTTAGCATTATCAATTTTTTTTTCCTGTCTGTGGCATTAGGGCTGAGATCTCTGATCAGACACTTACTTCCTCAGTCAGTGCTAAATGCTGTCAACTCACACCTGCCAAACACTGAAAAGGCCATGCCCTCTCTTCAAAGTTTCCCCCCTCCTTATAGGACCGGCTACATAATTTGAGGAGCCCAGTGCAAAATAAAAATATGGAACCATTTGTTGAAAAATTATTTAGAATTTCAAGGCTGGGTGCGGTGACTCACACGTGTAATCCCAGCACTTTGGGAGGCTGATGCAGGTGGATCACCTGAGTCAGGAGTTTTTGAGACCAGCCTGGCCAACAAGGCGAAACCCCATCTCTACTATTAAAAAAAAAATTAGTTGGGTGTGGTGGCACGCACCTGTAGTCCCAGCTACTCGGGAGGCTGAGGCAGGAAAATCATTTGAACCTGGGAGGAGGTTGCAGTGAGCCGAGACGGCACCACTGCACTCCAGCCTCGGCGAAAGAGCAAGACTCTGTCAAAAACAAAAAACAAAACAAAACAAAGCAAACAAACAAAAAAACAGAATTTCAATAAGTGACAGCAAAACCGTAAATCAAGCCAAGGTCCTTTGGAGTAATTGCCCAAGTCCCAGCCCATGGAGGCGGGCTCCCTACTCTCCCGTCTCCCTCCCCTCTCTTTTCCTCATACAGGCTGAAGTTTTCTTCTTTCCTGCTCATTTGGAAGAGTGTGAAAGTGGTGAATGCCTTACCTGTGTAGCAGATTCTTCTCCAAGTTCTCATGTCTTCAAGGTCAGAGAAAAAGGAAAGCTTTGCGGATTTGGTGGTGAAAGTAAACCACTTTGCTGAGTACTAAGTGCACAGATTGTTAGCCTAAAAGAGCCAGAAAACATTTTAATGAAAGTAGCTGTGCCCTGCTAAGGATTAAGCGAAATAGCCTTTTAGTATTATTCCGTTTTTAACATTTTTAGAAACTCTGAAAATGTGTCAGTACATCACATACTTATGTACCAAATCTAGGCTCTGTTTTAATAACAGAAGAAACATATCTATTGTTTATAACAAACCATTGTCTTTTTCCTTCAAATATATTAACATTTCTTTTAAAAATCATTTAAAATTCTTTAAAACATATGAGAACCAGTCCCATCACAAAACTGTGGGGTATAGATACAAGAAAAGCAGCCATGGTTGAAGGATTTATTGCTCCGATGGAGGGTAACCCACTATTTCCCTAAATGTGCCCTGCAGATTGTTACTTTTGCGGGAAGAAAGGACTCCATATTCAAATAAGACTGGGTAATGGTGCTTTAGAAATCCACATAAAAGTTTCCTAGATGCCCTGCAGTTAAAAAAGGAAAAGGAAAATGTAACTGCTCCAAGCCAATCTTGTTCAGCCTTTATGTAACAAAGTTGGGAGTTGTTTTTCAGTTGCCATGGACCCTTAGGCCACATAAGCTGAGCATGCCTGGAAGAGCCAAGCCTGCACCAACCGGGTGAACCTAAGTGCTCTGAATTAAGGGGACTGAATTAAGAAGTGGAGGAACACGGTATGGCAAGGTACAGGATCCAATCAGATTGAGTTCTGGCATCACCCCATGGCAGGATCCAGTCAGATCATGCCTCCCAAAATCATCTTGTTGCAAAATCCAGTCAGATCATGCCTCATTACCCTATGCTTATAAGACGTGACCCAGCCCCCAGCTCAGGAAGACACTGCTTTGGAAACTACCTCAAGGTGTTCTCTTTGCTTGTTACAAGTAATACATTCCCTTTGCAAAAGCCTCTTTGGTTGTGGCCATTGGGTTGGTATCCACCAAGTGACTGAGCCCACCCCTTGCGTAGGTAACAAAAGCACAAGGGAAGTCTATGATCGATTTATCTTTGTATAAGCCAGTTTTGCCCAAATATATTTAATCACAGAAACGTTTCTTTGCCGTAACTATTAAAAACTGGTAGCGAGCATGCTTTGGGGAATGCTGATTTAACTACTCCTTGGAGATTATAGGAAGGGAATTAGTATTGTTGAGCACCTTCCAGATTCTATGTGCTATTTAATTGGCATGACTGAACTCAATTAATAGAACAATCAGCCCTTATATCAGGAGTCCTATTTTATATATGAGGTTGATATGTTAAGGAGCTCTAATGCACATG